>NC_000008.11:35617678-35920708 GCF_000001405.40 Homo sapiens | reverse complement strand
GTTCATGCCGTTTTCCTGCCTCAGCCTCCTGAGTAGCTGAGACTACAGGTGCCTGCCACCACGCCCAGCTAATTTTTTGTGTTTTCAGTAGAGACAGGGTTTCACTGTGTTAGTCAGGATGGTCTCAATCTCCTGACCTTGTGATCCACCCGCCTTGGCCTCCCAAAGTGCTGAGATTACAGGCATGAGCCACCATGCGTGGCCTGAGACACTATATTTTCTAAGGTGTTTGCTAACATAAACATCCTTAAAAAGATAGTTTGAACAAAGGCCAGTCAATACGTCACTTTGTAAGATGTGCAGAAATGCAAGAGACACATAAAAAATTGTCTCCCAACAATGAGCGACTCCCCAAGTTCAGACAGTTTTTCTCCTGCTCGTGAAACCCTTCTTGGCAGTTATCGTAAATACATCAATCATACCTCTCTGCAGAATGGCAATAAGATATGGGGCCATTGCCATGCCAGATCCTTATTGATTTCAATAGGGGTGGCAACATGTTTGAAAAGCCAAAGAGACCTGAAGCCAGTGAAGGAAATAAAATTTATTTAGGGGACTTCCATACAGAGTGGATCAGTGACCGCAGGTTGGATAGGAGAGGCACTACCCTTTGTAAAAAGCATGCAGTTTATACAGCATTTTCACTTAGCAACCCACCCCTAGAAACCTTCACCTGACAAACTTCATTTAACCCAAAACAAACGACCTCAATCCCTTGTATGGCCTACATTCCACAAGGTGGGCTGGGGTTTAGCTGTTCCTCACAGATAAGGAATGATTCTCCAGGTTGGCCATTCCCAGTTTCCTTA
The DNA here is from genome assembly GCF_000001405.40 of Homo sapiens. Taxonomy (NCBI): domain Eukaryota; kingdom Metazoa; phylum Chordata; class Mammalia; order Primates; family Hominidae; genus Homo; species Homo sapiens. Next base: position 35,919,899 of record NC_000008.11, on the reverse strand, counting down.
GCTCAGAACTCTAATCAGACATTCTTCCTAGACCATAGGATCATTCTCAAGGTATGTTTACATTAATTGCTGTTAGGTGCATCTTCCATACAGCCATGCATCGTATTTTGGTGATATTTTTGCTCATGTAAGTTTCCCAACAAAGCCTACTTCATGCCTAAACTATGTGATATGGAAGCGTTTGCCTTAGTCTACCAGTCCCCATTGTGGTCACATTTTTCCTTCCTCAACGACCTTTCTTCCCCTTCCCCTCTATGGATTCTTTTTCTTCCAAAGCTTATAACTACTGACACCATCTATTTTAGCTATTTCATCAATTTCAGAAGCCTCCACACAGCCTTTTCAGATAATTTCAACTATATCATCTCTCAGTTCTCAAATTCTTTGGCTCTTATTTTCTATACTGGATACCTGACCCTTTTTAATAGATTATCTCACTGTGTTTTGCAAGTTAATTTCTGTTTCCCAACCAGAAAACAAGACTGTAAAGACAATATGGGTAAGGTGTTAGTATTTTCTATCTCAGTAATGCTCAGCACAGTTCCAAGAATATAGTAGCCATTTAATAAATAGCAAGCCTCTTACTGTTGGTAAATAATGCAGGTCCAATCTTAGTTAGGAAAGGAGAAGAACCTCTGAAGCAAAACAAAGCCATCAAGTCAATATGACCTCACCCTCGAGCTATGTCAGACACATGGCCCAAAGAAGCTGGACAGGAGGACAGATGTTCTGGGAAAGCTTTAATAGGTAAAGATAATGAACAGGAGGAAGAAAATTACTTATCCACAATGCTCTGTTCATACCATTTTCTAGTGTAATTGCTACTGGAAAATGGAAAGGTGAGATGTTAGCTCTTATGCTCAAAGATAAGCAGACAAGTCCAGCTTGAGAGATTGTTATAACCTACCTGATTCTAACCTTGATGGGGATGTGAATAGATTAAGGAGCTGGCCAAGTAGAAAAAGCCAGGATTTTGAAGTTAGTCAACCCTGGATCCAACCACTATCTTCACTACTTTATTAGAAAGCAAGTTATTAGAAGCAATTTGTACACTCTCTGACCTTGTCCTCTGATCTGTAAAAGAAGAGATAATAATAATGATCTTGTGATTGTTGTGAGGATTAAAAGAAAGGGAGACAACAGAACATATTGGTGGAGTTCCTGAGTTTGAATCTCTGGCTTTGGGCAAGTTATTTGACCTCCCCTGCTTTAGTTCTTCTTCTCTGAGATAGGAATGTTAATATTACTTACCTCAAAATTGTTGGGAAGGTTAAATGGATTAATACATGTGCAGCCACTTAGGGCAGTGCTGAGCACTTAACAAGACCTCAATAAGTTTTAGCTTCAACTCTGATGAAGTATCTAAAGCAGTCTCTGATACCTGTAAGCACTCATTAAATGGCAGCTACCTGCCGGACATGGTGGCTCAGGCCTATAATCCTAGCAACTTGGGAGGCCGAGGCACGTGGATCACTTGAGGTTAGAAATTTGAGACCAGCCTGGCCAACATGGCAAAACCCCGTCTCTACAAATATACAATAATTAGCTGGGCATGGTGGCATATGCTTGTAGTCCCAGCTACTCAGGGGGCTGAGGCAGGAGAATCTCTTGAATCCAGGAGGCAGAGTTTGCAATGACCCAAATTTGTGCCACTGCACTCCAGCCTGGGTGACAGAGCAAGACTCCATCTCAAAAAACAAACAAACAAACAAACATTTATTAATAATCATTTACTAATAAGATTATTTAGGGAGCAGGAATTCTTCCTTTCCCTTCTCCTAAGCATTGGAAAGGATTCAGAACTGGGGGTCAGGGGACTATGATTCTAAAATCTGCACAGTGTTTAACCATGGCCTTGTCAATTATTTCAATTCTCTGGGTCTCAGATTACTTCTGCTGTAAAATTAAGTGTTTAGAAGATGATCCCAAAAGGTTACTTGCAAGCTGAAGACCTCTGTGTTTCTAAGTAGAATGTGTATATGCCCACTTGTACCTCATGGAACAGATCTGTGTTAGCTAAGGACTAGAATGGTGATTCTTAAAGAATCAGTAGGATCAACATCATCTGCAAACTTGTTAGATATGCAAATTGTGAGGCTGTGGCCCAACAGCTGTATTGAACACGTCCTCCTGGTGATTCTGATGTGCCCTAAAGTCTGAGAAACACTGAGCTGAAAGATTAGAAGAGACTTAATGAAGAGGGCATTAGAGACCAACTAGATTCTATCTTGAACGATGATTCCCTAACTGGTCTGTACACCAGATTTACCTAGGAAAAGATGTATTAAGTACCAAATTCTGGCTTTGGCTTTAGAAATTTGATTTGTTTGGTGTAGGATGGAGCCCAGGAATCAGCATCTTTAAAGAATTCTCAGGTGATTCCCATCGAGCCCCACAGATTGTTAAACAATCTGATTATGCAAATGAAGGGTGCCCATAGAAATTAAATGGTTTATGGAGGTCAAGAGCTAATTTGGACTCTAACCCAGGTGTTCTAATACTTAAGCCATTCTTAAATCATGTGTATTTCATTGCATTGTATTAGTCATTTTACAATCAGCCCTTTTTGGAAAAAAATCAGAGTAAAAATGTTGCAACTATTTAGTTGTCTAATATGCTTGCCCAAGGAGTCTCCAAGTCTTTTGAGATCAGAAGGCTATTAATGTTTTGCTTTTTCATTCTATCAATGGTTGTTCAAATATTTCCTTACACACACCTACCACCCAGAGTTCCAGTTTTTCATATAAACATGGATAAGTGGGTTTGTTCACAAAGGTTATTAAATATACTCTCTTCTAAGTTAATATTAAACAGGATTACAGAGATGGACTGTTGAAAACAGTAATCTCCATGCTGGCAAATTTCCAAGAAGCATGTCTCAAAGGGAAATAAGATAGAACCTATGACTATTGTTTACTGGGCATCTATTAGAAACAACCATTGATGGCTTCTAGAGTCATTTGCCTAACCAGGATAATATTTACAAGTGAGTTAATAGCTCTAAAACACTATACACTTAAAGGAACTATAGGAAGACAATTTTTTATATGACAAGGAAACTAAACTAGTACAACTTCTGCTTCACAGAAACTTACTAACTGAAATAGACAGGGCTTTCTAACTATATTTATTCCTCAAAGGTGTTTTACAGGTTCCACGAATTATTCTAACCTCATCTTTTACTTTATTTCAAACTATTTTAAAACCTGAATTCAAAATAAAATATGTGCATTCAAATGTGTTACAGGAACATCACATTGAAGATGACCAATATATTAACTTGACTGCTTGCTGATTAGCTTTATGTTATGAATTTGAATTTATATAATATTTAAATGTGAAATAAACTAATGAAATATGCTTTTATATATGGAGTTCATGTAGCATTTTATTATAAAATATGTCTAAAAATTTTAAAAATCACTGGACTAGAGAAAGATAAATAGGAGTACTTAAGTGTCAGAATTAGTGAATGCTATCTAAATAAAATAGCTACATGGAAAGAAAATATTTTTAGGTGTCTGAGGCATGCTACTGATATTTACTTATTTATTAGTGTGGATTCCTGGATTAACTTTACATATGTATGTCAGCTTCACATTATATATGATTTACAAAACTTATCCAGAAATAGATCTTTATTCATCCTTACCATAATCAAATTTTGTAGATTATTTTCTCTCTTCCTTTTCATAGAATCCTAAATTGCTAATATTTTCCCCCTAGAATTATAAGTGAAAAATCAATTAAACTTGGTCAGGAAAAAAAGATTCCTTTACAAAGTTTTTTTTAAAAAATTTCACCAGGTATAATCTATATCCAGACTGAAAAGAGAAAAAATGTTCATGAATAGTAAATCCATAATGGCTAAGTTACGAATACTTAAGAAATGATTCTATTCTCTTCTTTATCGTATCACAGATTTCAACTGATATGATATTCCAGACTATTAGCAGCATAGCTTTTGCTTAGATGAATCCAAGGTTTGCTTTCATAGGACTGGGCCCCATGACAGAGGTAAATTAATCATAGCTGATGTCTTCTCTCCGTTTTTCTGTTTTTCACTGGCTCAGTCAGGACCACATTCTGAGGTCCGTAATTTTCACCTTTTTTCCAGCAAACCCCGGGTTTCCACAATTGTGCCAAAAATAAAGGGGAATGGTCCCTAATACAAAAGCCCTTTCAGTATGCTTTATTAGCCATAACAGATAATGGACAAAAGAAATTATTCCAAAGAACAAATTTTGGGGTGGCCAGGTTACCTCATCAAGGATTCTGTGCTTTTCCTAGAAAGCAGGATGCTGTGATTTGAATGTATCCCCTCTAAAATTCAGGCGTTGCCAATATGATGGGTGCCAATAATGATGGCCTTTAAGAAGTGATTAGGCCTTTCATGAGGGCTTCTCCTTTGTGAATGGGATTAAGGCTCTTATAAAAGAGGCTTCTTGCAGCACAGCCCTTCTACCATGTAAGGATACAGGGTTCTTTCCCTCCAGAGTATGCAGCCCTCATCAGACAGTTAAACCTGCCAGGCCTACATCTTGGACTCTCCAGCCTCTGAAACTGTGAGAAAGTAAATTTCTGTTTTTATAAATTATCCAGTCTCAGGTATTCTGTAATAGCAGCACAAACAGACTAAACCACAGGATATGGTACTAGATGTTGCTTTCCACAATCCCTTTTTCTACATTGGAGTTCTTAATATGACTATTCTACTTTTTCCATATCTTGTAAATTGGGAGGATGAAAAGCTGTGCAATTTTAGCACAAAGGTTGCAAAATCATAAGGAATACATATGGGTGGCTATCTGGCTCCCATCACATCCCTAGTGGCTGTTTCCATGACTCTTCCCTCTCCTTCAGTTTATAGGCCATACCTCCTGGCCACCATTTGTGTAATGATGAGCACGTGAACCAAATCAATGCATTAGGTGTTCTGCTCCCATATTTTTCAAGCAAGAACTGGTGGGAAAGAGGTGTTTCAGTGTCTAGAGCTATGAAGATGTGGTTCAAAGCTGCATTCTTATTATTTACATCCTACTTTGGGGCATCTACACTTGGTATTCCCTCTGGAAATCTCTTCCCTTGATTTTTGCATAGTTCACTGCAGCTCATCATTCAGTACTCAGCACAGATATCACCTCCTCAGAGAAGACTTTTTTATTTATGTAAATTTCATGCTGTCTGCCTTACTGCCCAACCCTATATCTTTACCACTCATTTAATTATGTAACCCTCTTTTATTTTCTTCATGGACTTTATCACTCTTTTGAAATATGTACTTGTCTCAGTCTCTACTTCTCTTCTTTGTCTCTATGTCTGGTTTCTCAAACTTTGAGCTGTGATAGCACCTTATCACACTCATGACCTTACAGCCATGACTCCACCTCTAGTTACTATCTTGGCTTCATTTCTTCTATTTATTTTTCATTTATTTATTTATTTTTATTTTACTTTAAGTTCTGGGATGCATGTACTGAACGTGCAGGTTTGTTACATAGGTATACATGTGCCATTGTGGTTTGCTGCACCTATCAACCTGTCATCTAGGTTTTAAGTCCTGCATACATTAGTTATTTGTTCTAATGCTCTCCCTCCCCTTACCCCCTACCCACCGACAGGCCCCAGTATGTGATGTTCCCCTCCCTGTGTCCATGTCTTCTCATTGTTCAACTCCCACGTATGAGTGAGAACATGTGGTGTTTGGTTTTCTGTTCCTGTGTCAGTTAGCTGAGAATGATGGCTCCCAGCTTCATCCAAGGCCCTGCAAAGGACATGAACTCATTCTTTTTTATGGCGATGGCTTCATCTCTTCTTACCACAATGTCATAGTTTAAGTTTCTAAGATAATTTCATCAGACATATGTTTTTCTAAAGCCAGTTCAGAAGGAGGCAATCGGCTTAAGCATCACCTATCCTCCTTAGGTCAGGTGCACACCCCTGTGAAATGGGAAATAATCCTTTCCTCTTGTTTTACTTTTCCAAGTGGCTGCTTTTGTACCAAACAAGTGGTTTTTCAATGTGTGGTTCCAAGAACGGCAGAATCAAATATTGCCTGAGACCTTGTTAAAAGTGCAAATTCCTCAGGCCCAACCCAGACCTACTGACTCAGAAACTCTAGGAGTGTTTTAATAACCAGTATTTCAGCCTGTTTGGACAAACCCTCTAGAACTTCCAGGTTCCTGAGGATGATGGGGATACCTATCTTTCTATCTCCTAATATTCCCTCCAGAAAACAATATGGAATACTAAAAAGTCTCCACAAGTCATGCCCTCAGTATAACTTTAAGCGAATGCCCAAACTTCAAAATAACTGTAAATAAAAAATGAAAAATGGCCAAATCTCAGTCCACTATTTCTGACTCCCACTCTACCCCTGCTACACAGCAGGGTTTTGGCCATGCAAAGAAAAACTAAGAAAGACTTCAGGGAAGACAGAAAACAAAAGCCAGAGAAGGAGACCTGGTTCGAACTAAATACACCACGAGAGAGACTGTCTACTTTCAGTCCAAAATTATTAAGAAATTATCCAGGTAGATCAGAGCACAGACTACAGGGTGAAAGACTTAAAAGTATGTGCAATTTGAAGGTTCAGTCTTCAAACTTATAAATTATAGGTGAGAAAAAGAAGAAACAAGTATCCTTTGATATTAGAAAAAAGCAAAGAAGAAAAACTGAGTTCTGTAACTCAAAAGGTAAAACACACAGACACTTCATAATCCCTCTTTTACCACAAAACATACAAAATCTATCAAAATATCTCATAGAAGAGGAATTATTAAGCTAGGACTCTTGTAAAACACCCAATACCACAAAAAATTAATTAAAATTAAAACTAACACATTCATACAGAGGTATTACAAAAAGTCAGACAAGAAATGTCAATACACATACTAAGGGAAATTCCCCTTTCTCCTCATAAAAATTGACCACAAAACAGAAGAAAACTGTAAAACAATAGTCCAAATGGAATTAAATATTCTCAAACAAGTACTTAACGACATGAAACAATTGATGACATAGAAGAACTTGAGGAATTCTGCATGATGTAGTCTACAAAGGATGAGGTTTACCCAACCAGAAGATGATTAAGAAAACTTCAGCAAAAGGTCTGATGGTAAGCTCTTTACAAAATAGAATACATGCTAGGGCTTCTCAACTTTGGGCCTATTGACATTTTAGGAGGATAATTCTGTTTTGTTTTTGGAGCTGTTTATAAATCATAAGATGTTTAGCAGTATTCCCAGCCTTTATTCACTAGATGTCAGTAACACTACCCACCTCCACCCCACTCCCATAAAAATAAAAACTCTCCCCTCCATAATAGAAATAATAGAAAATAATTGATTGATATTTAGGCAATAGGTAGGACTTAAAAGATATCAACAAAAACTGATAAACCAGATAAGAAAATATTAAATAGTAAAACAATAGGCTAAGTGCATTTAAATATAAAACTAGAACAAAAATGCAAACATTACTAAACATTTTTTTTAGAAAAATAAAGGCAAAGGACACAAATATTGTGGAGGAAAAAATACTGGAAATAAAATAAATATATATGACTAAAAAATCTAAAATCAAACATATTAGATCAATAAAAGTGAACAGGCTTAACCTACATATTAACTTTAAAAGCATCCCAATTTGGCTCATAAAATAAATCCCAACTATATTTTTGATACAAGAACCAAACCTAAAAAAATTAAGCTGAAAAATAAGTGGTAGACAAAGCTATAAAGGCAAATGGAAAGAAAAAGAAATGAGGAAAATAGTCCTGATGTCAAAATAGAATTCAAGCCAAAACAGATGACAAGTGCATTTTTTAATACTAAATTGACAATTTACAAACATCTAAAATTTGTGAATAATTGTGCACCAAATAACACACCAACTATTTTCATTAAGCAAAAAATACAGTAGATACAAGGAGAAATAAGTGGAAACCCACTAAAAATAGTAGACTCAAATATACCATTCACAGTACAAGTCAAATCAAATGAACAAAAAGTATAAGGCATAAGCAACATAACCAGCAAGGTAGATCTTACAGGTCTATGTCAATTTCTACACCTGATAATAGAGAATGCACCTTATGAAGCGTTCATGGAACATTTATAAGAATTAACCACATATTAGATTTTTTAAAATCATTGTTTCTTACAGTACAAATATTTCAAACACCACTCTCTGATTACAGTATGACAAAGTTAGAGATTACTAACAACATGACAGCTCTTAAATCTAGAAATTTTAAACACTTCTATTAATTCTTCAAACTAAAATTACAAAATTTTAATAATATAAAATGAAAACACTACTAATATGCTTTGGCAGTGTCCCCACCCAAATCTTGAATTGTAGCTCCCATAAATCCCACGTCGCTGAGGCAGTGGCTCACGCCTGTAATCCCAACACTTTGGGAGGCCAAGGCGGGCAGATCATGAGGTCAGGAGATTGAGACCATTCTGGTTAACAGGATGAAACCCCATCTCTACTAAAAATACAAAAACAATTAGCCAGGCATAGTGGCACAAGCCTGTAGTCCAGCTACTCGGGAGGCTAAGGCAGGAGAATCGCTTGAACCTCAGAGACAGAGGTTGCAGTGAGCCAAGGTCGTGCCACTGCACTCCAGCCTGGATGACAGAGTGGGACTGTATCAAAAAAAAAAAAAAAAGAAAAAGAAAAAGAAAAGAAAAAATCCCACATGTCATGGGAGGGACCCAGTAGGAGGTAATTGAACCATGAGGGTAGGTCTTTCCTGTGCTGTTGTTGTGATAGTGAGTAAGTCTCACGAGATCTGATGGTCTTACAAAGGGGAGTTCCCCTGCACATGCTCTTTCTTCTTCCCTATAGCCATGTACAATGTGCTTTTGCTTTTCCTTTGCCTTCTGCCATGATTGTGAGGCCTCCCCAGCCTGTGGAACTGTGAGTCCACTAAATCTCTTTCTTTTATAAATTACCCAGTCTCAGGTATGTTTTTATTAGCAACGTGAGAACAGACTGATATAACAACATACTAAAAATCTATGAAACACATTTAAAGTCATGATCAGAGTAAACTTTATAGCACTGAACATTTCTATCAAATGCTATAGTGAAGTAAAAGAATGAAAATAAATTAGTTAAGTACCAGATGAAAAAATAGAAAAAAACAACAAAACAAAAGAAAGAACCAAGGAAGAAATAAAAGTATAAATCAACGAGGCAGAAAATAATGAAACCACAGACCTAATCAACAAATCAAATCTATTTTTTTAAAAAATAATAGACAAGCCACTAACCTACCTGGAAAGAGAAAAGGGGGAGAAATCATAATATGTAAAATAAGAAATAAAATGGAGAGACAACCACAGAAATTAAAAATAAGATACATTGCAGACAGCTATGGAAATACATTTCAAAACCTAGGTGAAATAGATTTTTTTTTTTTTTAGGGAAGTACACATTGCCAAATTTGAACCTGTTAGAATGACTCCAGCCAAGATTTCTGGAGGAGATGCTGCCATCCCAAGTGGCCCAGAGGGCAGGGCATTAAGCCAAAGATGATTGTTTCTTGAGCTTTAAGATCTAATGGAATATGCCTTACTAAGTTTTGGATTTGCTTGGGGTCCGTTATGTCTTTTTTTTTCCTATTTCTCCCTTCTAGAATGTGAATGTTTTTTCTATGTCTGCTTATCACCATATTTTAGAACATAACTTGTCTAGTTTTACAGATTCACAGCTGGAGAAGAATTTTGCCTCTAGTCTCATTCATATCTGATTTAATGAACTTTTGGACTTTAGACATTAGAATTGATGCTGGAATTAGTTAAGACTCTGGGGGCTGTTAGGATGGAATGAAAGTGTTATATATATGAGAAGGACATGAATTTGCAGGGAGCTGGAGCAGAATGCTATGGACTGAATTTGTCACCACAAATGTATATGTTGAATGAAGCCCTAATTCTCAGTATGACTGTATTGAGAGACAGGATTTTAGGAAGTTATTAGGTTAAATGAGGTCATAAGAGTGCGGTCTCTGATAGGATTGATACCCTCAAAGGATGAGCCAGAGATCAAAGCAGTCTCTTTCTGCCATATTAGGACACAGTAATAAAGCAGCAACCACAAGACAGGAAGGGAAACGTCACCAGGAACTGAATCTGCCAGCACCTTGATCTTGGACTGCTCAGACTCCTAAATTTGTGAGAAATAAATTTCTGTTGTTTAACCATCCACTCTATGATATTTTGTCATGGCAGCCTGAGCTGACTAATATATTGCATCAATATTAGTTTTCTATTGTTGGTAACTGTACTCTGCTTAGGAAAAGCTGAATGGAGAGTATATGGGAACTATTTTTGCAACTTTTCTATAAATTTAAAATCCTTTCAAAATAAAAAGTTATAAAAGTAAATTTTCAGAGCAATCTCTCCTGTTGATTCTGATGCATGCTAAAGTTAGAGAATGACTACACTGGACTAGTAGTCCTTGCTTCTTCCCCTCTTATTATTTTTCCCCGTAGAGGTGACATTCATTTGTCTATATTTCTCAAGTGGGACTACAAGCACCAGATTACTGCTCTTTTGGCTTCTTTCTTTACCCCGGATCTGTGCTTTACAAAATCAAAGTTTCACCCAGGTTGGCTTTTACAAGGTCTTGACTTAGGGCAGGAGTGAGAGAAAATGCTAGAAAGCTGCTTTGGCCAAAGTTCTAGAGTCATATTTTCCAATTCTTTATCAGTAATAAAGCTAACATCTGCCTTTTCCTGCTTCTGTCTTTCCAGTGGTTTTAAGTGTGTAAGTTGGAGTCCTCCCTAAAACCCCCACTCCTTAGTCCAGTCAGTTGTGATGGAGAAATATGAGGTCACATGATTTGTACAGGGCTTCTATTTCAGTGCAAGTGGTGGGGAGGGCAGTTTTTCTAAAATAACTCTTGAGAGCAGGTAGGAAAGTACATCTACCAAGGGACTTAAACTCATTTAAAATAGGGAACTATATCTAAAACCATAGAGAAATGTTCCTAAAATTTTATGCAAAAACATGACACAAAATTATATGCAAGATGCCAAGACAAGTCAATGGGCAAAGAACAGTCTTCTTTGATAAATGTTCTAGGACAACTGGATATCCACACGCAAGAGAATAAAGCTGGGCCCTTTCCTTATATAATGCACAGAAATTAACTCAAAATGGATAACAGACCTAAAAACATGTAAGAACTAAAGTTGAAATTTTCAGGAGAAAACATAGGAATGATCTTGGGTTAGGCAAAGCTGTCTTAGATGTGACACCAAAAACAAAAGTGACCAAGAAAAGATAAAAAGGACATCATCAGAATAAAAAAAAATGTGCTTCAAAGGAAGTGAAGACAACTATCAAGAAAATGAAAACCCACAGAATGGAAGAAAATGTTTTCAAATTATGTATCTGATAAGGGAATTGTATTTAGAATATATAAAGAACTTCTACAACTCAGTCATAAAAGGATAAGTAAACTAATTTGAAAAGGGGCAAAGGATCTGAATGGACATTTCTCCAAAGATGATAAATAAATCATCAAAAAGCACATGAAATGGTACTCAACATTATTAGCCACTTGGGAAATGCAAATCAAAATCACAGTGAGATACCACTTCACACCTACTAAGATGACTATTATCAAAAGTCAGATAATAACAAGTGTTCACAAAGATGTGGAGAGATTAGAACCCTCATATTTTGCTGCTTGGAATGTAAAATGGTGCATCTGCTTTAGAAAATAGTCTGGCAGCTCCTCAAAAAGTGAAACAAAGTAGCTATTTGCTGTAAGAATTCCACTCTTAGGTATATACTCCAGATAACAGAAAACACATTCTCACAAAAACTTCTACACAAATATTTAAAGCAATATCATTCATAATAGTCAAGAAATAAAAGCTGATGGATGAATGGATAAATAATATGTGGTATATCCACACATCAGAGTATTTTTCAGCAAAAAGTAATGAAGTATTGGCCAGGCGCAGTGGCTCACGCCTGTAATCCCAGCACTTTGGGAGGCCGAGGATGGCAGATCACTTGAGGCCAAGAGTTTGAAACCAACCTCTCCAACATGTGAAACTAAAAATACAAAAATTAACCAGGCATAGTGGTGTGTGCCTGTAATCCCAGTTACTCCAGAGGCTGAGGTGGTAGAATTGCTTGAACCAGGGAAGTGGAGGTTGCAGTGAGCCAAGATCACACCACTGCACTCCAGCCTGGGCAACAGAGTGAGACTCCGTCTCAAAAAAAAAAAAAAAAAAAAAAGGTATGAAGTACTGATATGTGCTAAAACATGGATGAACCTTGAGAATTACACTAAGTAAAAGAAGCCAGCCACAAAAGAGCATGTATTGTATGATTCTATTTATTTATTTATTTACATTTTTTGAGACAGCATCTCACTCTGTCACCCAGGCTGGAGTGCAGTGGCACGATCTCGGCTCACTGCAACCTCTGCCTCCTGGGTTCAACTGATTTGCCTCAGCCTTCCGAGTAGCTGGGATTATAGGTGCCCACCACCACGCCCGGCTAATTTTTTTTTTTTTTTTTTTTTTTTGGTAGAGATGAGGTTTCGCCATGTTGGCCAGGCTGGTCTCAAACAGCTGACCTCAGGTGATTCCCCCCATCTTGGCCTCCCAAAATTCTGTGATTACAGGCATTAGCTGCCACACTCAGCCATATTCTATTTACATGAAACACCCATAATAGGCAAATCCATAGAGACAGAAAGTAGTACCTTAGCAGCTTCCCAGGGCTGGAGGAATGTTTGGGAGGTGTGGAGGAGAGTGACTGCTAAGGGTATGTGTAAGGAACATGGCTGTGCTTCGGTCAAGGGTAGGCTGAGGTAGGATGTTTACATCTTGTGTGACTCAGCAAGTTCAGAGCGCAGCCGTGTAACTCCACTTGTTAACACAGCCATGTAGCCATAACATGGGAAGGCCATCCCTTGGCTCTATGCCACTATTGTCTGTAAAAGGTATAATTGCCCTCACACATAGCCTTAGCAGTCACTCCCCTCCACACCTGCCAAACATTCCTCCAGCCCTGGGAAGTTGCTAATATACTACTTTCTGTCTCTGTAGATTTGCCTATTCTGGATGTTTCACGTATATAAAATCATATGCCTGGGTGTGGTGGCTAATGCCTGACACTGCAGGCACGGGCACCCAGAGAAAGAGAGAGAGATTCAGAGCTGTCTGTCTTTGCAGATGGACAGAGGGGAGCCAGGACACAGCTGGGCTGGCTCGTGCCCAAAGAGAGAAAGAGTTAAGCTGCTGACCCTGAAGCTAAGGGAGAGCCGGCCATACAGCTGCAGGAGTGGGGGCGGCAGGAGCCACAGAGCCGGAGCAGGCACAAAGATAAAGGCGAGCAGTGTAGAGAGCTAGTGTAAGAAAGCTGCTGATGAGAGTTGCTGCTGAATAAAATCATCTTTCACCTGCTTAGCACCCCCCTAGTGTTCTTACTGCTCATCTACCCACTCCCTTCGGACCTCAACATGACATTTGGTGTAGTTGTGAACCTGACAGTACATGGCTTCTTTTGGTTAACAAAAATGTTTTAATTGGTTGTGGTAATGCTTCCACAACTCTGTGAGTACATGAGAAGCCACTGAATTGTACACGTTAGATGGGTGAATTGTATGGTATATGAATTACATATTCACATGAATCTATGAATTGATACCTGCTTTTTAAAGAGTACTGAGGGGAAAAAATTAAAACCCTATACAACTCTATTAAACAAAAAATTAACCTCAAAATCTTTAAAATAGTCACTGTGATTATTTCTAGGTGGTAAAATTAAAGGTTATTACTTTCCCCCTTACACTGCTACTATATTTTCAACATGCACAAATACTATTTTTAAAGAGAAAAAATAAACCTTCATTTTAAGTGATTAAAATGGAGAAAACATTGGCTAATATAACGAACTTCTCAGCATGCCAAAGAGAGCTATTTGTGGTGAAAAACATCAATATAAAAGACATTTATCAAATTCTGGGATGGCAATGTCTCTGGGCTGCAGTACATCTGACCCACGTGCTGGTTAGCTATGAATGATTGACACACCTGCTGGGCCACTCTTGAGAAAGGTCTCCTTTCTAAATACCACTTTGATTGGCATCAAGAAGCCTGGAATTGGAGTCAAAACACATGGAGCCCCTTACTATGTTGAGACTTCAGTTTCCTCATCTGTAAAATGTGGAGAGAAAATAAATAAGGTGCAATTGGATCCAACTGAACTACATCAGTAGTTCTCAGCCCTGCAGAATCAGCCTCCTCTGTGAACTTAATAGAAATGTAAATCCTCAGACTCCACCTGAAACCTACTGAATCAGAAACTCTAGGAATGGAGGGCAGCAACTGGTGTTTAAGTAAGCCTTTCTTGTGACTCTGATGCATGATAGATTTGAAAACTACTAATCACTGTTTCTTAAGGGGATGATGACAAAAATCACCATTCAGTACCTGGGGAATATTTTCAAATCACGTATCTCCAAATCACAGCCATTTTGAAACGCCCCTTTAAGGCCTTCTATATTCTCTTCCGAATGTGTACACACATGCACACACACACACACACACACACACACACACTTCAATTGCTGCCATAAGAAGCCACCATCACTCATAAGGATGCCTGTCTCTCAGGTGTCAAGGAATAGTCAAAACCATTCAAAACCTTCATGCAGATTTCCTTTAATTTCTTTCAACTCCAAAATCCTGTGATCTAGCAGAGTGAAAGGAACCACCCCACCGAGCTGGAATAGCTAACGTTGTAATTTCTGGCAAAAGCCAGTAGACATCTTTTCAGTTGGGAAGGCATTTTAGCACTTTTGAATTTACACCCCCTTCTTTTTGGAGATGCCTCCTGTTGCAAATGCTTATTCCTACCTTTATTGTATCTGTGTCTTGTTCATAACACTTTTCGTCTCTTACATTTAACTCCAGACATCTTCAAAAACTTCCTGCTGACAGATTAACATATTCCTACCTCCTGTCTTCTTCCTCACCCAGTTCTACTTTTCTTAATGTCTGTTGTAGCACTTTAGGGCCAAAAGCTAGCTGTGATTTTGAGGAAGTGGTATGTCATTTAAAATTAACTGTACACCTCAGCAGCAGGGGGTAAGGTAGGAGTTAATTCCTTCATGTAACATTCAATTAAAATACACAATGTACACACACTTAAAGAGAAAGGTGATATAAAAGCAGAAATTGTAAACAGATTGCTTTGCCTATCTGAAGGAATCTAAATTTATATTTTGTCTGCTAATTTGTTTGCTTTTCACCACTGATCTTTTCTAAGAGGCCCAATTTCTTTGTCCAGCACATTTTTTTATGATGCCCAGGACTTTCCATAAGTGCCCTGATCTGAAAACTACACAGAAAGTGTTTGCAGGCTGAGCGAGGAAGGAAGAGAAGATGGACCTCAAGTTGAATATCTTCTCTCACCTTTAGAATACAGCAAAAAAAAGGAGATGCAATTTGTTATACTCACATTGTTGAAAAGATTACCAGGAGTAATCTCCCTTAGCTACAGGCAAAGACAGCAACAAAGAGCTTGCTTCATCTGCCAACTGTTCTATGTCTTAAGGCAATGTGTTGATTCACTGAGTGACTGAACTAAGCCATTTTGCAGAATATATGAATCTTGCCTCTAATCCAGGTGCTAAATGTGTATGTTGCGGGTCTGTGTTCTCTATGTCAGACACGATCTGTAACATGATAACAACACTATCTCTTTTCCTCCCTTCTCTACTTATTTTTCTGTAGCTGAAGAGATTCTGTCACCTATCAGTAATATTTGGACCTTTTACCTAGTTTTTGCATTTCAGCCTACAAGACATTGATGGACCTCATGATTTTGTCAGTTTTGGTCATAATTTCTCATGCTCAAAGAATTTTAACATAATAATAAGATGATATTTTTATATGTATTCATTCCTGTCAAACCAGAGATCTGGAAAAGTATGTCCATAACACATATTAAATCAACTGGGAAAGGCAGACCATTCAAACACACTTGTTTTGCTCTCTACAATAATCTGGTAGCCCGTTTTACCAAGGACAAATGTGAAGTTAATTTGTCTTTGAAGTCCTTTTGTTTCCACTTCCTCCTTAGCTCTTCTGCTACTAAAAATATTTGGTGCCTCAACTCTATTCTAGTTCTTTGCTTTCTTCTGAGCAGATTTAATATACCCCAGGGATATTTTTAATTCCTCTCTGGCCCCAAAGCTTTATCGAATTAAAGGACTGTATTAGTCTGATATGTGTTGCTGTAAAGGAATACCTGACACTGGGTAATTTATAAAGAAGAGGTTTATTTCGGCTTATGGTTCTGCAGACTGTACCACAAGCATGGCACTCGCATCTGCTCAGTTTCTGGTGAGGCCTCAGGAGGCTTTTACTCATGGTGGAAGGCAAACAAGGAGCAGGCAGTCACATGGTGAGAGAGAGAGCTAAAGAAACGCCAGCATCTTTTAGACAACCAGCTCTCATGTGAACCAATAAAGCAAAAACTTATTACCATGTGGAGGGCACCAAGCCACCCTGAGGGATCCACTCCCATGACCCTAACAGCTCCCACCAGGCCCCACCTCCAGCATTGGGAATCACATTTCAACATGCCATTTGGAGGAGACAAATATCTACACTATATAAAGGACTAAAAGAATAATAGTAGAACCGTACTGGGTTTGAAGCCTTACCTTATGCCCACAACTTACCGAATAGCAATCTGTTGCCTCAAAAGATTGGTCTAAGAACCTCTTCCCTTCAATTATTTAATCATCTTTTTGTCTGTTTTGTAGAATCCTGAACAGATGCACTGTAGCTTTGGTGGTTTCATAGGATGTCAAGGAATGTTTATCCCCTAGGTCTCTTCGTATCCTCCACATATTTGCTATAGAACATATCCTTACTTTTCACTCCATACTCAATTACAGTAGCAATGGAGATACTGAGATGGGTCTTGCCACAGGGTGCTGGGTGATCAGACGCTCACTCACTACAGTGTAATGGATGACACCTTGGCTTCACATCTTAGCTCTGCCACACATAGGCTACATGAGCCTGTCTAAGCCTTAGTTTCTTCTTATCTGTCAGATACTGTATTAGTCCATTCTCACATTGCTATAAAGAACTGTCCAAGGCTGGGTAATTTTATAAAAGAAAGAGGTTTAATTGACTCACAGTTCAGCATAGCTGGGGAGGCCTCAGAAAACAATCATGGCAGAAGGTGAAGGGGAAGCAAGGAAACTTCTTCACAAGGTGGAACAGGAGGAATTACCAAATGCCTATAAAACCATCAGATCTCGTGAGAACTCACCAGCATGAGAACAGCATGGGGGAACTGCCCCATGATTCAATTACCTCCACCTGGTGTCTCCCTTGACACATGGGGATTATGGGGATTACAGTTCAAGATGAGATTTTGGGTGGGGACACAGCCAAACCTTATCACATACTAATAACAATTCTAAGATAATGCTATAATAATCACTTGTTTTCAAAGTGCCAGGAAGCATATTCAGTATTAGTTCTTTCCTTTTTTGTCCTCCACCAATTTCTATCATTAGTAAATATATTTAAGATTTGGCATATTAAGCCTCATAATTGAATCCCTGACCTCAAGGACACTAAAAATGGCATAAGACTAAGCTGCTTCTTCTAGTGGTAGAATTTTTTAAAAAACAATATAGCTTAAGAAAAAAAAAATTTCCCTTTCCTTGCCTATGTTTCCCAGAAAGAACAACTAATTGCTAGAATAGTGACATCTACTCATTGCCACTCTCTGTTACCTGGCTTAAGCTTTTCAATATCACTAAACTTGTTTTTCCTCTATCTGGGAAAATATTAACTAGAATACTGAAAACCTTCAGAAACCATATTTTGCATTTTCACTATTAGTGTGGAAATCAAAATACTTGTGCTATAAATGTGAATGCTATTAAAACTGCAAATAAATTTTAAAACCCATAAAATGCAAAGATTGTACTCTGTAAGCATAGATTGTCCCTAGATTTTTACATATTACAGGCTGTAATGTTTTTCACTATTTAATCTCAAGACCAGACCTGTTCTCTATCTGCTTGGCTACATTTTTAGATATACAGCCAGTCAAGATAAACATAATTTTGAGGACATGGTGCAATTGTCAGAGTTAATGACCTTCAACATTATCAACTAACACACCTTTGGCATTTATTTACCTGGAATAAGTATAATGCCGAAGACCAATTAAGAATGTATTTCTCTAGACCCTGGAGCAGCTACTATTTTCTGGGTTAAAAAAATGAAACTGGAGCTCTCAGAGGTTATGAAACCTACTGATTTGGTGTTTTTCAAATTATTGTCATATTGCACTATATTTTTGTCTCACACTTAAATTAGTGAAGTCATATGAAACTAAAACTCTGGCAGTTCTCTTGGGGAGTGATTGACTGGATAAACTTCCACTTCTAAATAATCACCTTCTGTAATATAACAGAGAAAGTTTTAAAAAGGGGGCCCAGGGTACCATTTCTAACTTGTACCAATTATCCTCCTTCACGACCATTAGCCACAACAGACATAATTTGTTGATTTTCAGGAATCCTGAAAAGCAATATAAAACATAAAGCAATATACACTGTTTACTTGGTTCAATTCTCATTTCTCAAATGTTGAAAATGTCACCTCTTGTCCAGAGAGTTGAGGCTTATTTTCAAGTCTATGGGCCCAACAGATTGATTTTCTCAGTGATTTCTTTTTCTAAAATATGATTTTTTACGTATAGTATCAGAAAAATGTAAAGATAGATACAATTATATTTGTGACTAAAATCAAAGCAATGGCCAGTTCTTCTAAGTAGCCATTTCTGATCACCATGCAAATCCTCTGCCTGTCACCTTCCTTCAAAAGGAAGCTGTATACATGAGAAACAGGAAGCATGAAATTGTTTACCTGACAGGAAAGCTTAGTGTGTAATGAAAAGTTACAACTTGTCATTGGAAGGAAGGAAGAAAGGTAGGACACAAAGAAACACGGGAAGAAAAGGAAGGATGGACAGACAGAAGAAAAGAAGGAAGGAAGAAAGGAAAGGAGGAAGGAAGTAAGGGAGGAAAAAGAGGAAATAATATAGAATAGAATATTCTAGAATAATTTCATTCTGTTTATATTGCGCTAGGTTTTCAAATGTCATAACTGACAAGCCCTGTGCAACACTGAACTCAACGTTCTTAAAGTGTTAGACTTGGCCGGGCGCAGTAGCTCATGACTGTAATCCCAGCACTTTGGGAGGCTGAGGCGGGTGGATCACAAGGTCAGGAGTTCGAGACTAGCCTGGCCAATATGGGGAAACCCCATCTCTACTAATAATACAAAAATTAGCCAGGCATGGTGGCATGTACCTGTAGTCCCAGCTACTCAGAAGGCTGAGGCAGGAGAACTGTTTGGACCCGGGAGGTGGAGGTTGCAGTGAGCTGAGATCCTGCCCCTGCACTCCAGCCCGGGTGACAGAGTGAGACTCCATCTGAAAAAAAAAAAAAAAAAGTTAGACTTACACTGATGAGACAAATGTTCTATAATCCATCCTAGAAATACATGAATCTCTAGTGCCAAGTTCACCAGAATTATTAAGAACATGAAGGTGTTAGAAGCCACACCTATGAGCATTTCTTTAGTGACTGAAATATGACAATTTTTCTTTTATTACCCAAGTTGAAAGAATTACTCAAATTATAAATGCAGAAATATAACTTAGATTTTAACTAAATGCTAATGTTTTGTCTACAAGGTAATTCCAAAGTGGTAATGTTAATGAGCATTCTATTTCCTAATATGATCAAGGAATGGCTCTCTAAATCTCTCCAGGGACCCTGTAACATTTTATACCTGTTTCATCACCTTTCATCAATATTCATAGACACATTTATAATTTTCAAAACATGAACAGAGCCCTGTTGGTGATACAGAGAAAAACACCAAAACTAGTTCTCGTAAGGGCAGTATTATGAAGGAAATGTGCCCTTAGGGACCCTCTGTTCCTGCTCCATCCCATCTCTGATCAGTGTCTCTTCCCCGAGATGAACAGTGCCTTCCTCCTGTCCACTGTTACCCAGAGCCCTCAATAACTCTTGATGTTCTGCTTCCCTTCCTCTCTATTCCCAAAACATCTTGCTACAATGCTAAAGTGATTGTAATAATCTAATTTGCATGCACACGTTAATGGTTTATAAGAGTTGCTTGTGTTCTCCCTCCCGGGCAACATACTTACATACTTGCATTTTTGTTTGAGTTTCCAGGGCTTTCACCTAAAGGAGCAACCTCACAATTTCAAGATGGTATTTGCTGATTTTAATAGAGCTCGGGGCTAATTCACAGACAGTATCATATGCAGCCACTGGCAGGAAGAGCAACTTCACTCCACCTCCTTTTGCCCGAAAGATGAAAAATCAATAACCAGTTTCTCAAAATGATTCTGCAATGGTGAGTCCACCCTGAATAGCAGAAGCACACTGTTTGGGTGACAGCCTTTGGAAAAACACGCCAGCCCCTGGTAGCACATGTATAGATGTATTTGTCACTCTGACAGCACTGCCAAGCAAGTGTCCCTCTGTCACTACATAGGATGAAAGGTGCGGACAGCCACTCCAAACATGGAAGAACACCTTCAGTAGTTATTGATTCCAGGAGAGGAGTTCTCAGAAGAGGGTGTACCCTTCCAGTGCCCTAAACCGAACATTGCTAGGGCTGGGGATAGAAATACCTCCAGGGGTCCATTTGCCACCCCCACTTTGCAAACTTTTGGGCATCCTCCATTTTACTCCTCCTTGTCTATCCTGTTAAATGGCAATGTGAAAGTAAGACTCATTTTAAAGGGATCTAAGAAAATTATCCTCTTGTCATGCAGAGCTTAAAGTTAAAGAATAAGGCATTTGCAGTCCTAATTGCTTTTCAAAGAAATAATCTGTAACTACTTGCAAGATTTTTTTTCTCTAAGTCCCCTCACTTCAGACATCTATTATATAGAATTGTTTGGTGGCACAGTTTTGTACACTGTTTTATCAATATTTGTCCCTTCTTAAGTAACTGTGGAACCATCTGGCATGCAGTAAACAGGCTTATGCATTAACTGACTGCACTCAGGAAACCTTGCAGTTAGCAATTAATTTTATCCCTGAATGATGCAGTGGAAATGATAATCGATGGGACAAAAATGGACAGTATTGGAAAAGAGCTTGGAAAACATCGTATGTCCACAGATGTAGGGGTTCCTTGGCATTCACTCAGATCAGAAATCAAATCAATGTCAGATTATCTTGTATTTTATGGATCCTCCTTGGTTGCATAAATGGCAGCCCACTGATCATAAATTCCATGCAGTCTTCCTTTAATGACCTTAATAGGTTGCCATTATTTTACTGTGCTAGCATTCAAAAATAGCCCATCTGGTATTCATAAATAGATGCAGGGGAGTGTGGACTTTGACAGATATAAATGCAACTGAAGAATATCTTCAGTTCAGGTAGAATCAGGAGCTTCTCTGACAAAACACCCTCAATGGGTTTCTATGATTCTTTCAGTAAATGAATCAACCTAAATGTCCACCATTAGGTACTGGTTAAGCAAATCATGGTTCTTTTACATGATGGATTATTATTTTAAAATATTTATTTAAATTCAAGTATTTTGAAAAGTATTGAAATGGCAAAAGCATGATACAAACTGCATGTGTACTATAATCTCTACCACATAACAGAATTGCACAGAACTACCAGCAAATGACTTCCACTCTTCCAGTCTCAGTTTCTTCTCCTCTGTAATGAGAAGTGTCCCAGTTTCAGTTCCCCCAGAGTATACCCACCCTGATCAAGTGTTTGAGTGCAGGTTGTTTATCAGGGCAATGGCTTCAGGAAGCCGGGTGAAGAGTGGGTGGGGAAGTGAAATCGAGAAAAGAAAAAAGGGTGCTGCTCAATGCGTTAATTCTGAAACACTAAAGACAAACCCTGCAGGAGCTCCTCTGAGATGATCACTCCTCAGAATTTCCTGCTGTAGTATTTGTTCATTAGCACTCATTCCTTATTCCTTGCCATTTGTTTCTTGGGCACTTAGGCCTGTACCATGTGGACCAGGCAGCTTCCGCAGCCAGAGGAGACCCACAGGCAGAGAGCTGCAGGAAACCTTCCAAGCATGGAACTGTCTCCAGGGCGGGTCACCAGGATGTAGGCAAAGTCAGACAGAATCTACTAGAAGGTGATTGGATTAGATGACTTCTAACATGCCTCCAATCCCTGAAAGCTTATTTAACAGAGAGGGATGAGGTTGAATGCCATAGTACTACATCTTTAGAATTTTTGGCAATAAGCTTTAGAAGTCTGTGATCACAGTTGTAACTAGCCCTCCATCCCATCAGGAATTCTGAAAGACAGTGTAGGTTATACCCCTGGAATATACTGAATAGACGGAATTGAGGTGTTTATCCACTAACTCCCATCAGTTATGTCTTGAAGACTCTTCCAAGTAGAGCATCAGCTCCCCAGCATTTGTGGCTGATGCCAAGGTAGGCAGAACAGACTTGGGTGGCCAGAAAATACCCTCAGGCAAAGAGCTGTGGTGCTTGGTGTTCAAAGTCAGCCAGCTTGCATGGAAATTGTGATGACAAAGGTATAAATGGGGCACTGAGAACATCTGCTCTAAAGGAGGTCAATTTGTTAAGCCCCAATGATATACGCAGAAGATTTGAGAACTCTGTGACGTATCAAGTACAGTCTGTAGATTATTGTAGATTGTTCCACCTACGGATGCCACTGGGGGAAAAAACCCAAACGTGAACACTTCAAAACCAACTCAAGCTTATTGCCACCATCAAGAACCTCCTAATCACCACAGCCAAGCTTCTTCATTTTCTTCAGACTGTTTTTATGAAGGTTCTGTCTCTATCACCCATTCAGAACTTACTGCATTCTTTTTTTGTTCTACAAGAAAATGGATGACTTGTCTTCCTAACTATATTGTAAGTTTCTGCAGAAAAGAGCCTCTGTTTTACTATTCGATGCCATTCTCAGTGCCTAGAACACAGGAATGTTCTACAAATACTTGTTGCCTTGAATAAACTGTAAAAAGTAAGTATAGAAAATACTAAAAAGAAAATAAGTTTGAAAATGGTATCTATGGCTAGTGGAATTGTTTTCTGTCTTTTCTTTTGCTTTCTTTTATTTTTAACTTTTTTTCAGAAAAGCAATATGTGCTCTTGTGGAGAATTTGGAAAGTATAGAAAGAGTAATAAAAAACTGCTTGTCTAACAATGAAAAAAGCAAAGAAACTGGCTACTTCTTAAAATCAAATTTAGTCCCATATTCAGCACTAGATCTATCCAATATCATAAGCTTCAACATTCAAATGACTTAGAAATTGGTTACTTAAGTGAGCATTATTTTTGTCTGCCCACCTAAAATAATAGGCCATATTTCATCATGGAAAAGAAATGGTAAGATTAAATAAATGACATAAATAACCCATCCATGTTAATTTCCGCCGTTCAACTTTCTTTACTCATTGCTTCTGGTCCTCTCTATATCATATAGAATACTTCTAGGTACAAAGCTTGCCTTATTTAATTTAGAAACCAAAATACACTTTAGTGTAGTGCTAAGCTTGAGAATGAGCTTCTTTGAACTGTGATGAACCTTCTTAATTTCAATGTATCATTATAACTACTAATTTAATTTTTCATGTTTTAGAGACACCTAGGTTTCAATCTGCACATTATTAACAATTAATGGTCAGATTTAGGATGGGATACTCTAATTTTAATAAAAGACTTCACAGGAAATGTCAGTGAACTCTACAGAATCAATCATTTATAAGCAGTCTTTGGTTTTCACTGAAATATTTATGAATGATAAAATTATTTTGACAAGGCAAAGTTCAACATGGAGGCCATTTCTGACAACACAACATGGTTTCATAAAAATTCCGAAGAATAATTAAAATAAGACAAAAAGCTCTGCCAGAGGAAATAGATTTTTCCATTTTAAACTCTCCAAGCAATGACAGACATTGATGTGAACACCCAGTTGATTATATATGCAACATCTTTTCAGGGTAAGCCCAAAAGAGGCAGCCAAGAATAAAGCCTGAGATAAATATACGTATAAGAAAATAAAACCATTCTCCAATGTCTTAGCAAGCAGATGTTTGTGTGTTTCTACATTGTAAGAATAACAGTCAAAAAGCTGGCTATACACATTAAGAATCAGGTCAACATTTTTTTTTTTTTGAGATAGTATTACTTACCCGCTCCTGCAACCAAATTGACATAACAGAAACTTACTGTGTCATGTTATTTAACACAACTCTAGCAGAAATATAGATGGTTACATTAAGAATATTCACATGATGGGCACAGTGAATTAGGGCCACTGTCTTGGGGATCAACAGGAAGAAAGAGCTGCCTTTCAAACTCTTTTCTACAACATATGTATAAAATTGGCCCTTATACCTTGGCAATATTGCCAAGCATAAAGGTGGGCTTCTTTTTCCATATAACCTCAGTCTGACAGCTTTTGATGTTCATTTTAACATAATTTCACATGCATGCAAATGGGAACCAGGAGGAAGCCATTCATAAATGGAGTGGGCTCAGTCTGATTTTCTGCTGACATTAAACAGCACACACCTGCTCAGGCCCCACCATGGTAAGTCAAATTGACAAGGCCTTAGTGTTCTATGGGAACTACAGTGTATTTGGAGAGTAGAAATAGGCATGGTGAAATGAATTAAACAACCCTAAAGATCAACAGCTTGGTTTACTTTCTTTCCATATCCTCCTGTAATAGAAAACATGTCTCAGTCTCTTCAATAAATGGTGCTGGAAAAACTGGATATCCATAGGCAGAAGAATGAAACTAGACCACTGCCTCTCACCATACACAAAAATCAATTCAAAATGAATTAAAGTCTTAAATATAAGACCTGAAACTATGACACTAGTAGAGGAAAATATAGTAAAAACACTTTAGGACATTGGTCTGGGAAAAGATATTATGAAAAAGACATCAAAAGCACAGGTAACAGAAGCAAAAATAGACAAATGGGATTAAATCAAACCAAAAAGCTTCTGCACACCAAAAGGAATCAACACAGTGAAGAGACAACTGGCATAATAGGAGAAAATATTTGCAAACGATGTATCCAACAGGAGATTAGTATCCAGAATATGCAAGGAATTCAAATAACTAAACAGCAAAATCATCATCATCATCATCATCATCATCATCATCCAATTAAAAACATGGGCGGCCAGGTGTGGTGGCTCATGCCTGTAATCCCAGCACTTTGGGAGGCCGAAGCGGGTGGATCACGAGCTCAGGTGATTGAGACCATCCTGGCTAACATGGTGAAACCATGACTCTACTAAAAATACAAAAACAAAATTAGCCAGGTGTGGTAGTGGGCGCCTGTAGTCCCAGCTACTCAGGAGGCTGAGGTAGGAGAATGGCGTGAACCCGGGAGGTGGAGCTTGCAGTGAGCTGAGATCCCACCACTGCACTCCAGCCTGGGCAACAGAGCAAGACTCCATCTAAAACAAACAAACAAAATAAATGGGCAAATGAGTTGAATATCTATTGCTCAAAAAGAAAAAAATACAAATGGCCAAAAGGTATATGAAAAAATTCTCAACATCACCAACCATCAGGGAAATGCAAATCAAAACCCCAATGAGATATCATCTTATTCCAGTTAGAATGGCTGTTATCAAAATGACAAAAAAAAAAAAATAAATGCTGACAAGGATGAGGATAAAAGGGAACTCTCGCATACTCGTGGTAGGAATATAAATTAGTACAGCCAATAGGGAAAATAATATGGAAGTTCCGAAAAAAAAAAAAAAAAAACCTAAAAAGAGAGCTACCATATGACCCAGCAATCCTATTGCTGGATATTTACCCGAAGGAAAGAGAATCAGTAAGCCAAGGATATATCTGTGTTCCCATGCTTATTGCAGCACCGTTCATAATAGCCAAGATACAGATTCAACCTAAATGCCTATCAACAGATGAATGGATAAAGAAAATGTGGTATATATTAACAATAGAATATTATTCAGCAATTAAAATGAATGAAATCCTGTCATTTGTGGTGACACGGATGAGCTTGGAGGACATTATGTTAAGTGAAATAAGCCAGACAAAGAAAGACAAGTAGTGCATGTTCTCACTCGTATGGGGAACTAAAAAAGTTGATCTCACAGAACCAGAGAGCAGAATAGTGTATACTAAGGGCTGGGAAGGAGGGAGAGAACCAGAGCTTGGTTAATGAATACAAAATTATGGCTAGATAGGAGAAATAAGTTCTATTGTTCTGTAGCTCTGTAAGGTGATTACAATTAACAATAATTTATTGCATATTTCCAAATAACTGGTGGAGTGGAGTTGAATGTTCCCAACACAAAGAAATGATTAATGTTTGAGGTGATGGCTATGCTAATTACCCTGATTTGATCATTGCACATTGTATACATGTGTGGAAATATCACACTGTACTACATAAACATATATAATTATGTGTCAATTAAAATTTTTAAAATTAAAAATGATCAAATTCTAAAACTAAAATGTCTATAAAATTTGTAGTATTTCAAAACTTTCTGGAGCTAGTCTGAAGTTCTTTCCATTTGTTTACTATTGTTTAAACACATGAATCCTGAGTTAGGAAAAATAAAAATATGGATTTGATATACAGATTTGCCTGGTCAGTAATCTCACATTAATTTAGAATAATTAAGCAAAAGTAAAATATCCAGAATATAGAAATGTTAACATTATTTTGAGCACATATATAATGTGTTATATAATTAAACTGTTTTTCAACAGAAGGCTGTGAAATGCTCTATTTGTAATATTAATGAGACCTTTATATTTTTAACATTAATCATATGCTAGCGCCTGTTGTTCAAGTAGTTTCAGAATACATGAAAACAATTAATTTCCTTGCGATTTTCAGGACAATGTCTGGTCTGCCCAAGGAATAATTATTTTCTACAGATGGTTTCGAATTTCTAACTAATAGATTCTATTCAAGTGATCACAGCTTTCAAATTAGTGAAACTAGCATTTATTATTTATTCCATCTCAGAGATTTGTTTCTGGAGGATTAGAGTTCAAATTCCATCAAGGACATAATGAATATAAGAGTTAACTTCTGAGTTTGAAAATGTGGGTACTCACAATGCCAGTGGTGGCTGGGCATGGTGGCTCACGCCTGTAAACCCAGCATTTTGGGAGGCCAAGGCAGGTGGATCATTTGAAGTCAGGAGTTTGAGACCAGCCCAACCAACATAGTGAAACCTCATCTCTACTGAAAAAAAAATACAAAAATTAGCCAGGTGCAGTGGCGGATGCTGGTAATCGCAGCTACTCAGGAGTCTGAGGCAGGAGAATCGCCTGAACCTTGTAGGTGGTGGTTGCAGTTAGCTGAGATTGAGCCACTGCACTCCAGCCTGGGCGACAGAGTAAGACTCTCTCAAACAACAAACAACAACACAATGCCTATGGTTTTTTCGGCAACCCAGAATGAGCTCTGCCCACATTTCCAATCTATGTCCCTCCTTCTCCCAAGTGTTTTTCCTATCTTCTCATCTCTAGCACATTGGAGAGTTCTCATTCAGTGTCTTTTCAAAAGCATCTGTTTTTGTTTTGTTTTGTTTTTTTGAGATAAAGTCACAGCCTGTGGCCCAGGCTGGAGTGCAGTGGTGCGATCATAACTCACTGTGGTCTCAAACTCCTGAGCTCAACCAAACATCCTGAGTATCTAGGACTACAAGTACATACAACCACACCAAGCTAATTTTTTAATTTCTTTGTAGATATGGGGTCTTGCTATGTTGCCCAGGGTGGTCTTGAACTCCTGGCCTCCAGGCATCCTCCTGCCTCAGCCTCCCAAAGCTCTGGTACTACAGGCTTGAGCCACAGTGCCTGGCCTCACCCTTTATTTTTCAACCAGTACCCCTTTCTAGTGCAGTCTCTTCTTCCTCCCAGGGATCATGCCCAACTCCTTCAAACCATTCTGGGTATCCCCTGCATAACACAGTTCTGATCCTGATATGTCTCTGTTCAGACATCTTCTGTGTTTCCCCATTGCCTGAGGTATAAAGTTCAAATTCCTGAACAGAAAGTGAATGCAGACTGAGTTACACAGTTACGCATTTGCATTAGTCAAGGGGGAAAAAAATTACACTTATTTCTGTGACTCTTCTCTACGTTAATATTTTCATCTGTGGAAATGGAAGACCTGGCTGGGCACAGTAACTCACGCCTGTAATCCCAGCACTTTGGGAGGCCGAGGCGGGCAGATCACGAGGTCAGGAGGTCGAGACCATCCTAGCTAACGTAGGGAAACCACGTCTCTGCTAAAAATACAAAAAATTAGCTGGACGTGGTGGCACATGCCTGTAGCCCCAGCTACTTGGGAGACTGAGGCAGGAGAAACGCTTGAACCCGGAAGGCGGAGGTTGCAGTGAGCCGAGATTGCACCATTGCACTCCAGCCTGGAGACAGAGCAAGATGTCGTCTCAAAAAAGAAAAAAAAGAAAGAAAAAAAAAAAACAGAAGAAAGAAATGGGAGACCTACATTACCCATGTTTCAAAATAATAGAGAATATTAATTCAAAATGTAAAAGTGAAAATGCTATGAAAAGCGTAAAACTAAATGCATTCAGGTTACGTTATCATTATTTATGTTGGCTTCTTTGCTCAGCAAAGTTCTGGTAGCACCAGGTTTTTTAGGCTTTCAGATATAACATAGGGTGGTACACTTCCTTCATTGGCCCTTAATTTCTGCCCTGCCACAGAGGTAAATAAGCTAAAGTCACACACACTTAGCTCCTTGCTGTGAAAACCATTATTATTCTTTTGTATAATTATTGCTCTTACAGATTTTGTAATTCTTCCTTTGCCTCTGACATTTTACTTGATGCTCCATATCCAATTTTTGTATAAATCAATTCAATTTAATCTCACCATCGGCCTCTTGAAACAACAGTTTCAAAATACCAGGCTTCAAAGTCTCTTTCTCTCGCTGCCTTCTCTGACTCTTCACTTGGTATTTCCAACACTCATATGGTCTCTTTGGAGATTTCCGCATAAAAGAAAAGATGCAAAAGTCCATAAGGAAACACTTCAAGATGCTTGTAAACCGAATTTTCTGGTCCTTACTGAGAGTCACATTTATAAAATTCATACTGGCAAAAGCTCAGTTACCTATTACAGTGCATTAAACTTAATCTTCTGTGAACCTTTCTATTAGACCCAACTCCAACTGGATTAGGCATACGCCATCCTGAGACACTAAAGCTGTCTAAAATGGATACACACACACACACACACACACACACACACACACACACACACAAATTTAGCTGTTTGCAGGGGGAATCCTGCCAAAGATTTCTTAAGGTTTGAACTTGGCAGTTTTCACTTCCTGAATTGATATGGATTCCCATGCAGATAATTTTGTTGTGTTTTATTTTTTTCCACCCAAGAAAAAAGACGGAAGGAAGGAAAGTAGAGAGGAAAGGAAAGAGAAAAGAAGACCAAATGAGACAAGAAACAATAAAGGAAAGAAAATGGCCCATGCGTAATCGCCAACTCCAAAGCATCCCTTTCCACCTGCAAAAAAGGAGGATGGCTTATGTCGTCATTCATTTCCTGAGTTCACTTCAGTTTTGATCTTCAATGAGAAAGAGGTTCTCTCTTCACAGCTGAGCAAAAAATAAAATAGTCATGAAATAGTGTTGTTAACACTTGTATTTGTGAATTAGCATGGGCCAATTCTGCTTTTGCATTAAGGCTCAGCATAGCTCATCCAGGTTTAAAACTTACTGAAAGGCAAATACTTAACCTTTGCTTCCTTCCTTTTCCTATGTACAGTTGTTTGGTAATTAGGTCAGGAACATCGACATAATATATGTCTGGAGTCTCTAATGCTCACTTTCTCTGGTTGCTGTTGGCATTTTACATTACATTACAAAGTAATGACAAAATACGAGTTGCGTTAAGAGCCTTGACAGAGGACATGAAGCATAATTTTCAAACGAAAAAAAGAGGACCTTCTTTACTATTTCAAAACTGCCCTAGTAAGTCTATTTAAAAATATGTATTAATTAATTTTATATACTAATTTTTTTGTGTCTTTGCATTTGGATGAAGCATTAAAAGGAAGATGCAATGATGAACAGTTATCATTAAGTTAAATTATAGTTTCTTCCCTAAAAGATTATTGAAAGACGTTCTAGTTTATTACTCACCTGAATGACATGTTGAACAAAGGAACTGAAATCAGCAAGCAAAGAAAGGAAAGAGAAAGCCAACTGAGTTGCATTATAAAACATAATCTACATCGCAACAGGAGAACATTAATTTAGAAGAAAAATAGCAAGGTTCTGTTAACAGAATAATGAATAGTTTCAAAGGTTTACCATATCAAAAAGCTCTAATTGTGTTCATTAATTCCCAGTCCAACATTATTGTGGGAAAACTAAATGTGAACAAAGCAATAATCTACCTCATATTCTCAGAAACCTGCGCAAATGCTTTCTATTCATTACCTTTACTTCGGAACGTCCCATCTTAATTACTGTGGCAATATAATGAATAAAACAGCCTCTGAAGATGATGAGGAAATGCATTGATTTCAAATATGATTTTCAAGGGTTGTATGAGGAGAGGTTGAGAAGAACACATGTGACCTTGCAGGTCACGATAGAGTGACAGAGGAAACACACAAGATAGTGTAATTGAAGAATTTACACTACATAGTATAGATTTAAATCTGTCATACCCCAAATATGAACAAGAATCTAAGTACTCAGAGAAGAACTAAATTTATAAAATTCAGTGGGAAAACAATGTCAGTCAAATTTGGTAATTTGGGAACGTGTAGACAAAACGTCCACATGAGTGACTGGCATTTTTCCTTCTCAAACTGGTTGTTTAGGCAACATTAGACTCAAAATTGATGCCTGTGTTCTAGGGGAAATAAGTTTCTCTGTTGCAATTTTTCATTTTTAATAATATTAGTTCAAATTTCTCCAGTGCCTTTTATTCCATTAGCTCAAAGCACTTTTCAAACCACTAATGAATTACACTTCCTAACATCCCAGCAAGGCAGAAAGCCTCCCATCCATTTTCATAGCAAAATGCTTTACTTCTAGCAGCACAAGCCATTAGAGAGTAGCCATGATTTTTTAAAAAATATTTTATCATTTTTTTTGCTTCCCATTTTATCTGCTGCTTCATAGGTAAATCTGAGGCATTAAGAGGCTTAATGAGATCATTTTAAAAGGGAACAGGCAGACCCTCAATACCCACTAATTTTGTCTGTCCTACATCTGAAAATTATTCACAGGAAATTGATCCAGCCAGAATTTTCAAAAGTCTCTCAGTGGAAAGACAAAGAACCAAAGGGAGATGCCCACATATTCAGTGTCTTCTCAGTAGGCATCTCCATTATCCATGTATGTTCCAGCCTGAAAGCACTGAAAAGGACAGGTTAGGTGACACAAGTTATTTCCCAAAACTGAGTGAATCATTGACAACATCATCCATTATACTGTGAGAAAGAAAGCAATTGTCAAAGAGAACAACGTTAATTTCAGGTACATTTAAGTAATAAGTCACTTCTTTATAAAAATTTACCCTGAGTGAGTCCTTTTGGATTTATAATTACTTCTTTATAAAAATATATCCTGAGTGAATCTTTTTGAGTTTATGAACAAAGATGAGATGGAAAGCCACTGAATTAATCCATTCATTCCCACTGTAAACAATTGAATATAACTTCTACAGTTATCATTTCTGGAGTTTTTATTTTGAAAACTTTTCACCAAGGGTAAAGGAAGACTTTTATCTGTTCTACGCCTACCGAATTGAACATATTAAATTCTGTAAAATAGTCATTATATTGTCACTTGTAATTTACCTTCTACATTACTGCATTTGGGTCTTTAATTACATGTTTTCATCACTAGAATTAGATACGGCTTTTTTGACCCCATGGTCCTTCCTTTTTCCCTTAACACCAAAAGGAGTCATCAAGATGGGCCTATGTCTCAAGTGACATGAAAATGAGAGTGGCGGGGTTCCATGGGCAAGAGTGTGGTAGAAGGAGGACTTTGTATTAATGTCAGAGGTCATGCTATTTCTGCTTGGTATGAAGTGAAGCAGAAGAGAAGAGCTGAGCGAGAGGACGCGGTAGAGATCTGGAACAACTTA
Source organism: Homo sapiens (assembly GCF_000001405.40). Taxonomy (NCBI): domain Eukaryota; kingdom Metazoa; phylum Chordata; class Mammalia; order Primates; family Hominidae; genus Homo; species Homo sapiens. The sequence continues at coordinate 35,887,640 of NC_000008.11, read as the reverse complement.
GTAGAGTCCTCTGAGCCAGAACTTCATACCGTATTGTAGAAATATGTTATAAAACCTCAACTTATCAGGCATATCCACAGTCAAATGATACTTCAAACATATTCTGAAGTATAAATCCTATAAAATTATACCATAAAATTATACCATGACATAATAACAGCACCACCAAAAATGTACCATAACCACCCCCAGTCTGCAGAGATAAAGAAGAGTTGCCATGTAGCCTGTCTGGATGTGTCTAGTGAGTGTTTTGAAACAGACACTGGATAGCAGAATGAAGGGGAAACACATTTCCTAAACTTCCACATAAACACGTAGTTACCCTCCACCGACACCAGATGGCCTTCCACAGCCAAGTGTTCACTTCCCCACCTTAAGAAACAGTGATGAATATTCAGAATGTTGCAAAAAAATACTAGCTACAAGTGTGTTGTAAGCATTCTTGGATGAGCACATTAGCCAAACTTACAGCTATGGAAAGTAGAGACCACCTGTATACGCTTTTTCTAAGGAATTCAGCGTATTCGTTTATTGATGTAATTCTCTTACAACATTGATAATCAGAACAACTTCCTTTGAAAATAGATAAATGAATATTACTCTTTCTACTTAATAATGGAGATCAATGAGACACATAGAAATTAAGTTTGTGGCTAGAAAACGTCAGTGAAAGGATAACAAGGATAGCATTTGGAGGTATAAGAATTACTTGATCCCTGTAAACCTAAGTAAAGATTGGAAAACATGATGAAAAAATGGGTATAAAAATAATAAAGACACCAATATGTCATTTCTTATCTTCTTTGTGAAATAACCTTTCAAAGAAAGATCAATCTCAGCCCCCAAGCAAAGGATGTTAAGATCCCAGAATAAAACACACCTTATACTTTTGATTCTTATACTCTTCTGCCTTCCCTTTGCTTTTTGTTCTTTAGATGTTACTAACTCTAGAGAATACAATGGCCAAATCAAAGCTTTGCTGTGACCACACAACATGTCAAGTGCATGTAGGACCTAGAAGAAGCCAACAGACCTGGTAGAAAACAACCCAAAAGTCACAGACACACAGGCATAAGTGAAGAAGATTATATGTATTTGTACATATATATCTTTATATATACCTATCTTTAAGCTCAGGAAACTCTTCATGGACCTGTCTTTTCCACCTCAGTAAATATTCCCACTTTCCGAAGATAAGCTACTCAGCTTGACAATGATGAATTCTTCCTGTGTTTCTGCTCTACCTGGAGAAGCACAGAAGGTGATGGAATGAAAGCAGGAATCAGAGAAAGGGGTGGTAGGACTGAACCATCTGCTCCATTATTTTCCTTATTCTCTGCAGGCAAAAATCATGCCTTAAAGGAGGAGTAAGGCTGGTAATGTCTAAGAACTATTACTTTGGCAAGCAACAAACAGGAATCTTTTTGCTTTTTGGGGAGGGAAAGGGGGCTAGGTTTTAAGGGGTTGTGGCTAAGTTTCTCTTTAACATATGCTTTTGGCCTATAGCTCAAAAGAAGAGAGGCTGCATAGACCTGTCTGTTTTACTTGGAAACCAGGGGCCTACATTTGAATTCTAGCTGTATCATCCATAAATTCTGTAATCCTAGGCTTTACTTTTTCTAAGTGTCAGTTTTTGTAAAATAGGGATAATCTTTTATAGAGTTTAGTTTTAGTGTGATATTTGGGGTTATCTTATGTGGTGATTACATGAGATTTTTACATGTCAAGTGTTTTATACCAAGCATAGAACATAGTAAATACTAAATAATGCTGTGTTATTTTTCTTTCATTAAAATCCAAGATGAATGAGTGTGGCTTCATCTATTCTTTCCCACATTTTGGACAATGTTGGTTTATCAGGCCACAGCATCTATTAGATTGGTGCAAAAATGATTGTGATTTTTTTTCCATTAAAAGTAATGTAATAATTTCAGAAACAAGCTTCTTTATCCCAGTTAATAACTCATAAAAAATAAATGGAATTATATGGCTTGCAAAGCTTCAAAATCCAAACGTTTTTCAGTTTCTTCAAGAAGAAACTCATTTTCTTCTTTCTCTTTCTCTTTCTAGAAAAGGCTTCCTTTACTCATTCCCTAATTCTCTATTACCCTGCAGCTGCTCCAGCTGTTCCAGAGTGTCTTTTTCATTCAAAACATAACAAGAAGAAAACTCTCTTTTACATTCTTTAAAGTGAAACTTTCTTTAAAGTGAATGTATGTGCATAACTTTGTCAATTTTGAGTGGAAATACTGAGTCACTGAATATATATGTATCTTCAACTTTTCTAGTTAATGCCAAAGTATTTCTCAACTGGGTTTTGACAGTTTTCACTCCTACCAGCAGTGTAGAAGAGTTCCTGTTTTTCTTGGTTCAGGGAATCCAGGAAGGCATTGTTTGATTTGTTAATTTTTGCATATCTGGTGGGTGTATAATGGTACATAATTTGCATTTCCTTAATTATAAAGAATTTGAGCTCATTTTCAAATATTCATTAACGTTGGATTCCCTCTTTCCTAAAATGCTAATTCAAGTCTCTTGGCCATGTTTCTACAGGATTGTAGGAGTTCTGTTATTATTCTTGATATAAGTCTCATGGCAGTCATGTATATGGCAAATATCTTTTCCTATTCAGTGTCTTGTCTTTTTGTTCTGCTTATGAAGTCTTTTTTATTACTAGGAGTTCTTAATTTTAATGTAGTCATATGTAGTCATTTTATTAATAATTTCCATTATGGTTAGTGCTTTTCACTTCTTCTAAAAGAAATTCTACCCTACTCTGATTTTATCAGTTCCATTCTCCTTCCCCTCTGTTTTCAGAGAAGATTGAGTTTACTAGGCTCTTGAAAGATGCTGATTCAGCCTTGATTGAACAATGCTAAACCATACTTAGAACAATAGTTTCCTATTAAATGGAAACTGCTTCAGTGGCAGAAATCATATTTTATCCTTTTATTGATATGACAGCATTGTAAAATGTTCTCATTGCTTGTAGACCTGTGGATTTGCTGGTTTAAAGCAAAACCCTTCCTAGGAGATCATCAGTAAAAGATACATTCCTATTGACAGCATGATGTTCAAGAAAATGCTACCAAAATATTGATTCTTCACTGGATGAAGTGGTAAAAGGCAGAAGAAATGGCAAGATCATTAAAATATCATTAAGCATGCATCAGTTTTACTCAGGAAGTGAGATTTTCCTTTTCGGTAATAAATAAATTTTAAAAACAGTTGGTACAATCTCACCTCTAAAGAGGTTTAAAAAATAAAAAAGAATAGGATAGCAAAATTTCATAATATTAATTAGCATGCACCTACTTGGTCTATGTCACCAAAGAAGAATAGCATTTGTGGGCCAGGCATGGTGGCTCATGCCTGTAATCCCAGCACTTTGGGAGGCTGAGGTGGGTGGACCACGAGGTCAGAAGATCAAGACCATCCTGGCTAACATGGTGAAACCCCGTCTCTACTAAAAAAACAAAAAATTAGCCAAGTGTGGTGGCAGGCGCCTGTAGTCTCAGCTACTTGGGAGGCTGAGGCAGGAGTATGGCGTGAATCCAGGAGGTGGAGCTTGCAGTGAGCCGATATCACACCACTGCACTCCAGCCTGGGCAACAATGCGAGACTCCATGTCAAAAAAAAAAGAATAGTATTTGTGTTCATTCGTTTTGCATTGCTGTAAAGGAATACCTGAGACTAGGTAGTTTATAAAGAAAAGAGGTTTATTTGCCTCACAGTTCTGCAGGCTGTATAAGAAGCAGGGCACCAATACCTTCTTGGGTTCTGGTGAGGCCTCAGGAAGCTTCCACTCATGGCAGAAGGTGAAGTTGGTACATGTCATATAGCATGTCGCATAGCAAGAGAAAGAGCAAGAGAGATTCCAGGCTCTTTTCAACAAACAGGTCTTGCAGTAACTAATAAAGTGAGAATGAGAATTCACTCATTACAGTGGGTAGGACACCAACCCATTCGTGAGGGATCCACACTCATGACCCAAACACCTTCTACTAGGCAACACTTCCAACTCTGGGGATCACATTTCAATATGAAATTTGGAGGGGACAAACATCCAAACTATATCAGTGTTGTTTATTCTATGGCTTTCAGTTTTAATAAACATGGTCAAGACATTCCTGTTAAAAAAATACTGTCCACTTATTTACTGAGGGGAATGTTCTATGCCCCCCTTACAAGAACACCATCCTTGTACCATAATTAATGTTTACCCCTGGGCTCAAAATGCCCATTCAAACTGCCAAGGCTTATAGGCACAAATCAAGAAAATATAGCTACAAATCATTCTCCCCAAATAAAAGGGTCAACTGGTATTAAATTAGTTCATTTACAGAACTCATTGAAATTAGCAGCATGTTCTTAAATTGCTTCTTGATTGAGGACATTTGCCTCATTAATTTTAAACAACCTGAGAAGACTATTAAAGTCTTACAGAAAAAAAATGACCAAAGGACATAATACACAATACACATTACTATCAGGGTGAATGTAAAATCCTAGAAAATATATACCTAGAGTGAGAAATCCAAGATGAGAGGGTTTAACTGTCATATTCTCCCATGGAAGTTCCTGTCTTTTTTTTTGGTTTTGACCATTTTTTGTGTTGTCATTTTTCCAGTGAAGAACTTTCTATGCCACCAACCCACTGTCATATAATTCTCTGCTTTAGTGATTCCTCTTTCCTTTTCAATAAAGCTAGAATGCTTTTGAGGATTTAGCTCTGGCTCCTCCTCCACGTGTCCATTTAGTCCCCACCATACTTGACCCTTTCTGTTCCCTGAGTTTGCCATGTTCTTTTAACCATAATAGGTTTGTTCCTGATGCATGTGGCAAGTCAACATGCTAAGACACCAGGTTGCATCAGAGAAAGAGATTTAATTGGAGGTCTGCCAAATGAGGACATGAGAGGAAATATCAAATCCGTGTCCCCAAGGCATTTGGGCCTAGGGTTTTTAAGGATTTTGGAGTGGGCTGAAGTGTGGAGATGTTGATTGGTCAAAGAGTTCAGGGCAAAGTCATGGGACAGGGAGATGAAGAACCTGCATTCTCAGGCTGATTTGGTTCCTTTGGGGGTGGGGAGGGTCAAACTGGTTGGTGTCACCTACTTCACTGGAATTCAGGATCCAGGATCTGCTTAAGCATTTATTAAACAAAAACCTTATGATTCTAATGTCAGAGATCCTATCTATAGAAACCATAAAGATGCATGTGCTCTGTAACTAGTGTTATATGACTTCCAGTTACAAGGAAGTGGGTCAAAGTGCAGCCTAATTCGTGCTTAGTTATAATGATTTCTGGCTAGAATTGTTGTTAACTTTCTGGAATGGCTTCACTCTGACACACCTTTGGAGCTTTTTATATGCTTTATTTCTTCTTCTTTAGCCTAGGCTGATTTCTACCCACCTTTTAGAACTCAACTCAAGTATCCCTTCTTCTGAGAAGCCTCCTATAGACACAAGACTATCTTAGGTGCTCCTTGTTCTGCAGTTATATTTACCATAATATTTACCACACTAACATAATTGCCTGTTACTTTTTCTGTATCACCTATGAAAAGCCCTGTGAAGACAGAGACTATGCCTTATATACCGTTTTATTTCTAGCCCTGGCCTTGGTAGGTACTTGGTGGGTATTCTTGAGTGAATGAACAAATGAATGAATCAATTAGCTCAAAACTTATTAAGCATTTTTTTCTGTGCAATGCCATGTTCTTGTGGAGGACACAATGACGTCCCTATACTGGAGTGAGCACTCAGTATTTCACTGCAGAAAAGTCATGCACACAAATTACTAGAGTGTAAGTTACCAAAAGATTCTAATAACAAGGGTTCTGAGGAAGGAGTAACTATTTTTCCTTGAAGACATCAGGGAATTCTTCTGGTGTGGGAGAAGGTGGACAACATAGTACATTTTATTTTAATATCAACAGTTAATATGTAAGATTTGTATTAAAAAAAGATAAGGCAGGAAAGAGGATTCTGATTACAGGGAAGGAACAATATGAGCAAAGATCCAAAGAAAGAACGTTATTCATATATTTATTTATGCATTCATTCATTTACATATTAATCAGTGATCAAAAATTTATTGACCACCTCCTACTATGTGTCAGAAACTGTGGTAGGCACTAGATATTCAGTAGCGAGTTAAACAACCTCAGTACCTACTCCATAACACTTTTATTAAGAGGAAAGAAAAACATTAAATAACTAGTTCATAATTATCTACTTATTGTAAAAGTACTATATTAACTATATTTAAGAAGAAGGTCATACTTATCAGGAGAATGAGATTGAGGAAGTGTATTTTTATCATAACTTTTATTCTAGGTTCCGGGGTAGATGGGAAGGTTTGTTTTACAGGTAAACTGTGTGTCATGGGGGTTTGGTGTACAAATTATTTTGTCACTCAGGTACTAAGCCTAGTATTCATTAGTATTTGGTTTTCTATTCCTGAGTTAGTATGCTAAGGAAATTGGCCTCCAGCTCTATCCATGTTGCTGCAAAGGAATAATCTCATTCTTTTTTATGGCTGTTTAGTGTTCCATGGTGTATATGTACCACATTTTCTTTATCCAGTCTACTACTAATGGGCTTTTATAATGAGTGAAATTTGAACATGTTATAATCCTGATAGCAGTAATATGGAAGATAAGGTTAAGATACAATTGAAAGAGCAAATAACCAAGGAATGATATTTCATGAAATGCAAAAAGGATAGTCTCCGGACAACATGACCTTAGATTTTAAAAATCAGAAGCAAGAGAAAATGGGTCTATGTATAGGGTTTGGTGATTTAGAAGTGGTAAGTTGAGGTTGCACCTGTGGTTCTCTTTCTCTGAGAAACTGGAGGCCAGATAATTTCCTTATGGTTTAAAAAATGTAGAGAAAGGAAATGCTGTTAGAGGTTGAAGCAAATGAAAATGGGCATTTGTAAAAGAAAAATCCAGTTCAGTTTGACTTAGGGTTTGAGTGGTGGAAATTTTCAGAAATGAGGTTGGGAGTGAAAACTGGGGGCAAATTGTAGACAGTTTTGGCTAATAAAGCTCAGCATGCCTGCCCTTACACTTCTGGCTGACTTACTGGAGAAGTGGGAAAAAAGGAACCTGTAACTAAAAGCTACTTTATTTTTCAACTTAAACAGAAGAGACTCTTTTTTTATAAAACATCTTTATTCTTCCTGGTTGTGCTAGGGGAGAGGAAGAGGTCTTCCACTTTTTGTGGCTGCTTCTGGACTGATGTGAATAAATTCTTGGAAGAAAGGAAGTCATGGAACAACTGTTGCTTAAAAGGAACATAGACCACCTGACAACCTCTGCATTATCGGTAGACAAAGTTGGCTCTTATTAATGTCCTCTCACAGATAATGAGATGGCACAGTCGACAACAGATAGCTGGACCAGAGCTTCGAGATCATTTCTTTCATCTGTCTCATCTCACAGTTCATGAGAGCATGCTGGGTAGTGAAAAACCCCTGCAGTGTGCATCACAAGACCAGAGCTCTAGTTCAGCTTCTGTCTGACATTCAAAAGATCACTTAAATCCTGTCTTCTTCCATTTGTACAAAGAAATCCTTCGATTTGTCCAACGTTTGAGTATTTTAAATTGCAAATATTTCTAGATCATTACTTCTATCCCCAGTGTAGCCTCTGATCAATTGTGTTTTAACCATGGCTTTCCATACTATATAGGTCAAAGAATTTTAGCTGGCCATCTTATGCCAACCTTATAATCCTTCTAATCAATTTTGTGTCCTTCTGTTGATCTTATCAAGAGGTTATAACTAATTTGAAACATAATCAAATACAGCATACTGGAAGGGCAAACATGGTTTAGGAGAAAGAGAGGATTGTATTTTCTATTTTCATTCTCATCTATCTCTAATGCCAAGGATTGTGATAACCTTTCAGTCTACAGAATAGCTGTAGGCTAGTGTCTTCAGAGACCAATCTATACTCTCTCCCAGGTATCTGTTTTTACTTGTTTGCTGTTGTTCTTTGACATTTTTTCCCCTCTGGGAGTGTTCCCTTAAATATGCCCACCCTGAAAATACAAATAAATAGTCCACTGTGTTTTTAAGTAGACTTTGGGAAATTATCTCAATGTTCCTGGCCCTGAAATGCAAAGAAATAAAGGAAAATCACAGTCATGGTCCCAGTCAGCATCTTGCTCTGCTCCTGAGCTTTTCCAAGACACTAGCTGACACTGACTCTGGACAGGTCATGAGGGGGATAACTGTAGAATAGGTGTCTGTTTGTTTGCACATATAATTATGTGCAAGATCACTATTGATCCCTAAGACTATATACAGAAACACACATTCTATAGATCAAAATCTGAAAGCATATTCTATGGAAAGTTTGAATAATGGGTGCACCACACCTCTTTCTATTTGCCTTGCCCAAAAGGTGATACTTTGCAATGGAACAGTCTTGAACTTTGTTTTTCCTGTCATATCTAGAGATTCTTTTATGTAAAACTACATAGTTTCAACCTTTGAGGAGTCTTACTGTGAAATTGCTTATGCTCAGGTTGAGTTATTAATTTAGCCCCAAATTTCAATTTCAGACAGCCTGAGGCTGGCCTCCCTAGTTACCAATGTTTTCATCATCCGAAAGCCCTTTGCCCCTCCCCCCATAACCTTTGGCTACCTCATTACCCTCTTTTGCATAAATTTGAGCATGAAGTAATGAGTTTGAGAGAAAAATGGAGTAAAGCAATGCATGAGACAGCATGAAGGAAGCTATCTATTCTGCCACCCCTAACTTGGTGACAAACCGGTCAGCCTAACATGAATGCCAAGATAATTAGTGGGAATGCTCTTTATGGCTGCATAATTTCAAGCACATATTAACAAAATATCTCCACCTGACACTGTGTCCCAAGGTTACTTTTTTTTAATGAGCTGGTATGTGTCAAATATTAATCCTGCCATAAAAATGGAACCACAACCGACAGGAAAGCCCAGTGTGGATTTTCAGATCTTATTTTTATTATTTTTAACTCTTGGTTTTATGTGCATATTATGTGGACTGGAGACATAAAGGATGCCAGCTGACTCCAAAATTACAAATTCAAAATGTTCAGACCAATTGACTGAGTTGCATTTCATGGTTTCATCACAGCAGGATTTTATGCAGCCACTGATTGAGAATCTAAAAATCCCATTCTTTTTAGAGAACAACATCTTTTGCTACACCTAATTTCTACACTTATCTTCACAAATAAGTGGGGATATGTTTTTGTTAATATGAGAGAGTTCTCTCCGCAGCTGATGAATTTTCTTCTTTGCATGACCCAAGCATGATATTCCATCAAAGTGCTCATTGTCAAAGACAATTGAAAGGGAATGCAGAAGAAAAAAGAGACTATTAAGCACTCTTTGAAATTTATTGATCTAATTCTAGCTTATGAGGATATGTCAGTTAGGAATGCTTCTTGCCATAAGTCATAGACTGTATGTCTAAGAGTGGAACAAATGACACATGTACATGTATTATCTCCCTTAAGTGGACCAGTGGCAGATGCTCCTGGGCTGATCAGTTGTGCAGAAACGTCACTGGGTCTGTTTTCACCATTTTGGCTGCTCATCCTCATGCTTGTTGGTCTCGTGATTATAATATGGCTGCCAAACTCCTTCCACAAAGAAATCAAGGAGGTAGGAATGGGAGCAAGTAGGAATGAAAGGAAAGACAGAGTGCATCTTTTAAATCTCCAAGTCATGTCCCTCACCCCCCGATCCATCTCCCACACCAGGATTTATGTCTTATGGCCAGAATGGGAGCAGGACCCCACTGCTAGGATTATCACTGGCACAGAAAAATGGGATCACCATGTTTGGCTTGAACCAAGTATTGAATCATTGCTTGGGCCTCGATGCAGGGCCAGCTTCCACTGATATGGAGGATCTCTTTCTACCTAAAAATCAGGGGTCTGTTACCAGAAAATGAGAGAAGGTGGCTCCTGGGTAAGCAATTAATCATGTCAGCCACACAGAGTGGACAGTGTACCTTCAACACCTTGGATTGTTAGAGTTCTTTCTTCCATTGACAACCAGTTTGCTTCTATAAGTCTCCACTCATTAACTTCAGTTCCCAGTTCACTGCTTGCAGACCTTGGGTTTTCAAGACCAGGGCCATCATTTCTGAGTTGAGTGTATCTCCCAGCTCTTAGACTGCAGTATCAAACATGATCTCACAGTGTGCAGGAATACTCCAAAAGAGCATTGATAGAACATCCAGAAAATGATACTTTAAGGCCATATAAACTTTACTGAGTTCTTCATAAGTATTATTTTATTTTGCCATTAAAAGACATTACAGTCATCTCTTAGTATACCTGGAAGATTGGTTCCAGGACTCCATGGGTATGCCAAAATCCACGCACACTCAAGTCCTAAAGTTGGCCCTGCTCAGCCCTGCTTGGCCCTGCCCAGCCCTCCACATACTCGGGTTTCCCATCCGGTGAATATTGTATTTTTGATCAACATTCAGTTGAAAACAATCTGAATCAGTGGACTCATTCAGTTCAAACCCATGTTGTTCAAGGGCCAATTGTAATTGCAATTTTGGCACAGCCTAAATGAAACTCAGGGGAGGGAATTAGCTTGCTTGTCCTGTGTATTTTGCTGCAGAACAATAGCTTAACCAGAGATCTCTGACCCAAATTTCATGCCTTTTTCCTCTGCTACTACAGAGGTTGACCTGCCTGTGATTATTACCACTATGGTGGCTGTATCTACTGCTAGAGCTCTTGCTGACTGTTCTAGCTGCCACTTCTAGCCACTGTGGTAGGTTCCATACCTACATTATCTTTATATAACTCTTTCAACTGCCTTTTAGGATAATTATAATTAGCTTCATTTTTCAAATGAAGGCAATGAGGAAAAGGAAGAGCTTAATCGACCAAAGTTAGAGTCAATGTCATCACGATGGATTAAAACCCAAGCCTGTAGCACTTCAAATTTCACACTCTTTCCAACACACTGCCTCTCAATCACTATTTGCCCCAAGTGAAGGGAAAAAGGTTATAGAGAGGAAATGAGACTTCAAATGATATTTTCCTCTTATAATATTAATGTAAATTCTCAAAAAGCAACTGATCCAATCTGCCTATCATCTTTAGGTTGGGAGATGGGACAAATGATGATTTGAGAGTTAATAGCAAACAGGCTGACCTTATAAAATGTGTTATCCTAATTGGAGTATTTCTGCAAGTGGAAGAAGACTCTATTTAAAATTATGTCATGACAACAGGTATAAACAAGGGTTGTTCTAGAAAAATTAGGGCATATGGTTGACTAAACTATAAACCGTAAAATAAGAGCTTATAGGAAATAAAACCTAGGGGGAATAAAATCAAGCAACATCCAATTTAAGGTTCTGGCATGGATGTTCACTTCCTGTGCTCCAATTTTATCTCTAGGAAACTATTTCCACTCTGTTCCATGTGCAAAGTGCATCTGAATTGCTTTTATAAAGTGTAACTCCCCTTATAAGATTTAAGTCGTGGATGTTTTGGCTTTTTTTGTTACAGCAAATCTTGTTTATCTGCCTTTCTCGTCTCCCCAGCCTCATTCTCCAGGCCAGGCTTTTACGGAGGGGAGGTTCCAGGAGAGCCGTATGATGAAAAGAGCTTTAGCAGCTAAAACTGCAGGGAGCAGAGCACCATGGATCTGCAAGAGATTTTAAGAGTTGTGTTTGTGCTGGTTTTCCTTCAGTGCCCTCTAGGGAAAACTCTCTGGGAAGAAAATTGGTACTTGAGCCTGACAGGATAGTAGGAAGATCTTTATTCAACTTTACAGACTCTGTTGAACTATTTTGGGGGCTGTAAGGAAATCCAGCTGGAAGAGAGTGGGCCAGAAGCCCCTATCAGTAGATGCAGGTGGGATTCTGAGGCAGAAAATAAAACTTTTTTTTTTCATTTCTTACTGATTGTGTGAGCGAAGTGAGTTTTCAACCATCTGGTTCCTGGGAAAATGAGGAGGGGTGAAAGAGAACGCTGTCCCACTTAGTCTAACCTCCTGGGAATACTGGAGGAAATCAAAGCTTGCGGTGCCACAGGCAACCCTGAATTAGACTTTCTAGGCTGGAAATTGCCTATTGAGACAACCCACAGAATGGGAGAAAATATTTGCAAATTATGCATCTGACGAAGTACTGATATCCAGAATCTACAAGGAACTCAAGCAAATTAGCAAGAAAAAAAACAAGCCCATTAAAAAGTGGGCAAAGGATATGCATAGATATTTCTCAAAAGAAAACATATAAATGGCCAACAAACATATGAAAAAATGCTCCACATCTCTAATCATCAGGGAAAGGCAAATTAAAACCACAAAATGATACCACCTTGCCCCAGCCGGAATGGCCATTACTAAAAAGTCAAAAAACAATAGATGTTGGCATGGATGTGGTGCAAAGGGGATGCATAGACACTACTGGTGGGAATGTAGATGAGTACAACCTCTATAGAAAACAGGATGGAGATTTCTCAAAGAACTAAATCAACCATTTGATCCAGCAATCCCAGTACCGGGCCTCTTCCCAAAGAAAAATAAGTTACTCTATCAAAAAGACACCAGCACACATGTGTTTATCGCAGCACAATTCACAATTGCAAAGAAAGATATGGAGTCAACCTAATTGCCCATCAACTGATGAGTGGATAAGGAAAATGTGGTATATATATCATGGGGTACTACTCAGCCATATAAAAGAATGAGATAATGTCTTTTGCGGCAACTTGGATGGACCTGGAGGCCATTATTCTAAATGAAGTAACTCAGGAAAATAAAAAACCAGATACTTAGTTCACACTTACAAGTGGGAGCTAAGCTATGCGCACACAAAGGCATATGAAGTGGTATAATAGACATTGGAGACTCAGAAGGGGGAGGATGGAAGGGAGATGAGGGATGAAAATTTACCTATTGGGCACAATGTACGCTACTTGGGTGATGGGTACACTAAAATCCTAGACTTCACCACTGTACAATTCATCCATGTAACCACTTGCACCCCTAAAGCTGCTGAAATTTTAAAAAAAATTGAAATACATAAAAACGATTTTAAAAAAAATAAGGAAAGAAAAGAAATTGCCTATTGAGGGAAGGTACATGCCCCAAAGGCAGAGGAATGATTGGTTTCCCTGGTCATTTTCGCCCTTGCAACTGCAGTGGCATCTTGCATTCACACCAGCCTTGACCACAGAGATAGGATGTGTTGATTGGAACAGTCTGAGCCGTTCAGTGATTCGGCAGGGATGGAAAAACAAACTTCAGGGCTCTGACCAAGACTGCCTGACTCTCCATATGCTGCTTCCCTGCCACTCAGCTCCTGATGGATAAGAAAAGGTGGTTAGACGGGAGAGGGAGGTGGCGGGGAGCGCTTCAGGTGCTCCAAATTAGGGATAATTCAGCCTATTAGTCAAATGAAGTCAAAAAGTTAATTTGTAGCTGCCAGCTGTTGAAAGGAAACTTATAAAGCTCCACAGACCTACACAGCCCAGTGGGGGAACGCGGATGCAGAGCGATACACGCGGAGGACTTTGAATAAACACAATCAACAGTGTCAGCTGAGAAAAGCTTGGCGGTGGCCAGGTGGCCTCATGGACGAAGAGATAATGGAAGTAATGACGGTAGGTGTCCGGGGCGCCAGTGGGGAGAGAAAGGAATATTTCTTTGCTCCGGCACTGGATCTAATCCCTACTTACAGCACGCTGCTGTCAGCTGGTGCCAAGCTTAGAGGCCTCCGCTACTACATGGATAACACAGTTAGCGTCAGTTCTTTCTTTCCAGCCTCCCCTGGCAATTTATATTCAGCTCCTCATTCTTCCTCTACTTTTTTTTTTAAACCACCAAGTAGACATTTTTTTTTAACCAGTTCATCTCCTGCACTGACTCAGGAAGCGTGCATTCGAAGACAAAAGCAACTTTCCATTGTCACGCTGAAAAGAGAGTGGGTCCTTTCCTGGCTTGGCGTTAGGTCCAGGGTACTATGCACTCTTGAACTTATCACTCCTCCTTCAAATATAAACCATCCTGGGAATCAGCCTGGACTCCACCTTGAGGTAATTATCTAACTTTTGACTCTACAGAAAATGCAAGTGAACTGAGAAAGTACTAAGTCCACGATGCTTCCAAAAGTGTACAGGTGAAAAAATTAAAAAAGCAAAAAAAAAGCCTGCTTGATCTGCAAAGGCTTATTTTAAATCCATCGATAGAACTCTCAACCCCTCCGCAGCATTTAGCAGATGTCAGGAATACAGTATGTCTCATATTGCCTTGTGTCCATGTATCTATGCATGATTTTCTCTAGTATGTTACCGTCTACTCTTCAAGAAAAGTGCTTAGAAGAAAAAAATAGGTCTGGATAAATATCTATGAATGAAATAAAAGCTGCTCTTTAAATAGAAGCCATGACAATCAGCCATAGTTCTTTTTTTACTGTCATCAGATATGGAAAGCTGTCCATAGCATGTTTGAACATTTAATCATCCACAAAAGTTTCTTAATTACCTCATATCCTCCTCTGCCTTGAACACTGCTCCTTAAGAGTGTTGCACGTAATTTGAATGCATATTAAACTGGCCTGCTGTCTCTGGACTGAGTTTGGGTCTTAACCTTAGAAAAATGCTTCTCTTAGATCAGAGACTGTTCATATGCAAAAAGATTATCCCCTTGCTTGCTGAAAAGTTATGCAATGTTGTGGTTGTAAAATTAGGTCTTAATATCTAGCTGGTGATTAAGTCTATAATCACCCACTCTGTGGAGTGATTTAGGAACTCAGTAAAAGAACTGTTGATCTATTGAGGCTTTTTCCCTGGGGCTAGAGGCTCCACTAGCTGTACTATTTATATTGGAACTGAAAGGTAACACTTGGAACTGTGCAGACACTTGGCATGGATTAACTCCTTAAGTCCTCCCCACAACTCTGCAATGTTGATCTTCGCATGAGAGCCATGAGGATAATAATCATTTTACAAATAAGAAAAATGAGGTTCAGAAAGGTTAAGTAAACTGCACAAGTTTGCATAGCTTATCAAGTTGCAAAACTACCATTTAAGCTCAAGACTATCTAGATTCTAAAACCCATCATGTCTGTGTTTTCCCATCTGGGACACAGAACTCCCATTCCCTCAACCCAGTGAGGTCTCCAGCAAAGTTAGATAATGTGCTTAGTTACAGCAGTAATCTACTTGTAAAAGATAAGCACCTTCATCAGCACTGTGGCCAACTTATAATGAAATGTAACCATGTCATAACTATGTATCTTGAAAGTCCAAGTTTATGTTTATGAGCAGATTCCTTCTGAGTCATAACCAAATAATGTCATAGGACACCTGACAAACCCGTGTTTTACTTTGCTTTAAATAGGGGAAAGAAGTGGAGCCATCCCATGTCCTGCAATATCATACAACTAAAGCTGCACCAGAGTTGCCAGGGCCTTTGGCAGATTGCCAGGCGATATCCTGCAAAGATGCCCATCTCTGTGCATGCTGGTGAAGTGGCAGTAAGGTAGTGGTAAAAATGAAATGCCAATTATTTCTATTCATAATCCTGGTAAAAACTGACCATTTGAAAGTAGACCTTAATAATGCCACAATGCTAAGATTACTAGTATCTTTAATTGAATGAGACAATTTTATAGAATGAAACTTCGTTAAAATTTGTAAACATGAATTGATTGGTGTAAGTTTTGATTAAGCATGTGGTTTGACTGACTTGAACTAGCCGACAATGCCTTAAAGGTACTAATTTTAATTGGTAAAACACAATTACAAATTCACATTTTCTGTATTATTAAGCAAAAATACTGAGAGAGATTAAATATAGGACCAAAGTTGAGACTATTTCATTTAATCATTAAACTAAACATTATAAATTTAGTTTTATCAAAATAGTATCATGCATTATATTATGTTAATAATATTAATTTGAATCTTATTGATTTTTGCAGTGTTGCTTTTATATTTAATTTACAAACTTTGAGTTTACATAAGAGCTATAAACAAAAAATATGTTGAGTTACTTGTTAATATACATTAATATTCCAACAAAATAACTACAATCAGTGCTCAGGATTTAGAATAATTTTATTTTTACTGTAAAATGGTCCATAGATGATATTCAAGTTTGAAAGCGATTACACAAACTGCTTCCTTTAGGTAAATACAAATATTGGAATCTCAACCTAAAAATAAAGCAAACTAGAGAAAATTATCAATAAAATGTCATATACCAGGTTAGTATCTTGTTTAGAAAAGCTGTATTCATACGTATTTTTTAAATAGATCCAATGACCTATCATAAATAGAATTTATTTTACAGTCCTTTTTCTGTTTTTTAAAAAAATAGACATATATACAAATACAGATGCCTAATGGGAAGCAAATACAGATGATAATCAAAATGCTAATGGTGGTATTTCAGGTGGTAAGATTTTAATATTGCTTATTTTCTTTTTCTTATGTTATTCACCATTCAGTTGTTTTACAATAAACATGTATGTGTAATCAGGGAGAAAAGCCATTTTCATTGTGGAAAAAATAAGCCACAAGTAAAATACAAACAGTACCCTTGTTATGTTTATAAGATTGTATTTGCATACGAACAATCGTTGGAAAGGAATACTGAATATTGACATCAGTTTGAGAGTCTGAAAAGGTGAAAATAACTTTTTTAAAAAATGTAGATTTCTATTAATTTCCCTGTGCAATTATAAAATCACTAATTTCAAGGGGTATTGGAGGAAGAAAGGGAACCACATAGGAGGGAAGAAAGGAATGATGGAAAACATGAAGCAGAACCTTAATTTCAGACCAGGTTTCCCAATTCGAAGTCTAGCACTTTTCATAAATAACCAGTATTCATTCAGTAAGCATGTACTGGGTGCCTATGCTGTCATAGGGATAGGATACTGAAAGTTCATCAATGTACAAATGAGACGAAAATCCCTGCCCTAGTGAAGTGTAACGTGTAGTAGGGAAAGAGACAAAAAGCAGGAAGTAAATTATATAGCCTGTTAGAATATGGTAAGCATTATATCAAACAAACTAAGCTAGGAAAGTCGGCTTAGAAATGAAAGAGGAGTGAGGACATAAAATGTTAAATGGGTTGCTGCAAATGCCATTAATCCATTCATTTTTATGGCCAAGTAGTATTCCATCACATACATATATACCATAGTCTCTTTATCCACTCATTGATTGATGGGCATTTGGGCTGGGTCCACATTTTTGTGATTGTGAATTGTGCTGCTGTAAACATGAGTGTGCAAGTATCTTTTTCCTATAATTACTTCTTTTCCTCAGGGTACATGGGATTGGAGATTGTTCTAAGTGAAGTAACTCAGGAATGGAAAACCAAACATTGTATGTTCTCACTCATAAGTGGGAGCTAAACTATGAGGTTGCAAAAGCATAAGGATGATACAATGGACTTTGGGGACTCGGGGGTCGGGGGAAGGTTGGGAAGGGGGTGAGGGATAAAAGACTACAAATTGAGTGCAGCGTATACTGCTGGGGTAATGGGTACACCAAAATCTCGCAAATCACCGCTAAAGAACCTATGTAACCAAATACTACCTGCTCCCCAAAATCCTATGGAAATAAAAAAAATTAAAAAATAAAAAATGTTAAATGGGGCAGCCAGAGGAGGACTCATTGAGTTTTGGGCCAAGTTGAGAGAAGAAGCAAAGTGGTGTGAGGAAGCCCTATGATTATTGAAAGACCCTGTCCAGCAGGAAGAACAGCCAGTGCCAGGCCCCCGAGGCAGGAACAAGCCCGAGGCACTCCCATGACTCAGGGATGGCATGAGGGGAGAATCGAGAATCAAGAAAAGAAATGCAGATACACTGGGCTGTGGGGGGCAGAAAGTGCAGAGCCCTCCTGCTACCGGAAGGAAGGCTCTGAGCGTGAGCTGTCCAGGTCCTTGGCATTTTGAACGAAGAATTAAAAATGCACAAACAACACAGGAATGAAACACAGGAAGGAAGCAGAGAAAGCAGGGATTTATTAAAGCACGAAAGCACTCCGCAGGGCGGCAGAGGGCCCCAGCAAGTGGCTCAAAGGCCCGGTTACAATGTTTTCTGGCTTTTAAGTACTCCTTTTGAGGTCCCTATAGGCTACCCCCTTACCAGGGATGAAGGATTTGCTCTGTGGCTAATTAAAGGCTGAGGCGAATTGGTGCCATCTGCAGATAAAGGGATGGCCCGTGCTTGGCCCGAGGCCAATCCAAGGCACTCTTCCTTCCATTTGAGACGTGGTGGAAGCAGGAGGGTGGTAGGGAGAGTAGCCTTGGATCCTTTGTTTCTCGGTGTGGGGAGATGGGGTTTTTCCTTTTGGTTTAGCTTTAGGAAGTTTGTGTTAATTGGCTTTAAGGTCCCTGCCCCGAGACCCAGGTGGTTTCCTTTTAACTTTAGGAAATTATCACAAACTGGCCTCAGATTCCCTAACCACAGACCTTGGTGTTTTCCTTTGATTCAGCTTTAGGCAATCAATATGAATTGTCCTTAAGTTCTCTGCCTCTAGACTCTATTCTCTTGCCTCACTTCCAGGCCATGTCAGAACTTTGCCATTTGCTTTGAGGGAAACTGAGGGGCCACTGAAGTATAGAGCAGATGAAGGACATGACCTGAAGTTACTGGTTTTAGCAGGATCATTCTCTCTGTTAAAGGTAGAGTCATGCCAACACAGGCTGGGCATGGTGGTTCACACCTATAACCCCAGCATTTTGGGAGGCTGAGGTGGGCAGATCACTTGAGGTCAGGAGTTCAGGACCAGCCTGCCCAATATAGTGAAACCCTGTTGCTACTAAATATGCAAAAATTAGCTGGACGTGGTGGTGTGTGCCTGTAGTCCCAGCTACTCGGGAGGCTGAGGCAGGAGAATTGCTTGAACCCAGAAGGTGGAGGTTGCAGTGAGCTGAGATAGCATCACTGCGCTCCAGCCAGGGCAATAAAGCGAGACTGTCTCGAAAAATAAAAATTAGAAAAAGATAAATGTTTGAGAGATGGGTAACCCAGTTACCTGGATTTGATCATTATACACTGTATACTTTAAAATATCACATTACCTCCAAAATTTGTACAACTATGACATATCAATAAATACACACACACACAGACTGGGTGAGAGAGGGAGAGTAGGTTTAGGACTATCGTACGTATATTAGTCAGCATCCCAGAAGCAGCACTGGTACACTGCACTGGGTAATCTAAAGAACAGTTTAGTAAAGGGGCTATTACACTATAAAGCTGTGGCCAGGACGTCAGGAAACCAGTGGAACAGAGCAGGTACTATAACCACCTTTAGGCCTGAATGAATGAGCAAGAAGGAATCAGTGACAGAGAGTGCTGGGTGGAGAGGGCCCCCTGATGAGAACTGAGAACTTTGGTTGAGGTGTGGTACAACCAGGCTGTGACACCTGCCCAATTGTCCCAGAGAACTGATGTGTATGGTCTCTTTTAAATAAAGATAGAAATTAGCCCTCGCAATCTTGCAACTTGAGGAAGTTACACTTGTCTTATTTGAGTTCATTTCTCAGGAAACCAACCATCAAGCCTCCCAGATAGTATTAAGGAAAGGAATTGAAACTTATCAGATCTCTTGTGTCTGGACAATGAGATCTCAGACCCCTCACCCACTGTGACTGCCTAACCAACCACCTGCTTCCTGTTAACCAACTCCTCTTCACTACCCCTCCCTACTTCCTGTTTTCCTGCAAGTTACATTTATTCCCTGCTATATTAACCCCTTATTGTAGTCAGTCAGGGAGATGGATTTAGACTGATCTCCCATTTCCTCAGGTGCAGCACCTGATTAAAGCCTTCTTTCCTGGCAATACTCATTGTCTCAGTGATTGCATTTCTGTGCAGAGAGCAGCAGGACCTACATCAAATCCCTGGTGTTTCAGTAACAGCTGCAGGAACCCTGCAGGTTCCTGTGGAATAAACACACCAACATTCTCTTCTCTCCTCCTTTCATATCTTGCTAATATACCCTATTGACCAAACCAGTGGAATCCCAATAGAATGCAAGGGAAATCCTTGATGTCATCTAACTGTAGGTATGTGACCTACTGCCTGATTCAGTAGAGGGAGCTTTATTGGAATATACTCTTGCTCTTAATTTTCTTATCTACAGCTGCTTTTACACCATAACTGTGGAATTGAATTGCTACAATAGAGACCATTTGATCAGAAAAGCCTTAAATATTTACTATCTAGCCCTCTACAGAATTTTTTTTGACCCCTGAGGTAGCTCACACCAGTTTGCCTCCAGGACACAAGATAAAATGTATGGTGGGCAGTGAGTGGCTAAGGAGGGGCAAATGGCAGCTATCTATCACACCAGAAAAGAGATAACAGGGGTTGGGATATGTTTTATGTCTCTGTCTGTGGCCTATCTTGGTAAATGTTCCAGGAGCAATTGAAAAGCATATGTCTCTTCTGTTGTTTGATGAAGAATTCTATAAATGTCAACTATGTCAAGCTGATTTTTAGCAGAGGAGATAGTGAGAAGTGAAAGGATTCTGGAATTCTTTTGAAGTTAGACCCCAAAGTATTACAAATGACTTGGATTTGGAGCTTGAGAGAAAAAGAGGAGTCAAGGATGTCTCCAGAGATTCTGGCCTGAGGAATGAGGAAGGTAGTTTCGCCTAGGAGAACAGCTACAAGAGAAGGTTGATGAGGGGGTGGAGATAAATAACTCAGTTTGGGATATGTTATTAATTGCATGTTAGACATCACAGAGGAGATTTCTAGTACACAGTTTGATATACAAGTCTGGAGTTCAGGGGAGAAATTTAGCTCGATGTATAAATTGGGGGTCACAGTATACAGATGGTATTTGAAGTCCTGAGATCACATGAGACCACCGAGGGAGTGTGTATTAATAGAGGAGAGGACTAAATTCTGCATCCTGAGCTACCTTAAATCATTCACACGTAATTAAGCCACACAGCAATCCCATGACATGACTAAATTATTATCCCTACTTTGTACGTGAGACAAACAATTCTCAGAAGTCAACTTCGTCATCAAACGTCACACGTCTGTGAGTACTTAAATCAGGATTTGAACCGAACTCTGGACTTCAGAGCACATCTCTTTAATATTCCAAAATTAAGGCTCCATGCCACTGCCCCATAAGCTTCCCCCTGTGTTGCAGCTTCGGGCAGTACTCTCAGAGCCGCCACTGCAGAGCTCTATTCCCAAGGTTCTTCCTGGGTCACTTGGCTTTCATTCTGCTCCCATCCACACTTTCTGAGAAACTATTAAGCTATTGGCTGAAGAACTAAAAGGAAGTAGAATTTGCTAAAAGAAACAAGGGAGGGGGAATATAATACAAATATTTGTTTAATATAGGATGCTGCTGAAGCTTGTATATTTGATCTTGCCAGATCTCATGTCAAAATTTGAACCTCTATATTAGAATGGAGCCTAGTAGGAGGCGTTCGAGTCATGGAGGCAGATGCCTCATGAATGTCATGGTGCCCTCCTCTAGGCAATGAGTGAGTTCTTACTCTATTAGTTCTTTGTTTCTTTCTTTTTTTTTTTTTTTTTTTGAGGCAGGGTCTTACTTTGTCACCCAGGCTGGAGTGCAGTGGCATGATCTCAGATCACTGCAACCTTGATCTCCTGGGCTTAAGCAAAAAAAAGCAAAAATTTTTGCATTTTTGGTAAAGACAGGGTTTTGCCATGTTGTCCAGGCTAGTCTCGAACTCCTGAGGTAAACCAGTCCACCTGCCTTGGCCTCCCAAAGTGCTGAGATTACAGGCATGAGCCACGGTGCCTGACCCTTACTCTATTAATTCTTGTGAGAGGTAGTTGTTCATAAAAGAGCCTAGTGCCTGTTCCCCCTCTCTCTTGATTTCTCTCTTGCTGTGTGGTCTGCCCATGCCAGCTCTCCGTCACCTTCTGCCAGAGGTCCTCACCAGAAGCAGAGGATGGGCCATGTTTCTTGTACAGCCTGCAGAACTGTAAGCCAAATAACCTCTTTCCTTTATAAAGGAATACCAGCTTCAAGTATTCCTTTGTAGCAACACAAATGGACTAAGACAGATTCTGTCTATCTTACACTAATAATGCTAATGTTTTAATGGTAATATTATAAACATCTGTGAAAAGTAGTTTGAAATGTATTGGCATAATTATTGGATGGGTAGGTAAACTTTAAAATTAAGCTATTTCAAAAGCAAAATTTATTTGCATGTATATGCATATATGTGTATGTACATGTTAAACACACATATATATACGGATACCACACCCCAAAAAGCATGGAAAGATGATTAATAGTCCTCCATTATGCATCAATATGTAGAGTTGCTGTGGCCCAATTGGTAAATTTTTCAACATGTGGCATTATAATCCATTTTAGCACTGAACACTTTGGAGTTGCTCTACTGTTCAAATTAAAAGTATAAGGCCCCACCATGACACTAGGAAGTGAGGCCAAGTGTCTAGCATTAACGAGAAGACAAGTCAAGAAAAGCAAAAGGCTTTCTGTTCAAAAGCAGTAGAACCACATGGTGTTTGTAAGATACTATGATATGAAGAAAACAGGTTGTCAAAACACAACCTGGAGGCTCAGGCACTCATAAAGCCATGATGTAGCTCTGAACATGCTTTAAACTTCCTCAAAGGTACCTGTGAAAATATCTAAGGAAGCCATTGTACATTTATCAGTTCTGATGAACTTTTCATTCAGCCTCTTATTAACAAAAAGTTTAAAGTTATTTTAATGGAATATCAATAAAAACAGGAAACACAAAAGAACAGTGAGGATTTTACAGTGGTTCGAATGATCCTGTGTCATATACAAAATTCTATGATTGTTTATGATGCATCCTCATCTAATCAATTTACACAAAAGGTTTATTATACATATTTATATGTGTATGTGTGTGTATATACACACCACATATATACAAACCATATATGTACATATATATGCATATATATACGTGTGTGTGTGTGTATGTATATATATATATATATATATATATATATATATATATATAGTTTGATAACAGTGCTTAGAAATTTGGCCCCCAACCCCTTAGCTAGAGTGAATAAATTCAAGGCTAGTCTCACACTATATTAGAGTTTCCACGGGAAAAGCAAGTTGACTAATCACGCTTCTGCCAGGAATGTAAATTGCTGTGTGTGTAGGGCCTCCCCTCATGTTGTTTTGCACCAGGATTCTCAATAAGCATAGGCCTGTTGCCATAAAAGAAAGTCAGCCAGTCAAATCCTGCCAACTCCACTACAAAGATATATGAAGACCTCTTCCTGATCATCAATTCACACTCACCAAGCATGTAAGACAATGTCCAAGGCTCTCACTCTGGAGTCTGGGTAGGAGAAAATGATAGCTGTGCATTCACCTGTGCCCCACCAGCCCGACTGCATGGGGAGAAGTCAGCAGAACAGCTCTGGGTCCAGCTGCTTGGGCTGGTACTGAAAAATGTTGAATAATCAAATTGCCCATTTCTGCTCAATTGCTCTAATTTATTATCCCAGGCATTCTGAATGCTAATGAAAACCACCTATCATACCAGTCCATGTCACTCTACTTTATGATCTTATTAAAATCTCTGCATTTCTTAGCCCTGCGACAACAAATAGAGAGTGGGACAGCTGTCCTCCTGCCTCCAGTGTGGTTCAGACACCTGCCCTGCCACTGCTAACAGCTGAATGATTTAGGCCAAATGAGCAGCCTTGGAGTGATATTTTTATACTCGTGACAGGATTATATAACTTAGAGAAAGACCATTAGCGAATACAAAGGAATAAGCAGGATGGGGAAGCAGGTGAAAAATGGGCAAGTAAATCTTTGGGTCTGACTCTTCATAATAAAATGCCCTTCACGTTTAGATTTAATGAGCTGGTTATCTCACCAAAAGGGAAGGGGGAAGCTGTCGCCCAAGCTTCCCAGCTTTTCTCAAGATGCACCCAATTACAAAGGGAGACCAGGCAGATGCGGCAGGCGACGGACTCCTGGCTCTGAAGGGTGCTCGGTGGCAGAGTAGCCAGAAAGCCGTCCAGTGGGAGCGATTAGCAGCCCTCAGATCTCCAAGGCTATGGCTGGGAAGGGAAACATGGAGTTCATATTTGTGGCCCAAATATGATTAAAGCTAATGAATCTACAGCAATTTAGGCTTTTAGCATGTGTATCAGTTTTTGTGCCCTCTTCATTGAAATGGAAATAACACAATTTTGCTAACACCATATGGTGAGAGCTATTTGACAGAGAAGCCTAAAGCCATGTCCCCTGGGGCAGGAAGGGGCGGCATCTCACTATTCTTCATCTCAACATTGTTATTTAGTATTAACTATGAAAACCATATGATATGAAAGCCTCCAGAGAAAAAGTATTACTACCATTTACCATTCAAGAAATACATGCATTTAGTTCCCTCTTGGACATGATTCATTCGTAAAAGAAAAAATATATTTGATATTTACGTGCATATAGTAATTACCATTTCTCAAATTTCTATGCATTTTAGTTTCAGAGCAAACGTTAGCTTTTGTTATCGATGAGGCTCACATAAATTTATGTAGTTATAAGTGACATATATGCAGTATATATGTGTATATATAAACACATGTATATATAAATGTACATATAAATATACAAAACCCCTTAATGCTCCCTAACCTTATCCACTTATGGATACTAAGTTGAATGCCTATAGGTCAGACCCTATATTTGCGGTATTAATAACTTCCTCTTGTTGAATAGCAGGAGCTTATTGTCTTACTCCAGGTACTCCCAAGAGAGTTGTAAACAGGAGATGGAATTTGTTTTACATTTACTTTGGGCTCTGGGCTACCCCTGTGCTTCCCTGCCAGCCCACTAGGTATTAATGCTTACCTCACTTGATGGAATTTAAATCTGCTCAAAAAGAGTGCTGCCAACCCTTTTTTAAACTTCCAACCCTCTCACCTCCGCTCCACCCCCAAGCACACACACACAAGTCACAGACTTCTGTGCTCACCTCTTTACTGTTTAGAATTCTCAGCTTTTCTTTCCAGATGTCTGATGTTCATCTCTCTCTGGCTTGCAGAGAAATTCCTGCCTCTCTCTTCTCTGGGATGATGATTTTTTAGCTGAGGGAATGGGGAGCTGGTTATAACAGTAGGGTATCTTCCAGCACTGGTATTTGCCACCACCCCAAAAACACAGTTATTGAATGTTTAATACACCTCTCCTCCCAAGGGAGCTGAGTCACTCTCAGGGAGCTAAGTTGGGATGCATTTAAACACAGCCTCAGCTTACTTAGAAATACTCTTCCCTCTGACTTAGCCACTATTATTAAGCCAGCTCCTTCCTTCCTTCTGGTGATGTTTTTCATCAAAGCCATATCGTTCCTCCCCTGCAATCTGGTTTCTATCAGGGTCTATTCAATTCCTCATAAATATCTGTACTTCTCTGAATCCCAGTTGTGGTCAGCTTTTATATTCTTACCCATTGGCTTCTTGCTCCCAGGCAAATTATGGAATGTGGTTATTCTTAGTAGTGGGAGTTAAAAAAAAAGTTTGTTTTCTTAAATGCACATTCTTGCAGATCTTTGAGCTATACTCAGTTGGAAGCATAACCAGATGGGGAGAGGGATTCGAGGAAAAGCAAATAAAAGAGAGCAAGTGAGTCTGGAACTAGCTAGCCCTGAGATTAATTTATCTGTGTATTCACTAAATAATATGTTAAGATCCAAGCCAAACAAGGAGAAACATTGTAAACAATAGCCTTGGGATGTTAAACCTTAGCCTAATGATCATGTCAATATTGACCATGGAGATACTGCATTGTCAAATTTGTTAAACATTTAACCAAAAACTGAGACAAAGGGAAATCTGGTTGTCTATTCTATGGATCGCTTGCCATTCAGACTTTGTTTTGTATGTCTGGAGGTGCACAGTTGAATGCCAGGAAAGCACAATTGTTTTAATATTAGTTTCTCTCAGCTTTTTTATTCTACTCACTACTGGAAATAGCAGAAGGAGAAAGACAGGATGCTGCATTACTCAGCAGGCAAAAATCAAGCCCCTCTTGGCCTATTTCAACTCTCCTTTAGATGCATCTCTGTGTACAGAGATATGTTTGCATGTTCATGGAAGAGTGTGTGTGTGTGTGTGTGTGTGTGTGTGTGTGTGTGTGATCATTGCTATTCACCTGTGGTGGGGGGAAGTCTTGAAACACAAACTAGACTGATAGTGGTGGCCTTTAAGGCAAGACCCATTTATTGTGCATTCCAAGGGATGAAAGGCCATAAATGTTACCTGTCTCAAATCTGACTAACGCTCTCTCCTTTGCTGGGTGCTTCAAAAAGTGTATAGAGAACACTCTGGTTGAGCTGTGCAGAGTGAATCTGTAAAACAAGAGCTGGCTTCATCACTGTTACTGCCTGCCCATTCTCTTTTCTTCACCACTCCCTCCCGTAGCCACAGAAGAAGAGATATGTGAGACCCACACACGCAACCAGGTAGATGACTCAACATGTTCTTCCTGTTACATGTGCACACATTTTCAAAGACGGTCATCAGGAGAACCTCATGACTAATATGAGGAAATGACGTGTCAAAAGTAAAAATCCAAGGCTGGCAATTAGTGGCCCACACCTGTAATCCTAGCACTTTGGGAGGTCAAGATGAGAGGATCTCTTGAGCCCAGAAATCCAAAACCAGCCTGGGCAACATAGCAAGACCCCATCTCCACAAAAAGCAGAATTAAAATTAGCAGACATAGTGGTACATGCCTGTAGTCCTAGCTACTTGGTAGGCTGAGGCAGGAGGAGCCCAGGAGTTCAAGGCTGGAAATAGCAGAAGGAGAAAGACAGGACGCTGCATGAAATCTTACTCAGTGGGCCAAAATCAAGCCTTTCTTGGCCTATTTCAACTCTCCTTGAGCCCAGGAATTCAAGGCTGCAGTGAGCTTTGATTGCACCACTGTACTCCAGCTTGGGTGACAATGAGACCCTGTCTCTAAAAGAAAAAAGTAAAGAAAGAAAAATACAAAATATCAATTTAGACAATGGCATAGATGTTTAAAGAGGAGGAAGAGGAGACACATTAACATTCCTCAGAATTTCATTATATAGGCTATCATTTCCTTTGCCAGCATTGAGACACTGTGTAGAAAAAAATGGAGCTGATAGACGGTGAGCTTGACCATATTGAGAGCAGTTTTCCAGTGTTGTTAAAGAACTTAGAAATAAATTGGTGGCGTACATTTTAAAAACAAAACTATGCAAAGAAAAATATTGAGGCAACTATTAACTCTAAGGAAGACCAAAAGTGATAAAAGAAGACAATGTGATCTGCCCCACTTGGCTCAGCTGTAAAAACTGAATATTTAATGAATGAATATATTAGGAGGATAGAGCTGTTGGTAGAAGTTATGTGGAAGTTGTAAGAGTTAAATCATCTTTCATCAAAGAAAATTTAAAAGTATCTAAAACTTAAAATTTAAGAAGTAGCAATGTTGTTATATTTAGAAACATGGAGGTAAACCGAAGAAAACTAAGAGTTCAAAACAGCTCCCTCTGCTGAATAAATTGAATGGGAATGGGTGAGTCAAAGAATTGTTTATCATTAGAATAAGTCTTGTAGATCACTTGATTCTTTTCAAGTATGCACATATATTTTGATAAAAATAAAAGCTAAATTCAAAGTTTTCTAAAAGCCTCAAGACAGGAAAAGCGAAGTTTCTCTAGCTTGCAAGATATGCTACAGTTCCAGGAATCCAGACTAGTGGAAGGAACAAAAGGGATTCTTCTTCCCCTTATATCTCTCTTTAGGGATAAGGAGCCCTCTCCCAGAAGGCCTCCAGCAGGTCTCTTCTCATATTCTACTGTCTAGAACTGGGCCAGATACCCACCTGTTAACCAGTTGCTGGCAAGGAAATGGGACACTATGATTAACTTAGACTAATAAGAATTTAATTCCAAGTCATATGGAAGATGGTGAAAGAACACCCAAACACAATAGAAATAGGAAGAACAGAAACAGTTGAGTGGTCAACCAAAAGTGTCTCTCAGCACATAAAATAATTATTCTAAGACCCACCCTTGATTGTCTTTTGTTTTGAATCAGTGGAGGAATGCTGAAAGGCTGTAGGAGTAAGACCCACTAGGGACCTTATCGTGAACACATTCAGGATTTATTGTTTATGGGCTTTAGGCCTATACTCATGATAAAGGAAGTGTCATGTACTTAATGTCAATGGAACTATGTGTTATTCACTTGCATTTAGTTTTTACAAAGGGCCTCTGTTTTTTTGTTGTTGTTGTATGTTCATTGTCAGCATGCACAGGTTACAGTCCTGTGGTTCTGACAACCAATATTGTTTTACCAACTGCCTGAGATGTTTAAAGAATGTGTAAACTATATGTCTGTGATATGTACGAAGAAAGGACCTGGACTCTTAGAAACCACATACTTCCTGAGAATGCTCTTCCAGAAGCCATACTTCCTAAAAGACTGGGCCTGCTTAGGGGAATTGTGCACATAGTAGCAAACTGCATGGCTTTGGAACACATACACTGCCTAATCCATGCAGTAGACAACCTATGTGGCTGTGTTCAGCAGCCTGTGTGAAGGCCATCTTTCAGAAACTCAAGCATAGACAGTGAATGCTAACTTGAAGACATGTCTGACAGGTAAGTGATGCAAGGAAGAATTTTGATAACAGGCTCAAGGTTGGGTAGCTACCATCTTGGGCAATCAATATGTATCCCTGTATCTTGGCCCCATCACTCAATAGCTATTGAATAAGTCATTTAGATACTCTAAAACCCAGTTTCTCATTTGTAAAATGAGAGAAGAAATATTAATCATCCAACATTTATAGAACTGTTAATTAATACATTTGCATCACAATTTCCAGAACATAATTATCCAATAAATGCTTACCATTTGTTATTCATACCTCAGTATTGCTTTCAATACTATGCATGAAATAATGCATGTGCAGTGTTGAACAAACTGCCTGGAAAAGAGTAGCAGTGCCCCTGCTGAATTATCCAGAAAAGCTTTATTGGCAACTAAAGTGATGTAAAAGGTGCTGCCTGGAATTAGGCACCTGGTAGCCTCACATAGGAATATTTAATAACTGCTAGATATTATTATTGCTATTGATAATGTCCCATCCATCTTCTCAAAGGCCAGTTGTGTGATCTGCTCCTACTCCTTATGCAGATACTTCTTGGGCTACATACTACTAAGTCTTTCAAGGAGTCTTTGGTGTTTATTTTAAATCAAGTTCATGGCAGAATAGAGAAGAGGACCCCTGATAGAATTTACTGTTGAGACTCCTACCCACGGGAAAATTGTGAATTTCATTTTCACAAAGGACAGATTGATAGGCTGAATTGTCCTCAAATATAAAACTTTAAGTGGAAGATAACCAATGAATTCAACTCATTGTATTTCTCATTTAACATCATTTGATGACAATATTAATAATCTGGAAGATCCCTGACTAGATGCCCTACAGAACACAGTTGCAAGCACCAGGATAAGCAAAGCAGCCACGCAGCTGAGAGCTATCTACCGCCCATTTTTCTCAAGCGCCATCTATTGAATTGCAGTCCAAACTGCAACACCAAAAAATGCTTTGCTGTTCTCCCCTCTGTAAAACCAAGGGAAGGATTCAACAACAAAACCTGTACAGAGCCTTAGCCCTCTGAAAACTTCCAGAAATGAAGTTAAATGAATATATTCAATTTACACCAACCCTCCCAGATAAGAAAGAATCAGTGCAAGATGACTCCTTTACCTCCAAATGAGCCCAACAGCTCATCAGCAATAGTTCTTAACCAGTCCAAAATAACAGATATGAAATCAAGAATCCTGATGGCAAGGAAGCTCATCGAGTTTGAAAAGAAAGTTGAAATTCAATCTAAGGAAGCCACGGAGACCAGTAAAATGATTCAGGAGCTGAAAGATGAAATAACCATTTTAAGAAAGACCCAAAATGAACTTAGGTTTAAGTTCTTAATCCATCTTGAGTTGATTTTTGTATAAGGTGAGAGATGAGGATCATTTCATTCTCCTACATGTGGTTAGCCAATTATCCCAGCACCATTTGCTGAAAAGTGTGTTCTTTATGTTTTTGTTTGCTTTGTTGAAGATCTATTGGGTATAAGTATTTGGGTTTATTTCTGGGTTTTCTGTTCTTTTCCTTTGGTTGATGTGCCTATTTTTATACCAGTACCATGCTGTTTTGGTGACTATGACCTTATAGTATAGTTTGAAATCAGGTAGTGTGATGCCTCTAGATTTGTTCCTTTTGCTTAGTCTTGCTTTGGCTATGTGGGCTCTTTTTTAGTTCCATATGAATTATAAAATTGTTTTTTCTAATTCTGTGAAGAACGATGGTGGTATTCTGATAGGGATTGCGCTGAATTTGTAGATAGTTTTTGGCAGTATAGTCATTTTCACAATATTGATTCTGCCATTCCATGAGCATGGGATGTGTTTCCATTTGTTTGTTTCATCTCTGATTTCTTTCAGCAGTATTTTGTAGTTTTCCTTGTAGAGATCTTTTGACTCCTTTGTTAGGTATATTCCGAAGTTTTTGTTTGTTTGTTTGTTTGTTTTTTGGCAGGTATGATAAAAGGGGTTGAGTTCTTGATTTCATTCTCTTCTTAGTCACTGTTGGTGTATAGAAGAGCTACTGATTTGTGCACGTTAATGTTGTATCTGGAAACTTTGCTGAATTCTTTTATCAGTTCTAGGAGCTTTCTGGAGGAGTCCTTAGGGTTTTCAAGGTAAACAATCATATCATCAGCAAACAGTGACAGTTTAACTTCCTCTTAACTGATTTGGATGCCCTTTATTTTTTTCCTCTTGTCTGATTTCTCTGGCTAGGACTTCTAGTACTATGTTGAAGAGGAGTGGTGAGAGTGGGCATCCTTGTCTTGTTCCAGTTCTCAGAGGGAATGCTTTTATCTTTTCCCCATTCAGTATTATGTTGGCTGTGGGTTTGCCATAGATGGCTTTTATTACATTACGGTATGTCACTTGTATGCCGATTTTGCTGAGAGTTGTAATCATAAAGGAATGCTGGATTTTGTCAAGTGCTTTGTCTGCATCTATTGAGATGATCATGTGATTTTTGTTTTTAATTCTATTTATGTGGTGTATCACATTTATTGACTTGCATATGTTAAACCATCCCTGCATCCCTGGTATGAAACCCTTGATCATGGTGGATTATCTTTTTGATATGTTTTTGGACTCAGTTAGCTAGTATTTTTTTAAGGAATTTAGCGTTAATCTTCATCAAGGATATCAGTCTGTAGTTTTCTTTTTTGGTTATGTCCTTTCCTGGTTTAGGTATTAGGGTGATGCTGGTTTCATGGAATGAATTAGGGAGGGTTTCTTCTTTCTCTATCTTGTGGGATAGCGTCAAAAGAATTGGTACCAATTCTTCTTTGAATGTCTGGTAGAATTCTGCTGTGAATCCGTGTGGCCCTGGACTTTTTTTGTAGGTAATTTTCTAATTACCATTTCAATCTCATTGCTTGTTATTGGTCTGTTCAGGGTATCTAATTCTCCCTGATTTAAGCTAGGAGGGTTGTATTTTTCCAGGAATTTATCCATCTCTTTTAGGTTTTCTAGTTTATGTGCATAAAGGTGTTCATAGTAGCCTTGAATGATTTTTTTGTATTTCAGTGGTGTCAGTTGTAATGTCTCCTGTTTCATTTCTTACTGAGGTTATTTGGATTTTCTCTCTTCTTTTCTTGTACAGTCTTGCTAATGGTATATTATTTTTCTTTTCAAAGAACCAGCTTTTTGTTTATCGTTTATATTTTTTTGGTTTCAATTTCATTTAGTTCTGCTCTGATCTTGGTTATTTCCTTTATTCTGCTGGATATGGGTATGGTTTGTTTTTGTTTCTCTAGTTCCTCGAGATGTGACCTTAGTTTTATTTGTCTTTGCTGGATTGTGTTAATTCAAAGACCTTGTCTTCGAGCTCTGAATTTCTTTCTTCTACTTGCTTAATTCCATTGCTGAGACTTTCCAGAGCATTTTGCAATTCTAAAAGTGTGTCCAAAGTTTCCTGAAATTTTTATTGTTTTTTATTTAAGCTATCTATTTCCATGAATATTTCTCCCTTCACTTCTTGTATCATTTTTTTGGATTTCCTTGCATTCGGCTTTGCCTTTCTCTGGTGCCTTTTTGATTAGCTTAATAACTAACCTTCTGAATTCTTTTTCAGGTAAATCAGGGATTTCTTCTTGGTTTTGATCCATTGCTGGTGAATTTGGGGGTGTCAAAGAGACTTGTTTTGTGATATTACCAGGGTTGGTTTTCTGGTTCCTTCTCATTTGTGTAGATTCTGTCAGAGGGAAAGTCTAGGGCTGAAGGCTGTTGTTCAGATTCTTTTGTCTGATGAGGCATTTCCTTAATGTAGTACACACCCCCTTTTCCTATGGATGTGGCTTCCTGTGAGCTGAACTGCCATGATTGTTGTCTCTCTTCTGGGTCTAGCCCCCCAACAAGTCTACCCAGCTCTGGGCTGGTACTGGTGTTATCTCCACAGAATCCTATGATGTAAACTGTCTATGGGTCTCTCAGCTGTGGATACCAGCACCTGTTCTAGTGGAGGTGGCAGAGTGCAATGGACTCCATGAGGGTCTTTAGCTTTGGTGGTTTAATGCTCTATTGTTGTGCTAGTTGGCCTCCTGCCAGGAGGTGGCATTTTCCAGAAAGCATCAGTGTGGAGGAGGGACCAGTGGTGGGTGGGGCCATAGAACTCCCAAGATTATATGCCCTTTGTCTTCTGCTACCAGGGTGGATAGGGAAGGACTATCACGTGGGGGCAGGGTTAGGCATGTCTGAGGTCAGACTCTCCTTGGGCAAGTCTTGCTGTGGCTGCTGTGGGGGTGGGGGTGGGACTCCCAGTTCACTGGAATTGAGGACCTAGGTACCTAGGAGTATTATGGCTGCCTCTGTGGAGTCATGGCAGGTTGTCAGGAAAGACAGAAAGCCAGCAGTCACAGGCCTCACCCAGCTCCCATGCAAACTGAAGGGCCAGACTCACTCCCACCATGCCCACTCCCAGCCTCGCTAACAGCCCCGAGCCTGCCAGGTGGAGGGTGAGCTGGGCTTGAAAATTTGCCTGAGGCTATCTGCCTCCCAGCTGCAAAAGAAAAGGGCTTTAGTTCTTCCCCTGCCTGTGAATTCTGCATGCCCAGTTCACACACTTTCCAGAGTTCTGTCTAGGAGACTTCTCACCCCATTCAAATTGTTACAAAGTTCAGCTAGAGAATGCTTTCTTCCTGTAGAGTTTTACCCGCTGCTCCTCTGGCCACTCTCCCGATGGATCCCTGTGGTGCCAGGCAGGAATGGGCTGCTGGGGACCCAGCGAGGTCCTGGGGCCTTTTTGCTACTTCTCCACCCCTGTATTTCACTTGGCTCTCTAATTTGACTCAGCCTCATGTAAAGTTGGAAACTTCTCCCACACACAGACTTCGTCTTGTCCAGTGGGGGTGCATATTTGGGAGAGGAGGGTCTCCCTTTCCCAATTCCCCAGTTTGGGCATTCACAGTATTTGAGATATCTCCTGGGTGCTGTAGGAGCAGCCCGCTTCCTTCTTTCCTTCTCGGGATTGCTGGTTTGTTCTTGCAGTTGATCTGGAGATAAAATTCACAGTGCAAACGTCCACATGCTGCTCTGTCTGGAGCTGCAATCTAGTCCTGCCTCCCATCCGCCATGATCCCCCTATTCCACATTCTGGATCAGTTACATTTCTAGTGCTAAACTGCCATATGAAGGTAGTGGCTACTGAATTAAACAGTGCAGATCTAGAGGCCGTAAAATATACTTTAAATCAATAAAATTAAGAAGGACAATGAAGGGTAATAATAAAGGGTACAATCCAACAAGAAGCCTTAACTATTCTAAATATATGTGCACCCAAAGTTGGAGCACCCAGATTCATAAAACAAGTTTTTCTTAGCCTATGAAAAGACTTAACCACACAATAATGGTGGGAGACTTCAACACTCCACTGATAGTGTTAAATCATCAAGGCGGAAAACTAGCAAAGAAACTCTGGACTTAAACTCGATACTCAACAAATTGGACTTAATAAACAGCTATAGAATGCTCAACCCCAAAAGCAAAGAATATATGTTCTTTTCATCTGCACATACAATATAAGATTGACCACATTCTTAGTCATAAAGCAAATCTCAAGAAATTTTTTAAAAAGTGCAGCTATACCAAGCACATACTCAGACCACAGTGCAATAAAAATAGAAATTGTCATCAAGAAGATCTCAACTATACAAATACATAGAAATTAAACAATTTACTCCTGAATAACTTCTGGGTGAACATTGAAATTAAGTCAGAAACCAAAAAAAAAATTGAAAGCAGTGAAAATAGGAAGACAGTTTACCAAAAATCTCTCAGATGCAGCCAAAGCAGTGTTAAAAGTAGAGTTTATATCCCTAAACACCTTCATGAAGAAATTAGAAATATCTCAAATTAGCAATCTAATTTTTTACCTTAAAGGAACTAAAAAAAAAAATCCCAAAGCTATCAAGGAAAAACAATAACTGAAATTAGAGAAGAATGTAATGAAATTGAGATGCAAAAATTCATACAAAAGATCAATAAAACCAAGAGTTTGTTTTGTGAAAAAGCAAATAAGACTGATAGACTGGTAGCAAGATTAACAAAGAAAAAGGAAAAGAAGATCCAAATAAGCACGATCAGAAATGACAAAGGCAATATTACCACTGATCCCACAAAAATACAAAAGATTCTCAGACTAGTGTGGAGCAACTCTATGCAAATAAATTATAAAATCTAGAGGAAATGGATAAATCCTGGATGCATACAATCTCCCAGGATTAAATCAGGAAGAGATCTGAAACCCTGACTAGACCAATATAAATTTCTGAAATTGAATAAATAATAAAGAACCAACCAATCAAAATAAGCCCTGAACCATATAGATTCACCACTGAATTTTACCAGACATACAAAGAAGAATTGATACCAGTCCTACTGAAATTATTCCAAAAAAAAAATCAGTGAAGAGAACCTCCCCCAAACTCATTCTATGAAGCAAGCATCAGCCTGATACCAAAATCTGCAGAGACACAACAATAAAAGAAGACATCAGGCTACTCTCCCTGGTAAACATAGATGCAAAAATCAACGAAATATTAGCAAACTGAATCCAGCAGTACATCAAAAAGTTAATACATTACAATAAAGTAGGCTTTATTTCTGGGATACAGGTCTGGTTCAACATACACAAAACAATAAATGTGATTCACCATGTAAACATAATTGAAATAAAAAACTACATGATATTCTCAATAGAGAAAAAGCTTTGGATAAAACACAATATTCCTTCATAATACAAACCCTCAACAAACTAGGTATCAAAGGATTATACCTCAAAATCATAAGAGCCATCTAT
Source organism: Homo sapiens (assembly GCF_000001405.40). Lineage (NCBI taxonomy): Eukaryota > Metazoa > Chordata > Mammalia > Primates > Hominidae > Homo > Homo sapiens. The sequence goes on along the minus strand of NC_000008.11, from coordinate 35,852,172 downwards.
GACAAACCCCCACCCAACATCCCACTGAATAGGAAGAAGCTGGAACAGTTCTGCTTGAGAACTGGAATAAGATAAAGATATCCACTCTGACTACTCCTATTCAGCATAATACTGGAAGTTTTAGCCAGAACAATCAGGCAAGAGAAAGAAAGAAGAGGCATCCAAATAAAAAAAGCCAAACGATCTCTCTTCATTGATAATATAATTCTATACTTAGAAAACTCTAGCAACTCCACCAAAAGGTTATTTAGAACTGATAAACAATTTTAGTAAGGCTTATACATTGATGCAAAATCAATACAAAGCTCAGGAGCATTTCCATATACCAATAATATCCAGGCTGTGAAAGTCAAATCAACAACACAATTCTATTTACAATAGCCTCAAAAAATAAAATACCTAAGACTACAACAAACCAAGGAGGTAAAGTATATCTACGGGAAGAACTATAAAACGCTGCTGAAGTAAATCAGAGATGGCATTAATAAGTGGAAAAACATTCTACATTCATGGATAGGAAGAATCAATATCAATGGAATAGCCATACTTCCCAAAGCAATTTGCAGATTCAACACTATTCCCATTAAAATACCAACATCATTCTTCACAAAATAGGAAAATACTATTCTAAAATTCATATGGAATCCAAAAGAGCCCAAATCACCAAAGCAATCCTAAGCAAAAAGAACAAAGCTGGAGGCATCACACTACCAGACTTCAAATCATACTACAAAACAGCAGTAAACCAAACAGTATGGTAATGGTACAAAAAAAGACACATAGGCAAACTGAACAATATAGAAAACTCAGAAATAAAGCCTCACATCTTCAACCACCTGATCCTCAACAAGGCTGATAAAAGCAATGGGCAAAGGACTTTCTATTCAATAAATGGTTCTGGGATTACTGGCTAGCCATGTACAAAAGATTGAATCTGGACCCTTAGCTTTAAATTAACCCAACATAGGTCAAAGATTTAAATGTAAGACCTCAAACTATAAAAATTCTTAGAAGACAACCTAGGAAATACTCTTCTCAACATTAACTTTGGCAAATGATTTTTGGCTAAGACCTCAAAAGCAACAAAACAAATATAAACAAGTAAGACCTAAATAAAGAGCTTTTGCACAGCAAGGGAAACCATCAACACAGTAAACAAACAACTTATATGTGAGAGAAGATATTTGCAAACTATGCACCCAACAAAATCCTAATATCCGGAATCTATAAGTAACCAATCAACAAGCAAAAAACAACCCCATTAAAACATAGGCAAAGGACATGAACAGACACTTCTTAAAAAAGAAGACATACATGCAGCCAACGAACATGAAAAAATGCTCAGCATTATGAATCATCAGATAAATGCAAATCAAAACCACCGTGAGATATCACCTCACACCACTCAGAATGGCTATTATTAAAAAGTCAAAAAACAACAGATGCTGGCCAGGCTGCAGAAAATAGGACACGTTTATACACTGTTGGTAGGAATGTAAATTAATTCAGCCAGCCACTGTGGAAAGCAGTCTGGAAATTTTTCAAAGAACTTGAAATAAAACTATCATTTGATCCAGCAATCCCATTGCTGGGTATACAGCCAAAGGAAAATAAATCGTTCCATCAAAAAGACACATGCACTCATATTTTCATCATTGTGCTATTCACAATAGCAAAAACATGGAATCAACCCAGGTGTCCATCAGTGGTAGATTGGATAAAGAAAATGTGGTATGTACATACCATTGGATACTATGCAGCCATAAAAAATAATGAAATTGTATCCTTTGCAGCAACACGAATGGAGCTGGAGGCCATAATCCTAAGGAAATTAACACAGAAAAAAAAACAAATTCTGCATGTTCTCACTTATAAGTGGGAGCTAAACATTTAGCACATGACATAAACATGGGAACAGTAAGCAGCATAGACCATTATGGGGATGGGAGGGAGGGAGAATTGGGTTGAAAAACTACCTATTGGGTCCTATGCTCACTACCTGGATGATGGGATTCATACCTCAAACCTCAGCATCACACAGTAGTCCCATGTAACAAATCTGCATGTGTACTCCATGTATCTGAAATGAAAGCTGAAATTAAATAATAATCTGGATAATCTCCTACTTAGGAAATCAGATTTTAGGCAACATCAACCATGTATAACAGAAGAATAACTTTTTTTTTTATTGGAAAGGAATCCAAAAAAACTCTAAAATCAATGTACTGTGTAAATGATTCCGTTACAAGAGGTCAGTAGGATTTCTCTTTCCATTATCAGTTATTACATATAGTGCATTCTTTAAAAAAAAAATCTTAGGCACTTTACTTTCTGGTATTGGCAGTTTTCTTATTGACTGAGAAGCTGTAATTTCTTATAGAACAGTAATGATATAAAGAGGATCTGGGTAGCTTGCTACAGTTTAAAACACCACATACAGGCTTAGACAATTTAGACTCTAAAGAGCTGTGCAGGGTGTCATTGCTAAGAGACTGTGTTTGAATTCTGAAGCCCAGTTGACTTGAAATTCTGAAAATTGAATCATCTACTCTACCTACTTTGCACCATTATTCTGAAAATCATGTGAGCTCAATGATTTTAGTGTCCCTTATTGAATAAAAGCAATGCCATACATTGGCACAGCACTTTATGATTTATAAGAGGCTTTGCCTCACTCTTAGGTATACTGATTTGGAAGAGATGATATTTCATCTTAGAGGCACTATTTGCAGGAATTTTTGTTCTTTTTGAGCATAAACAGAAACATGAATCGTTGCTTAGAAGTAAAAATGTTAAGAATGTAATTAGGAATAAAATGACTGCTGTACTATTTATCCGTTAAACTCTTTAGGTTACATTTATGTACTCATCAAATTCTTTTAATTATCTTTTAAGATGGAAAAATAATGTAGGACATCATTCATGTTAAACATACCAAATCATAAGAGAAAGTATGTACTAAAAAATAAAATACCCTATCATGTTTGAATCCTCAATTCGCCTCCACAGAGACAACTATAATTAAAAGTTCCTTAGCACTTATTTTTCCTCTATTAATTTATTTTTAATTGACAAATAATAATTGTGTATATTTATGGTGTAGAATTTGATACATTGAAATATGTATACATTGTGGAACGGTTAAATCAGGTTAATTAACATATGCATAATCCCACATATTTACCATTCTTTTGTGTTGAAAACACTTAAAGTCTACTCTGTTAGCATTTTCAAGTATACAATACATTGTACTAACTATGTCCACATTGATGTACAATGGGTCATTGAACATATTCTGCCTAATTGAAATGTTTTATCTTTTGACCAACATCTCCCTAAGCCAGGTCTCTCTCCAACCCCCTCCCCCAGCTCCTGGTACCACTATTCTACTGTCTGCTTCTGTGAGTTTGACTTTTTTAGATTCCACATCCTAAGTGAGACTGTGCATATTTCTTTCTGTTCCTGGCTTATTTCACTTAACATCCTGCAGGTTCAGCCATAGTGTCACAAACACCAAGATTTCTCTCATTTTTTAAGGCTGATTGGTATTCTATTGTATATATAATACATACCACACTTTCTTTTTCCATTCATCTGTTGATAGGCACTTAGATATTCCAATCTTAGGTATTGTGAATAATCTTGCAGTGAACATCGGAGTGTAGATATCTCTACAATAATCCTTTCATTTCACTTGGATGTATACTCAGTAATAGGATTGCTGGATTATAAAGTAGTTCTATTTTTAGCTTCTTGAGAAAACTCAGTAGTGTTTTCCATAACAGCTGTACTAATTCACATTCACACCAATGGTGTGCAGGTGTTCCCTCCTCTCCACATCTTCATTAACACTTGCTATTTTTCATCTTTTTGATAATAGCCATTCTAACAGGTATGAGGTGACATCTCGTTGTGGTTTTAATTTGTATTTTCCTGATGATTAGTTGTATTGTGCATTTTTTTCATTTACCTTTTGGCCATTTGTATATCTTCCTTTGAGAAATGTCTGTTCAAGCCCTTTGCCCAGTTTTAAAATCAGGTTATTTGTTTTATTGCTATTAAGTTGAGTTCCTTATATGTTTTGGATATTAATCACTTTTCAGATGTATAGTCTGCAAATCTTTTCTCTCACTGCTGTGCAGAATCTTAACAATGAGATAAGCTCATTTGTCAATTTTTTCTTTTGTTGCCTATGATTTTGGAGTCATATCCCCCCCCAAAAAAGTCATTCCCTAGACCTTTGTCATGTAGCTTTTCCTCTGTTTTCTTCTAGTGATGTTACAGTGGCAAGTCTTAATAAGCCTTTAATCCATTTTGAATTGATTTTCGTATGTGGTGTGAGAAAAGGGTACAATTTCATTCTTCTGGATGTAGATATCATTGTCTCAACACCATTTATTAAAGAGGTCGTCCTGTCCCAATTGTGTGTTGTCAGCGTCTTTGTAAAAAAATCAATTGACTCTATATGTATGTATTTATTTCTGATGTCTCTGTTCCATTCCATTCGTCTGTGTCTATCTTTATGCCAGCACCAATCTGTTTTGATTACTATAACTTTATAGTGTATTATGAAACCAGGTCATGTGATGCCTCTACTTTTTTAAAAAACATTTTAAATTTTTATGGGTATATAGTAAGTATTTATGGACTACATGAGGTATTTTGATACAGGCATACAATGTATAACAATCACATCAGGGTAAATGGGGTGTCCATCACTTCAAGCATCTATCCTTTTTTTGTGTTACAAACGATTCAATTATACTCTTCTAGTTATTTTAAAATGTACAATAAGTTATCATTGACTCTAGTCACCCTTTTGTGACTAGAGTCTTATTGACCAACTCTTATCATTTCATCTAACTATAGTTTTGTACACTTTAACCATCCCCGCACCCCTCCACCCACCTCTTACTACCCTTCCTAGATTCTAGTAATCATCATTCTACTCTATATCTCTATAGGTTCAACTGTATCTTTGTTCTATTGTTCAAGATTGCTTTAGCTATTTCAGGTCTTTTGTGATTCCATACTACATTTTGAATCATTTTTCCTATTTCTGTGAACAATGTCATTGGAATTTTAATAGAGACCACAATGAATCTGTATATACTCTTGGGGAGTATAGACATTTTAATAATATTAATTCTTCCAATTCGTGAGCACAGGGTATGTTTCCAAGTATTTGTGTTTTCTTCTATTTTTTAATCAATATTTTTTTAGTTTTCAGTGTACAGATCTTTCATATCCTTGGTTAAATGCATTCCTAAGTATTTTTTTTGGTAGATATTGTAAATAAAATTGTTTTCATGATTTCTTTTTCAGAGAGTTTATTATTGCTATATAGAAATACTACTGATTTTTGTATGTTGATTTTGAATCAGCAACTTTACTGAATTTATGTTTAAATAGTTTTTTTTGGTGGAGTCTCTAGGGTTTTCCATAGTGTGTAAAGTTATGTCATCTGCAAACAGAGACAGTTTAACTTCTTGCTTTTTGACTAGATATCTTTTACTTATTTCTCTTACCTAATTGTTGTGGCAAGGACTTCCAGTACTATGGTGCATGTAAGTGGCAAAAATGAGTACTTTTGTCTTGTACCTGATCTTAGCAGAAAAGCTTTTAACTTTTCACCATGGAATATGATGTTAGCTGTGGATTTGTCATATATGGTGTTTATTGTGTAGAGGTACATCCTTTAATACTTAAGTTGTTGAGTTTTTTTAATCATGAAAGGACATTAAATGTTGTCAAATGCTTTTTCTGTGTCTGTTGAAATTATCTTTTTTTCTTCATTCTGTTACTGCAGTATAACGTACTTATTGATTTGCATAGGCTGAATAATCCTTGCATCTCCCAAATAAATCCCACTTGCTTATGGTGAATAATCCTTTTAATGATTATCCCACTTGCCTGTGGCTACTGATCCTTTAAATGTTGAATTTGGTTTGCTAGTATTTTGTTGAGGATTTTTACATCTGTGTACATCAGAATACTGGCTTAAAATTTTCTTATTATATTCTTGTCTCACTTTGATGTCAGGGTAATGCTGGCTTTGTAAAATGAGTTTGGAAGGATTCCTTCCTTTTCAATATTTTGGAAGAGTTTGAAGAAAATTGGCATTAATTCTTTAAATGTTTATAGAATTCAGCAGTGAAGACATAAGATCCTGGGCTTTCTTTTTTTGATGGTAGTCTTTATACTATTACTGAGTCAGTTTGCTCACTTATTGCTGGTCTGTTCAGATTTTCTATTTTTTCAGGATTCAGTCTTGGTAGAATATATGTTTCTAGCAATTTATTTCTTCTAGTTTATTCAATTTGTTGGCATATGACTGTTCATAGTTTCTTATGATCTGTTATGTTTTCACACTATTATTTGTAATGTTTCCTCTTTCATTTCTTATTTGATTTATATGAGTCTTATCTCTTTTTTTTGTTAAGCTAAAGTTTTGTCAATTTTGTTTATCTTTTCAGAAATCTAACTAGTTTCATTGAAGTCTAGTGCACTGAAACTAATTTCATTGAAAATTTCTATTATTTTTCTAGTCTCTATTTTATGTATATCTTCTCTGATCTTTATTATTTCCTTCCCTCTACTAACATTGGGCTTAGCTTGTTCTTTTTCAGGATCCTTTGGGTGTAATGTTATGTCACTTATTTGAGACTTTTTTTTCTTTTTTGATGTAGGCATTTGTTGCTATAAACTTTACTCTTAGAACTGCTTTTGCTGCATTCTATATGCTTTGGTATGATGTATTTCCATTTTCATTCATCTCAAAATATTTTTAAATTTTCCTTTTAACTTTTTTTTTGACTTGTATATTTGGAAGCATGCTCTTTAATTTCCATATATTTGTGAATTTTCCAATTTTTCTCTTGTTACTGATTTTGAGTCTCATACCATTTTGATCAGAATATATACTTGATATGAATCTAGTCTTCTTAAATTTGTTAAGACATGATATGATCTATCATGGAGAATATCCCATGTGTGCTTGAAAAAATAGTGTATTTTTCTATTGTTGGATGGAATGTTTTTTATATGTTGATTAGGCTATTGTGTCCATAATGTAGTTCAAATTCAAAATTTCCTTATTAATTTTCTTTCTAGATTATATTTCCATTGTTGGAAGTTTTGTAGTGATGCTACCTGTTATTAATGTATTGCAGTCAGTCTTTCCTTTCAAATGTATTAATATTTGTCTTATATATTCAGATGGCCTAATGTTGGTGTATATATATTTACAATTGTTGTATCTTCTCAATGAATTTACCCCTTTATCATTAGATAATGACCTTCTTTATCTCTTTTACAGTTTTAAAGTCTCTTTTTATCCAATATAAGAATATAAGAGACCTGTGCTCTCTTTTAGTTACCATTAGCATGGAATATCTTTTTCATCCCTTTACTTTCAACCTATAACGTCATTAAAGTGAGTCACTTATAGTCAATAGATAGTGGGAATTTTTTTTAGCCACTCTGTGTTTTGATTGTATAATTTAATCCATTTACATTTAAAGTAATTACTGATAACCAAAGAATTACTACTACCATTTTGTTGATTGCATTTTGGTTATTTTAAATAATGAAATTATTCCATTTGCTGTTTTCTGACTGTTCTGTAGTTCCTTTGTTCCATTTTTCCATTCTTGCTGTCTTTCTTTGTGGTATGATAATTTTTTGAATAAATAATTTCCTTTGTTCCATTTTTCATTCTTGCTGTCTTTGTGATATGATAATTAGTCTGTTCTCACACTACTATAAAGACATACCTGAGATTAGGTAATTTATAAAGAAAAGAGGTTTAATTGGCTCATAGTTCTGTGGGTTGTACAGGCTTCTGCTTCTGGAGAGGCCTCAGGAAAATTACAACAATGGCAGAAGGGGAAGCAGGCACATCTTCACATGGCCAGCAGAAGAGAGAGCGAGCAAAGGGGTAATTACTACACACTTTCAAACAACCAGATCTTGTGAGAACTCACTCAGTATCATGGGAACAGCAAAGGGGTAATCTGTCCCCATGATCCAATCACCTCCCACCAGGTTCCTCCTCCAACACTGGGGATTACAATTCAATATGAGATTTGAGTGGGGACACAGAGCCAAACCATGTCAGGCATACTTTGATTCCTGTGTCTTTATTTTTTGTGTATCTACTATAGGTTTCTTTTTTTTTTTTTTTTTTTTTTTTTTTTGGTTAATGTGAGGGTCACATAACATATCCTATAGTTATAACAAACCACTTTAAACTTATAGCAGCTTAACTTTGATTGCATTAAAAAACTCCACAGTTTTACTCCATATACCTCCATATTTTATATTTTTGATTTCAGTTTATATCTTTTAATGTTGTGTATTCTTTGATGATTATTATAGTCATTAATATTTTTGATAGTTTTGCCTTTTAACCTTCATACTAAAGATATACATGATTGTTCTCACTCATAAATGGGAATTGAACAATGAGAACACGTGGACACAGAGGGGAACAACATACACTGAGCCCTTTTAGGGGATGGGGGGCAAGGGGAAGGGAGAGCATTAGGACAAATACCTAATACATATGGGGATTAAAACCTAGATAATGGGTTGTTAGGTTCAGCAAACCACAATGGCACATATATGCCTATGTAACAAACCTGCACGTTCTGCATGTGTATTCTGGAACTTAAAATTTTTAAAAACTTAAAGATGTACATGATTTACACACCACCATTATAATATTATAATATTCTGAATTTCACTAGATACTTACCTTTACCAGTGAGTTTTATACTTTTATATGTTTTCATGTTATTAAGTAGTGTCCTTTTATTTCAGCTTCAAGAATGTCCTTTAGCATTTCTTATAATGCAGGTCTTATAATCCATGTAATGGTTATGACATCCCACAGCTCTTGTCTGTGAAAGCCCTTATCTTTCCTTCATTTCTGAAGGACAATCTTTCCAGGCATAGTATTATTATTTTTTTTTCAGCACTTTAAGTGTATCATCCCATCTCCTGGACTGCAAAGTTTCTGCTGAGAAACCTGCTAATAGTAATAGAAATTTCCTTGTACATAATGAGTTGCTTTTCTCTTGATGGTTTCAATAGTCTCTCTTTCTCTTTGATTTTTGAGAATTGAATTACAATGTGCATCAGCCAAGATCTCTTTATATTTATTCTATTTGGGGTTCTTTGAGATTCATGGATCTGGATATTTATGTCCCTCTCCAGATTTGGGAAGTTTTCTCTCATCATTTCTTTGAATAAGCTTTTTTGCCCTTTCTCTGCTCCTTCTGGAATTTCCATATTACATAAATTAGTTCACTTAATGGTGTCTCATAATTTCTGTAGACTTTCTTCACTTTTTTCCTTTTTATTTTTTTTTAAGGGACAAGGTCTTTATCTGTCACCCAGGCTGCAGTACAGTGGCATGATCCTAGCTAGCTTACTGTAGCCTCAAACTCCTGGGCTCAAGCAATCCTCCCACCTTAGCTTTTAGTAGAGACAGGGTTTCTCTTTTTTCTCCCAGCTGGTCTCGAAGTCCTGACATCAAGTGATCCTCCTGCCTTGACCTTCCAAAGTGATGAGATTAGAGATGTGAGCCACTACACTCAGCCTCTTTTTTCTTTTTGTTCATCTGATGGGGCAATTTCAAATAGCCTGTCTTTGAGACCATTGAGACTTCTGCTTGACTGAATCTTCTGTTAAAGCTCTCCAGGGGATTTTTTGGTTTAGTAATTGTGTTCTTCAGTTCCAGAATATTCATTCAGCTCTTTTTTATAGTTTTTATCTTTTTGTTAAACTTCTTCTTTTGCTGATATATTATTTTCCTGATATCAATTAGTTGTCTGTTTTTCTTATAGCTCATTGAGCTTCTTTAAGACAATTATTTTTAATTCTTTGTCAGTGAGTTCATAAATCTCTCTTTCTTTAGGTTCAGGTACTTGTGCTTTATTTTGTTCTTTTGATGGTGTCTTGCTTCCCTAATTATTTGTGATCCTGTGCCTATGCATTAATGTTTGCATACTTGAAAACATAGGCATTTATTTCAGTTTTTACAGACTGGCTGTGGCAGGAAAAGCCCTTCATCAGTCAGCCCTTTCAGACATTCTAGGAAGGCCATATATCATGTTCCACAGGTGTCCCTGCTGGTTCCCTGCTGGTGTCCTTGTGTAGCTTAACATGAAGCCTCAGTCAACAGGTGGGCACGTCTGGTGCCTGGGTTTGCAGGCTTGGGCCTTCAGCCTGGGTCCACTGGGGCAGGTCTGAAGCATGGATCTGCTGGGGTGGGTCCATGAGGGCCAGCCAGGTGCTGGGATGGGCCTGGCAACCAGGTCAATGGGTATGACTCTGGAGTGTGAGTCTGTGGGGGCTGGTCTGGCACTGAGGTGGGCCTAGATCCTGAGTCTTCAGGGGTGGGCCTGGGTCCTGGACCATAGCACCATGAGAACCTGCCTGGAACTTGAAGCTAGTCTGGTTCTGGAGCAGGCTTGGAGCCTGGGTCCATGGGGGCCAGTCTGAAGGTTTAGTGTATGAATGCTGACCTGAAGCCTCAGGCTGTATCAGCTGGTTTGGCTCAGGGGTGGGCCTGGAGGCAGGCCTGGTGCTGTGGGAGCTGTCTGAAACCTTGGTCTGCAGGGGTAGTCCTGGAGTCTGCATTCATATTGACCAATCTGGCACTGAAGTCTACTGGGATGGACCTGGACCCTGGGGCCATGGGGTCTCACCTGGAGTAGACATTTCTTTTAATAAAGAGGAATTAACTTACTTGTGTATGTTACATGGCTGTGTATGTAAGTCAAATATATATGCATATATATATATATATATATATATATTTTTTTTTTTTTTGAGATGGAGTCTCACTTTGTTGCCCAGGCTGGAGTGCAGTGACGCGATCTCGGCTCACTGCAAGCTCCACCTCCAGGGTTCACGCCATTCTCCTGCCTCAGCCTCCCGAGTAGCTGGGACTACAGGCGCCTGCCACCACGCCTGGCTAATTTTTTGTATCTTTAGTAGAGATGGGGTTTCACCATGTTAGCCAGGATGGTCTCGATCTCCTGACCTTGTGATCCACCCGCCTTGGCTTCCCAAAGTGCTGGGATTACAGGCGTGAGCCACCATGCCCGGCCAGACAATATATTTTTTAAACCAGTTTTATTTTTTTCTTTGGCCAGAAATATTAAATAGTTTTTATCCAAAGACTAAGTTCTAGTGAGTAGAGGTGGCTACCGAAGACACTGTATTGAAAAGACTTCTAAGGCCCATTGTAAATGTTCTCATTGGTACCCAATGGATAGGGCTCTTTGTTTGCTAAATATGGTACAGTGATTACTTTCCATTGAAGAACTAGATCAAGGTGTGATACGTTGTTAGTATTAACACCCTTATTTAGACTAAATTTTGCTATTTTAAAATGTTAAATTACATACAAAATAACATTTTATAAAAGCATTACCAAATTCTTCATTGTGTTTGGACTCCTTCTATCAGTCCCTTTCTAGGCAAATTGATAGGAATATATAAGTCCCTCACCAAATACTTTAATAATAACAATTGCTTCTTAATAGAAAAGTCTATCCTCTAAACATCCCAATATAATATGGAACTAAGCAGTTAAATGCGTGTTACAATAGAGAACTAGGATACAAACATTGTTTAGGAAATTTAAAATAAAATAGTGTGAGGAGAGCTAGTGTAGACAGGAACTGAAATCATTGATGGAGTAAGAAAAGTATCTGGGTTTTCTGTCTTTATATTTGGTAAAGTGTAAAGATGCCAGGCAGGCTGTTGAGAGGGCTGACTTCTAAGTTTGATAGAAATCGTATTTGCAGGCCATGTGCAGTAGCTCACGTCTGTAACCACAGCTCTTTGGGAGGCCAAGGTGGGAGGATTGCTTAAACCCAGGAATTCGAGAGCAGCCTGGTTAACATAGTGAGATCCTTGTCTCTACAAAAAGTAAAAAATAAAATAATTAGCTGGGTGTGGTCATGCAAGCCCGTAATCCTAGCTACTTGGGAGGCCAAGGCAGGAGAATCGCTTGAGCGTAGGTGTTTGACGCTGCAGTGAGCCATAATTGCACCACAGCACTCCAGCCTGGGTGATAGAATGAGATCCTGTCTCTAAAAAGAAAAGAAAGAAATGAAAAAAATAGCATCTGCTGCAAATTCCATAAGCTTATCCAGAAAGATGGGTCATGTGGAAATTCATTTATTCACTTATTTATTGATTGAGTCTGTAAATATTTGTTAAGTAAATACAACATCTAGGACAAAACTGCAGGATGTACACTTAAAACATTGACTCCTTTGGTGCTTTATGTCGTTGTCAGTTATCTTCTGCTGGAAGCGATTCATAGTGACTTCAATTTCTAGCTCTACCTCAGTGATAACAGTAATAGTAATAATAATATTAGCAACACTAACATTGACTAATATGACAGGCACCAGGCTGTTTCATATACATGTAATCTAATTACTATGTCTATCTTCTTCTATACCTTTAAGGTGGTAACTGTGCCAATTTTCCCATTAAATTATCTTTGGAAGGTGGTGATGTCATATAGTCATTATTACGATAATTTCCTGGCCCATAACTGTGTCAGGAACTGTTCTAAGCACGTTTACATGTATTAACTGAACCCCAGAAAGCCTTAGATTATTACTGTCTTCATTTAAAATATGATAAATTCAAGGCATAGTGAGGTTAAGAAACTAGTCCAAGGCTCCAGAGCTAGTAAGTGATAGCGCAAAGTTGTTAATCCATGTAGGCTGGCTTCAGAGTTCATGCTTTTAAAACTATATTCTAGACCAGGCACCGTAGCTCATGCCTGTAATCCCAGCACTTTGGGAGGCTGAGGCAGGCGGATCACGAGGTCAGGAGATCGAGACCATCCTGGCCAATATGGTGAAACCCCATGTCTACTAAAAATACAAAAATTAGCTGGGCGTGGTGGTGCACGTCTGTAGTCCCAGCTACTTGGGAGACTGAGACAGGAGAATCGCTTGAACCCAGGAGGTAGAGGTTGCAGTGAGCCGAGATTGCGCCACTGCACTCCAGCCTGGTGACAGAGTGAGACTCTGTCTCAAAAAAAAAAAACAAAAAAAAACTGTATTTTAATTATTGGGGCCCTTCTTAAATCCTCTTTTAGTTTTCTAAAAGGGAAAGAACATTCATCATTGTTACATCAGTGATGATCATCATACCAATGATGTATCTATTAATAAATGTTTTAACACTGTCTAATATATAGTAGATGTTACATAAAGGTTAATATTTTTTGTGTAACCATCATAGTACTTGCTGTTCTCTGGCCATTTAGAGATACGTTGTTGATGTTAAATCCTTCAAACAGCCCATAGGCAGTGTAGAATTTTTGATACTCACATTATGCTGATACAGACATTGAGGTACCAGGACAATAAGTAGATTTCACAAGATTATGTGGATGATAGGGTTCATAGGTGTGATAAGAATCCAGGCTGTTTGTCTTTTAGCCAAAAACTGTGCTTGGAACAATTAAGTTTGTATACAATAAAAGTCTTAGTATTAGTTCCCAGTGTTAGCCCTTTACCCCAAAATTATACTTTCTTCTACATTATTAGAAATATAATTGTTAGGAAGCTCTGCCTGTACATCCTAGATATAAAAATCTCTTTGGATTTTACTTAGGAAGCCACTAAGAGGCACAAAGACATCTGTGGTGTAATTCCTGGGTATATTCTAGGCCCACTAATAACGAGTATAACAACAGCTAACATTTATCGAACATTTATTATATGCGAGTAATTGTGTTAGGCACCTTTAATACATTTGCTTATTTAGTCTTTAAACAAAACAAACTTTCAAGGAGGTGTGTACTTTTATTTTGCCCAAATTACAGAAGAGAATTGTGAGTTTTAGACAAGTGTTAAGCAATGTGCTTAAGGTCATACATCTTAATAAGTGGGATGGAATGGAACTCAGATCCAATGCCAAATTCCAGAATTTTTCCAATTCCAAAACCCAGGGTCTTGTAACAAATAATTCTAGTTACCCCTACCCATTTCCATGAGCAACCTCCCCACTAAAAATGCTGTTTAGGCCTAAAAATCTCCACCGAACTTTCTGAGTTTAGTCTTGATTCCCTACTTTGTTCATTCCTTCCTGTAATCTTCATGGGACTTCTCATTAGATTTGCTCTACAAAACCTAAAAAACACAATTTAGGTGTGCTCAGGTGACCATCTACCTCCAAACCCACACTCTAGAATCTCAATACTATTTTCTATTCTTTAATTGACAAAACTGTGTGTGTGTGTGTGTGTGTATAGATAGATAGATAGATAGATAGATTTTTTTTTTTTTTTTTTTGAAACGGAGTCTCCCTCTGTTGCCTAGGCTGGAGGGCAGTGGTACAATCGGGTCACAGCAACCTCCACCTCCTGTGTTCAAGTGATTCTCCTGCCTCAGCCTTCCGAGTACCTGGGATTACAGGTGTGTGCCACCATGCCCAGTTAATTTTGGTTTTTTATTTTAATAGAGATGGGGTTTCACCATGTTGGCCAGGCTGGTCTTGAACTCCTGACGTCAAGTGATCCACCCACCTCGGCCTCCTGAAGTGCTGGGATTACAGGCATGAGCCACCGCATCCAGCCAATGTTTTCATATATATTTGTGGAATGGATAAGTCAAGCTAATTAATATACACACTGCCCCACATACCTAACCTTTTGTTTTTGTGGTGAAAACTCTTAAAATCTACTCTTAGCAATTTTCAAGAATACATTGCATTGTTATTAATTACAGTCACCATGGGATACAATAAATCTCCCAAACTTATTCCCCCTGTCTAAATTAAATTTTGTATCCTTTGACTAATATCTCCCCATCTCTCCCTTTCCTTAGACCCCATTAACGACCATTCTACTCTCTGCTTCTATGAATTCCTCGTTTTTAGATTCTACATATAAGTGAAATTATGTAGTATTTGTCTTTTTGTGCCTGGCTTATTTCACTTAACATAATGTCCTCTATGTTAATCAGTGCCACAAATAAAAGAATTTCCTTCTTTTTAAGGCTGAAGAGTATGCTATTTTGTATTTATACCACATTTTATTTATCCATTCATCAATTTGATGTACACTTAGGCTGATTGTTTATCTTGGTTATTCTGAATAATGCTGCAATGAATGTAGAAGTACACTTAGGACTTCCACACAGTGCTTTCATTTCATTTGGATGTATACCCAGTAATAGTGTTGCTGGATCATATGGTAAATTATGATCATATGGTAACTTTTTGAAAAACCTCCATACTGTTTTCCATAATTGTTGTACTAATTTACATTCCCACCAACAGTATACCAGTGTTATCTTCTTTCCACACTTGCACCAACAGTTTTTATCTCTTGTTTTTTTTTTCTTTCATAATAGCCATCCTAATAGACATAAAATGATATCTCATTCTGGTTTTAATTTGCATTTCTCTCGTGATTAGTGATGTTGAGCATGTTTTTTAAATACTTATTGGCCATTCATAGAAATGTCTGTTCATGTTATTTGCCCACTTTTTAATCAGGTTGTTTTCTTGCTCTTGAGTTGTTTGAGATTCTTATATAGTCTGCATATTAGTCTTTTGTCAGATATGTGGTTTGCAAATATTTTCTCCCAATCCATGGTTTCTGTCTTAACTCTGATTATTTTTATTGTTGTTCAGAAGCTTTTTAGTTTCATATGATCCCATTTGTTTTCATTTTTTTTTGCCCTTGGTTTTGGGGTCATATAAAAATATCATTGCCCAGACCAATATTATGAGGCTCTTTCTGTATGTTTTCTTCTAGTGGTGTTACAGTATCAGTTTTTAACATATGTCTTTAATTTATATTGACTTGATTTTTGTATATAGGGTAAAATAAGGGACCAATTTCATTTTTCTGCAGGAGGATATCCAGTTGTGCTAACAATTTATTGAAGAGACTGTCCTTTGCCCATTTTGTATTTTTGGCATCTTTGTCCAAATGAGTTAACTACAGTGTGGATTTATTTCTGGGATATTTATTCTGCTCATTGATCTATGTGTCTGTCTTATGCCAGTACCCATTTGTTTTGATTACTATAGCTTTGTAGTATATTCTGAAATCAGGTAATGTGATGCCTCTACTTTTGTTCCTTTTGCTCAAGATTGATTTGGCTATTTGGAGCCTTTGTATTTCCAAAAAAATTTTAGGATTTTTTTCTATTTCCGTGAAAATACAATTGGAATTTTGATTGGAATTTACATTGAATCTGTAGTTCTTTTGAGTATGGTATAGTACAGAATCTTATACTATAGTACAGACATGTAATAATATTTTTCCAATCAATGAATGCAGAATATCTTTCCATGTATTTATATTTTCTTCAATTTCCTTTATCAATGTTTTATAGTTTTCAGTGTACAGAACTTTCACCTCCTTGATTAAATTTATTCCTACTTCTTTTGAAACTTTGTTTTTAATTTTTTGTTTTTATGGGTAGTAGGTGAACATATTTATAGGTAAATGAAATGTTTTGATACAGGCATGCAATGAGTAATAATCACATGGAAAATGAGCTATCCATCCTCTCAGGCATTTATCCTTTGTGTTACAAATAATCCAATTATACTCTTTTAGTTATTTTAAAATGTACAATTAAGTTATTATCAACTGTAGTTATCCTGTTGGGCTATCAAATAGTAGGTCTTATTCATTCTATTTTTTGTATGCCTATTTTTTTCTATAGCTAGGGTAAATGAGATTTTTTAAAAATTTCTATTTCAGAGAGTTAATTGTTAGAGTATAGAAATGCTCCTGGGTTTTGTATGTTGGTTTTGTATCCTGCAATTTTACCGAATGCATTTATTAGCTCTAATCCTGCAACTTTGCTGAATTCATTTTCAGGTATACCTTGGAGATATTTCAGATTTGGCTCCAAAGCACCACTAAAAAACAAATAACACAATAAAGCGAGTCACACAAATGTTTTTGTTTCCTGATACATAGAAAAATTATGTTTATACTATACAGTAGTCTATTCAGTGAGCAATAGCATTCTGTTTTTAAAAGCCACATATATCATAATTTAAAAATACATTTTTTAAAAATGTTAATGATTATCTGGTCCTTCAGTGAGTCACAATCTTTTTGCTGGTGGAGGGTCTTGCCACAGTGTTAATGGCTGCTGGCTGAGCAGATTGGTGGTCATTGAAGGTTGTGTTGGCTGTGGAAATTTCTTTTCTTTCTTTTTTTTTTTTTTTCCAGACGGAATCTCGCTTTGTTGCCCAGGCTGGAGTGCAATGGTATGACCTTGGGTCACTGAAACCTCCACCTCCTGGGTTCAAGTGATTCTCCTGTCTCAGCCTCCCGTGTAGCTGGGATTACAGGCGAGCGCCACCATGCTCAGCTAATTTTTGTATCTTTAGTAGAGACGGGGTTTCACCATATTGTCCAGGCTGGTCTCGAACACCTGACCTCATGATCCACCCGCCTCAACCTCCCAAAGTGCTGGGATTACAGGCATAAGCTACCACACTCGGGTGGAAATTTCTTAAAATAAGATAACAGTGAAGTTTGCCACATTGATTGAGTTGTCTTTTCATGAAAGATATCTTTGTAGCATATGAAGCTATTTGATAGCATTTTACCCAGAGTAGAACTTCATTAAAAATTGGAGTCAGTCCTTTAAAGCTCTGCAGCCACTTTATCAAATAAGTTTATGCAATATTCTAAATCATTTGTTGTCTTTTTAACAATGTTCACAGGAATAGATTCCAGCTTAAGAAACCACTGTCTTTGCTCATCCATAAAAAGCATCTCTTCAGCCATTCAAATTTTATCATGAGATTGCAGTGATTCAGTCACATCTTCAGGCTTCACTTGTAGTTCTAGTTCCTTTGCTATTTCTACCACATCTGCAGCTACTTCTTCCACTGAAGTCTTGAAGCCCTCTGAGTCACCACCAGGATTAGAATCAATTTCTTCCAAACCCCTGTTACGCTTGATATTTTGAGCTCCTCCCAAGAATCACAAATGTTCTTTATGGCATCTAGAATGGTGAATCCTTTCCAGATGTCTTCAATTTACTTTGGCCAGATCCACCAGAGGAATCACTATCTGGCAGCTATAGCACTACAAAAAAAAAAATATTTTTTAAATAAGAGGACTTGAAAGTCAAAATTACTCCTTGATCCATGGGCTGCAGAATGGATGTTTTGTTAGCTGGCATAAAAACTATCAGAGCTCTTGGGTGACTAGATGCATTGTCAATGAGTAGTAATATTTTGAAAGGAATCTATTTTTTCTGACCAGTAGTTCTCAACAGTGGGCTTTAAATATTCAGTTAACTATGCTATAAACAGACGTGCTGTCATTGAGGCATTGTTGTTCCATTTATAAGGTACAAACAAGTGTGTCAGCCTGTCCTATGAAACTTTGAAACCAGACATTGACTTCTCTCTAGTTTGAAAGTTATAGATGACATCTTCTTCCAACAGAGGGCTTTTTGATCTGCATTGAAAATCTGTTGTTAGGGTAGCCCCTTCCATTAATGATCTTTGCTAATCTTCTGGATAACTTGCTGCAGCTTCTACATCAGCACTTGCTGCTTCACCTTGCATTTTTTTATGTTATGAAGATGGCTTCTCTTCTTAAACCTCCTGAATCAACCTCTTCTAGCTTTAAACTTTTATTCTGTGCTTGCTCACCTCTCAGCCTTCACAGAATTAGGAGAGTTAGGGCTTTGCTTTCAGGTTGGGCTTTGGCTCAAGGGAATGCTATGGCTAGTTTTATCTCCTGTGCAGATCACTAAGACTTTCTCCATATCAGCAATAAAGACTTTTGCTTTCTTATCTTTTGTGGGTTGACTGGAGTAGTACTTTTAATCTCCTTTAAGAGGTTTTCTTTTGCATTCACAACTTGGCTAACTGTCTGGCAAAAGAGTTCTCTCTCGGCTTTCAACATGGCTTCCTCAGTGAGCTTAATCTTTTCCAGCTTTTGATTTAAAGTGAGAGATGTGCAACTCTTCCTGCCACTTGAAACTTAGACGCCACTGTATGGTTATTAATTGGCCTGATTTCAATATTGTTGTATTTCAAGGAATACGGAGTCCCAAGGAGAGGGACAGAGGTGAGGAAATGACTGATTAGTGGAAAATTCAGAACACACACCTTTATCAAATAAGCTCACCATCTTATGTTAGCATGGTTCATGATGCCCCAAATAATAATAGTAAAATCAAAGATCACAGATCACTGTAACAGACACAACAATAATGAAAAGATTTGAAATATTGTGAAAATTACCAAAATGGGACACAGAGTTATGAAGTGAGCACATGCTGTTGGAAAAAATGGCATCAATAGACTTGCTCAACACAGGGTTGCCACAAACCTTCAATTTGTAAAAAAAAAAAAAAAAAAAAAATTATCTGTGACATTCAATAAAGTGAAGTGCAGTAAAATGAGGTAGGTCTGTATTAGTTCTAATACTTCTTCATTTACATTGACTTTACCCTGCTCTGGTCTAGTCCTGTTAAGCTTTCACTAAGGTAGAAATGGGGATCTGTTTACTTTATCCTTCCTGTTTGGGAATTCTGTCAGTAAATTATCTTCCTTGGCTTAATGCTACTTTCCTCTGATGGTCATCTTGCTCAGATAGTTTGTATTGCTGAATTTTGCCTACTATGGATCAGACACTGCTAGCATCTATAGAAACACCTTGTTTCCATGCTGTCTCATCATCTTCTTGGTACCTCAAAATTTAATAATTAAAACAATAATCATCTAATCATAAGAATTCCAGGAATAGGAGGTTCACATTTAAAGAAACTGCTTGTCTGCAATCTCCCCTTTGTAGTAGGAGTTCTAACCTGAATCTTACTAATATTTAATATCCCTGGATATACCTTAAACTGGTCAGTAAACCTAAATAGTCCTTGAAGGGTTATGTGTAGACTAGATTACTAACATTGCCTGGGCAAGGATACAGGAAAAAGTCCACCCCCGAAAGACAGTTTGAGGAGGTCAAAATAAAAGAACAACAACAAATTCTAGGCAAGTGCTCCATATATCCAAGATATGTTTATCCAGTTGATTAAGGAAGAGAGAATGTGGATACCTCTCTTCAGTGCTAATTCTTTCTAGCCAATAGGAGAGCTATATGAATCCATTCTGTTTGTCACTTGACTAATCTTTGCAAATATCTTATAAAAGTGGGCATGACAGTGGGCAGAAATGTGAGTCCACATTATAGATTAGCATCAGATTAGTGGAAATTAATGTCTTTTTTTAGTGGGAACCTGTTTTTAACTAAGATAGATGGTTTAAACAGCAGCATATAGATCAAAGAACATGTGGACTGAAATGGGCTAAGGGAAGGATGAATCCTTCTTTGTTTATTCACGTTCTTTGATTAACTTGAGGTAAAAACTACCCATGATTTACTTCTGTGGATATCCATGATTTCTTCCAGCTATCCCCAAAGGTAAGCAGTAGGAATTTGGGGAATTCCATAATGCCCTTTGGCACCTACCGCTGTCTTGAAGATCTAGCTTCTAAAGAATAGTTTCCAAAAGGCCATAGAGGAAGTGGCAGTGCAGGCTAATGAAAATACCTAGGCCTTGAAGAATAGAAATTCCCAGCTTATGGCTGGTTTCCCCCCATTTTGTTTAAAAGTAATGATCAATCACTTTCAAATGTGTTCCTCTTTTTTGGACCCTCAACTTTTTACTAGATGAGCCATTCAACAGTGTATTCAAGAGTGTATTTACAAAGAGCAATAATTGTGCTGGGCAGATGACTTTGATTTTTTTTTTAAACTCGCTTTTACAATAAAATAAATGTACAAGTAAGAAAATATTGACAGAGTTTTTACTATGTGACAGCTGGTGGGTATTAGGTAATTAATATGGACACTGCCTCCCATAAAAAAAAAAAAACTCAAAGAAAGGAAATACACCCAGAATCTATAGTAAATCGATAAGAAATATGACATACTCAATTCTGCCCACTTCCTTGACTTTCCCACCTCCTAGCCCAAATACAATGTGATTGCTTTCAACTCAAGAGTCTAAAGTCAAATTGTTCACAGCTCTTCCAGTAACCTGCCCAAATTCCTACCATTCCTCAGGGCCTCACTAAAGGCCACTTTCTGAATAAATCCTTGTATTCCTAATTCCTTTGCTCTGAGCTTGGTGTCTTACAAGTTTGCGCTTTCTGTTTTTAAAGATGGGGACTTGCTCTGTTGCCCAGGCTGGAGTGCAGTGGCATGATCATGGCTCACTGAAACCTCAAACACCTGGGCATAAGTGATCTTCCCACCTCAGCCTGCCAAGTCACTGGGACTTCAGGCATATGCCACCATGTCTCTCTAATTTTTTTTTTATTTTTAGAGACATAGGATCTTGCTATGTTGCCCAAGGTGCTCTCAAACCCTCCTGGTCTCAGATGAACCTACTGCCTCAAGTTTTCCTTTAATTTTGGTTATCCATTATTCATTATAAGAGTGTCCAAATCCATTAAGTTTCCTCTATGCTAATTGTGTCTCTAAAACTAGATTGCATGCTCCTTGAAATCAGAAACCATATCTTATATTCTCTCTGTGTTTCATACAGAACCTAGCACAGTGCAAAGAACATAGGTGATTTTGTTGAATTATCTAATTCTTTGCATAGCTTCTGTCTCTTAATCAGGCTGTCCTGAACATTCACCTTCTGGCATTTGAAACACATTTTTTAAAGATTCAGAACAGAGAAATGTTTGATATATGATGAGAGGCTTGGTTGTTTGTGTTTCTGCTTTACAGCTTCTTGTGATTTGGGGCAATTTATCTTTCTTACTGCTATTCCAGCTCTGACCTGTCTCGGCTTCCATAGCCTGAATGTCACATCATTGATCTGACTTGGATTGTATCTTCCATGTGTCAGAAAAAGGCATCTACTCACAGTTTTTTTCAATCAGGCTTAATACATCTAACAATCCCTAAGCCCACCAGGTAGGTTAAGGAGAATTATAATTTTAATTGCATCTGTAACAGCATACTCGGCATTGAACTTGGTGGGAGTACCATGTAAAAACTCAAAGCAAAGATAATCATGCACTTAACCTTTGGCCTCATGCTGGTTTTTGCTTCACTCAGTTGGAATTGTTAAATGTATTAACATTTATGATTGGTGAAGTTTCTTTTTTCCATTCTCCAGTTTAAGTGAACAAATAGGTGGTGGGGGCATTCCACTTCAATTAGGCACTTATTCTTTCCTGTGCTATGAATTGCCCTTGCCAGATAAATCCTTTTCTTTTTATGAATATGTCTCATTATCTACTTGTAGATTCACTCCTTTTCTTTTTTTCTTCCTTTCTTTATTGCAGTAAAGTACAAATATAAATTTTAAAAAGTTAAATGGTACTTCCAAACTTATACTGAAAAATAGCAATTTTCTTCTCCATCCTATTCACTCCCAATTCTTCTTCCCCTGAGGAAACGCCTTTCAACTTTTTTAGCTATTCTTTTATTTTTACTTCTGTATTTGTAGATACTGTTGTTATACTTTTCCTTGAAAATTTTTAGCTTTACATATTTTCCATTGAATGCCTACTAGACAGGATAAGACTTCAATTCTTTTGAATACTTAACAATACACCCACCCAACCACCCACACATAAACAAATGCATGCATGCATAACACAACCTCATTCACTCATAATACACTATTTTTTCAATATAGTTATTCTTTTCTTTCAATATAGTTATATCACATTTTTTGTTAGATCAATATTATGTGTTTATATTACTAGTGTCAGGCCTCTGAGTCCAAGCCTGCACATATACATCCAGATGGCCTGAGGCAACTGAAGAACCACAAAAGAAGTGAAAATGGCCGGTTCCTGCCTTAACTGATGACATTACCTTGTGACATTCCTTCTCCTGGACAATAAGTATCCAGAGCTCCCCACCGAGCACCTTGTGACCCCTGTCCCTGCCCGCAAGAGAACAACTCCCTTTAACTGAAATTTTCCACTACCTACCCAAATCCTATAAAACTGCCCCACCCCTAACTCCCTTTGCTGACTCCTTTTTCTGACTCAGCCCGCCTGCACCTAGGTGATTAAAAAGCTTTATTACTCACACAAAGCCTGTTTGGTGGGGTCTTCACACAGATGTGTGTGACAACTAGGATTTTGAAACAATCATTCACAGCTGAGCCATGTATAACACAATCACATCTTATTTCCAGTACAGTAGTAAGTCCTGAGGTCCCTTATTACCTCATTTTAATTTGGCTTAGTTATCTCTATATTAATCACAAATATGTCTCCAGATTCACTAATAGTTTTGATGATACCCCCTGAATATATTCAAATATGTTGGATATTATATCTGTTTTATTTTCTTGGCAGAAGTACAGTTTCTGGAACTCAGAGGCTTCTGGCTTCAATTCTGATTCATTGCTTTCTAAGTTTGAAGTGTACCAAACATCCTGAAACTATCTTTCTCTAAAATCCTGGAAATCCCTTTTGCTTCTCATTTGTTTTGGATCCTTATTTTTAGTATTCCGTTTTTCCATTTCTGGTTTTCTCTTTCGTTTTCATAAGCATATCTTCCAGGAGTTTCCTAGGAAAAGAAAATTTTGAGACATTTCCTGTCTGAAAATGTTTTTATTCTATCCTCCCAACTTAGTGATAGCTTGGCGAGGTATAGAATTCCAGGTTCTAAATTATTTTCCTTGGAATAGAGAACTTCAGTGATGTCCTTTCTCTGAAAACATATAGTAACTTCCATTTTAGGAGTTTGAAATTCTGAAATTTCAAAGTATAGCTTTAATTGCAGACCTTTAATATTTTTTATTCAGGATTTCAGAAGTGATATCTTTAGTTTATGTCATCCCTGACATTGTAGATTAAAAACAATTTTTTTGGCAATTTCTTCTACCCCTCACACCCTTCACTTTATCTGTTCTATCTGGGAATATGCATTTCCAAGCTTGATTCCTTAATTTTCTTATATTTCCTCACCAATTTTTGTATCTTTTGTTCTACTTTTTGGGAGTTTTTATCAACCATTAAGTTGGTTGTATAAATATATCTGTGGAATTACCTTAAATTTTTGTGTAATATTTTTAGTTTCTTAGAGCACTTTTTTGTTCTCTGACACTTTTATATGGAATCCTTTTCTTGTTTTAGGGGTGTATTTCTTACAGTATCTTTCTAAGTATATTAATTATAGATGCTTTTATTTTCTTGTTTTTGCATTTTAATTTTAGTCTCAACTTTGTTCATCCTCTTGTATCTTTTTCCTCAGTTTTTTTGTATTCTCTTTTTTAATTTTGGTATCCTCCTTTTACACTAGAAGCTTTTATCAAATGTCTGGTCACCATTGACTTTCCTTTCATACTTAAAAATGAGGCACCAAGAAAACAACAAACAAACAAAAAGCCCTATTCAAATGCTCTCTGAAGACAAGTAGTGCCTGCTCTCATTCATATGTAGGAGCTGCAAAAGTGCGTCTCATGATGTAGAAGAATTGTGGTTACCAGAGGCCAGGAAGGGGCAGCAGAGAGTCGGGGATGGGGGGCGGCGGGGGGGGATGAAGGCAAAAAAAAAATTTAATGTAAAAGCATAATCATGTTGATAATTTCATTAATTTATTCTAGCAAGAAACATTGTCCTTCTTTTGTAATAAGCCCATAATGATTTTTTTAATTGAAACTGAAGAAATTGTTGTTAACCAAGTGTGATTGCAGCTTTGTAAAAAGGACCTATAAAAGTCTTATAACAATAAACTTTACACGTTGGCCATTAAAATATGCAAGGAATTTCATCAAACAGATGAATTACCAGTATTTGTTTCAAAAAAGATTTCAGCTACAAATATATTCTAAAATATAGACAGCCTGTCTTTTGGGGCTCTTCTCCTAATACCTGGGTATTCAAATAACTAGGTTTAGGGGAAAAAAAACACGGTTTTTATCTATCAAAAAAGAAAATAGAAAAACTCTCTGAATGGTTGGGGCTTGTCAACTGGTGAGCTTCACGGTTGGGTAATAAGGTTGACTCTGCCTGTCTGGTTTAAGGATCTCCAAATGTCAATATCCAAACTTGTTTTCTCTGGGGCTTGTCCATTTCCTCACATAAGAATGTAGCAATTTTCTGGGAGGGGGATAGAAACCTGACAGGTAGCACTGCCGGAGATAAGCCTGGAGTGGGGGTGGAGGGGTTGTACAGCAGTCTCACTATTCAGTATATTCACCATCACTCTCCCTGCTCTAAGTATGGGACACACTCTTCTGTAACTGTATCTCTATTCTTTCTCTAGTTCTGCTGCTATCATGGAAAGGAGACACGGTTTGGAAACAATGCTGTGGGTCTATTTCTCTCTGTATTAAAATCACCACAGGGTTTTTCTTTTTTAAATTATTAGTTAATCGGGCAATGAAACCAAAAGGAAGCAGACAATTTAAGCAAGTAACCTCGGTGTGGAGGACATAAAGCAGCCACCCAGTGTGATGCAGAACGTGCCTGGGAGTCTCCCTGCAAATCTTAAAGCCTTTCAGCCAGTCCTAGGAGCTCACCGACTGACTCTGCTCCCCACTTTCACTGTGTGTTCACTGAATAGTCCCACTTTTAGAACAGTGCTTAGCACCTATTAGGTGCTCAATAAATATTTGTTGAACTAATGAATACATGACTTCATAACTTTGGCCTTTGATGGCTGAGCATTTTTAATTCCCTTGCAGACCCCTGCCCTGTAGGTCTGGTGTTCAGCGTTCTCAGGTATGCTACTTCAGCTGCTGCTCCTCTACTCAGATCAGTTTCTCTTCACTACACTTGGATCCTTTCCTGTTCTGGATATGTATGTGGTTCATGGACTGTTTATTTTTTTCTGTCATTTTTGTTGACATTGGCAATGGGAGAGATACAGGTTAATGTATGTTTAGTCTGCCACATAACAACATGAGATTTTCTGCCTTAATTTTGTTATATATATAAAATACTTCAAGTATCAAAGTATATAAGATAAAAAAATATTTCCATATCTTTTAGAAAAATCTTATTTTAGTCACTTTGATCAGATCTCTCTCTCTCTCTTTCGTTTTTTAAGGAACCCAAATATCACAGATGGATAGTTAAAGCCTCTTTTAACTTAACTTCAATTACATTCCTTTCCCTCATTCCTCAGAGGTAATTACTATAACTTCATTTGGTATGTTTTATATCCATCCATGTTTATTTCTTTTTCTCTTTTTTTTTGGAGACAGAGTCTCAGTCTGTTGCCCAGGCTGGAGTTCAGTGGCACGATCTTGGCTCACTGCCGCCTCCGCCTCACGGGTTCAAGCCATTCTCCTGCCTCAGACTCCTGAGTATCTGGGACTACAGGTGTGTGCCGCCACGTGCAGCTAATTTTTTTTTTTTTGTATTTTTTAGTAGGGACAGGGTTTCACCATGTTGCCCAGGCTGATCTCGAACTCCTGAGCTTAGATGATCTGCCTGCCTTGGCCTCCCAAAGTGCTAGGATTACAGGCGTGAGCCACTGCGCCCAGCCCCATGTTTATTTCTTAATGTACATGTATGTAGCCCCATATAATTTATTTTCTTTCTATTGTTACAATTCTATGTAAATAGTGTCAAATTGCACATATTATTCTGCCACTTTTTTCACTCAGCATGTTTTTGTCATGTACATGACACGTTGATACATTCATTTTACAGCTTAAGGTGTTCTATGCATATATTCTTTGTCTCTGACTTTTGCCTATCTTAGATTAAAAGCTATCATGGAACACAAATGGGGTCCTTAAAGCTCATTACATATCACCATTACAAAGAAGCAGCATAGTTTTAAGAGTCTGGACCCTGGTGTCAGGTAGGTCTGAATTCAAACCTGGAATCTTTCATTTACTAGTTACATAATTTAGGGCGAGTTACTTAATTTCTTAGCCCTTGATATCATTATTTATGAAATTTGTGTACTAATTATGTAGACCTTATTGGTGTTGTGTGGATTAATTAAATATATAGACTTTGGTGCAGTATTTGAAAATAGTAAATAGTCAAATAATGGAGCTGCTATCATTATGATGTTATATAATGGCCAACAATTCAACACTCACAGAATCTTGTAACTGGTAGTTTAACTATTGTAGAATGTTTGAATTCTCTTTGGAAATTTCCCTTCAAATTGTAATCTGGGTTCTGCCTGAATACCTTAAGTGACTTGAAATTCTAAGAGAGTCATCCCAGTTTTGGACAGTTCTGTGAAAAATATGTTCACTATAAGGGGGAAAAAAATGTTTCCCTGTGGTTTCTGCAGAATTGGTCTTAGTTCTACCACTTGGGACCAGGCAGAAAAATTCTAATCCCTCTTCCATGTGACAGACTTTCAAATATTTGGAGACAAATATCAAGTCCCCCCGAGTCTAATATTGAAAACAGAAAAAAGAAGAAGAGAATTGGTGCATGTCAGTGATGGATAAAGCCTCACATATTGAAACCAATAGGTAAAAGTAGAAATAAGTACCTTAGAACTTCTACTTTTACCAGTTCCTCCAAAATGAAAAGCTGTCACCAGAACCTCCCTTTGAAGAAATCTTGTAAGTGCCATTGAAGTTTTTTGTTACTACCTTTTGGGGACCTGCTTTGATGGTATTAACATAAGTGCTACCAAATGGACTGGGAAATAATCTTTAAACATATCTTATAAAGAGAGTCTTTATTATAATCTGTTACACGTTAAGCCTGAAATGAATAATAATAGAAGGGGATGCTCTGGTTTTACAAGGCGATAATGTGGTATCTGAGCAGTCAAACTTTATGGAGAGGCAGGCTGCAGAGCAGTTTTTCCCAGAGAAACTCTGACTACTGTGGAACTGCTACCAATCCAGAGGTGTGACCAGTCTCAGGAAGACTTTGGTTAACAAAAATAGTTCTTCTTCCTTAATTTTTAACTAACGTTTACTCCAGGTACTGTGTACAAAACATAGGCAATATACACTTATTATATCTTCCACTGAAGGTCTTTCTTATATATATATATATTTATTTATTTATTTTTGAGACGGAGTCTCGCTCTGTCGCCCAGGCTGGAGTGCAGTGGCACGGTCTCGGCTCACTGCAGGCTCCGCCTCCCGGGTTCACACCATTCTCCTGCCTCAGCCTCCAGAGTAGCTGGGACTACAGACGCCCACCACCACACCCAGCTAAATTTTTTTTTTGTATATATATATATATATATTTTTTTTTTTTTTTTTTTTTTTTAGTAGAGCCGGGCTTTCACCATGTTAGCCAGGATGGTCTCGATCTCCTGACCTCGTGATCCGCCCGCCTCGGCCTCCGAAAGTGCTGGGATTACAGGCGTCTTTTTAAAAATAGCCCACTTAGATAAAAGCATTAAAATGTAAAGACATCTGATTGAGCACTTTTCCCCTGAAATCACAGCAGATTCTCAGCCTGCAGAGTCTCCTTTGAGATGTCAACAAATCTTATAGTTTTTTTCTAATTTAGTGTAACTTAATTTATTTATTTTTTGAGACAGACTCTCATTCTGTCACCCAGACTGGAGTGCAGTGGCACGATCTTGGCTCACTGAAACCTCTGACTCCAGGGTTCAAGCGATTCTCCTGCCTCAACCTCCCAAGTAGATGGGATTACAGGGGCAAACCACCATGCCCAACTAATTTTTTTGTATTTTTTAGTAGAGATGGGTTTTCACCATGTTGGCCAGGCTGGTCTCATCTCCTAGCCTCAAGTTATCTGCCCACCTCAGCCTCCCAAAGTGCTGGGACTACAGGTGTGAGCCACCATGCCCAGCCAACAAATCTTACAGTATAGTTTTGACAAGTTGTTCCTCCTTAGGGTCTATAATGAGTGGCTAGGGCAGAGCTGGGAAAACTGTGGCTCTCATGCCAAATCTAGCCAGCTACCTGTTTAGGTATGACTCATGAGCTAAGAATAATTTTTACTTTTTTTTTAATGGCTTGAAAAATTTTTAATTATTTTTCATGATTCTGTTGGTCATGAATTCAGACATGACACAGTGGGGAATTTTGTCTCTGCTCCCCACGCTGTCCATTGGGCTGGAATGGGCAGCATGACTTCTTCACGTATGCATCTGGTTCTGCAACCAGGCATTGGTGCCTGCAGCCCTATTTGGTTGTGGTTTGTCTGAGTGGACAGACTGAGGAGGGGAATAAAGGAAGCAAAGAGCCACATATCTGGCTCTGCTGAGGTCCTTCCAGTGTTTCTTGCTGTTGTTTTTTATTTAACTTTTAAGCTCAGGAGTCCATGTGTAGGCTTATTATATAGGTAAACGTGTCATGGGGGTTTATTGTACAGGTTGTTTCATCACCCGGGTGCTAAGTTTAGTACGTGATAGCTATTTTTCCTGATCCTCTCCCTCCTGTCACCCTCCACCCTCAAATAATACCCCAGTGTCTGTTGTTCCTATGTGTCCATGTGTTCTCATCATGTAGCTCCCACTTATAAGTGAGAAAACATAGTATTTAGTTTCCTGTTTCTGTGTTAATTTCCTAAGAATAATAGTCTCCAGCTCTATCTATGTTTCTACAAATGATGTGATCTAGTTCTTTTTAATGGCTGCATAGTATTCCATGGAGGATATATATTACATTTTCTTTATCCAATCTACTATTGATGGGCATTTAGGTTGATTCCATGTCTTTGCTATCGTGAATAGTGCTGTAGTGAACATACGCATCTATGTGTCTTTATAATAGAATGATTTATATTCCTTTGGGTATATGCTCAGTAATGGGATTGCTGGGTTGAATGGTATTTCTGTCTTTAGATCTTTGAGGAACTGCCACACTGTCTTCCACAATGGAAACTAACTTACACTCCCACAACACCACAACAGTGTATCAGCATTCCTTTTTCTTCACAACCTCATCAGCATCTGTTATTTGTTGACATTTTAGTAATAGCCATTCTGACTGATGTGAGATGATATCTCACTGTGGTTTTGATTTACATTTCTCTAATGATCAGTGATGTTGAGCTTTTTTTATTTTTTAATTTTTATTTTACTTTAAGTTCAGGGAAACATGTGCAGAATGTGAACATTTGTTACATAGGTATATGCATACCATAGTGGTTTGCTGCACCTATCAACCAGTCGTCTAGGTTTTCAGCCCCCATGCATTAGGTTTTCAGCCCCCCATGCATTAGCTATTTGTCCTAATGCTTTCCCTCCCCTACCCCCCATCAGGCCCTAGTGTGTGTGGTTCCCCTCCCTGTGCCCATGTGTTCTCATTGTTCAACTCCTACTTATGAGTGAGAACATTTGGTGTTTGGTTTTCTGTTCCTGTGTTAGTTTGCTGAGGATGATGGCTTCCAGCTTCATCCATGTCCCTGCAAAGGACATGATCTCATTCCTTTTAATGGCTACATATTAATCCATGGTGTATATGTACCACATTTTCTTTATCCAATCCATTATTGATGGGCATTTGGGTTGGTTCCACGTCTTTGCTATTGTAAATAGTGCTGCAATAAACATACATGTGCATGTATCTTTATAATAGAATTATTTATATCCCTTTGGGTATATATCCAGTAATGGGATTGCTAGGTCAAATGGTATTACTGGTCCTAGACCCTTGAGGAATCACCACACTGTCTTCCACAATGGTTAAACTAATTTACATTCCTACCAACAGTGTAAAAGTGTCCCTATTTCTCCACAGCCTCACCAGCATCATTGTTTCCTGACTTTTTAAAAATCAACATTCTGACTGGTGCGAGATGGTATCTCATTGTGGTTTTGATTTGAATTTCTCTAATGATCAGTAGTGTTGAGATTTTTTTTCATATGTTTGTTGGCCACACAAATGTCTTCTTTTGAGAAGTGTCTGTTCATATCCTTTGCCTACTTTTTGATGGGTTTGTTTGCTTTTTCTTGTAAATTTGTTTAAATTCCTTGTAGATTCTGAATATTAGACCTTTGTCAGATGGGTAGATTGCAAAAATATTCTCCCATTTTGTAGGTTGCCTGTTCACTCTGATGCTAGTTTCTTTTGCTGAGCAGGAAGCTCTTTAGTTTAATTAGATTCCGTTTGTAAATTTTGGCTTTTGGCGCAATTGCTTTTGGCATTTTCGTCATGAAATTTTTGCTCATGCCTATGTCTTGAATAGTATTGCCTAGGTTTTATTCTAAGGTTTTTATGATTTTGGGTTTTACATTTAAGTCTTTAATCAATCTTGAGTTAATTTTTGTATAAGGTATAAGGTAGTGGTCCAGTTTCAGTTTTCTGCATATGGTTAGCCAGTTTTCCCAACACCATTTATTAAACAAGGAATCCTTTCCCCATTGCTTGTTTTTGTCAGGTTTGAGGTGGTTGTAGATGTGTGATGTTGTTTCTGAGGCCTCTGTTCTGTTCCATTGGTCTATACATCTGTTTTGGTACCAGTACCATGCTGTTTTGGTTACTGTAGCCTTGTAGGATAGTTTGAAGTCAGGTAGCGTGATGCCTCCAGCTTTGTTCTTTTTGCTTAGGATTATCTTGGCTATATGGGCTCTCTTTTGGTTCCATATGAAATTTAAAGTAGTTTTTTCTAATTCTGTGAAGAAAGTCAATGGTAGCTTGATGGGAATAGCATTAAATCTATAAATTACTTTGGGGGCAGTATGGCCATTTTCATGATATCGATTCTTCCTATCCATGAGAATGAAATATTTTTCCATTTGTTTGGGTCCTCTCTTGTTTCCTTGAGCAGTGGTTTGTAGTTCTCCTTGAAGAGGTCCTTCACATCTCTTGTAAGTTGTATTCCTGAGTATTTTATTATCTTTGTAGCAGTTGTTAATGGGAGTTCACTTATGATTTGGCTCTCTGCTTGTCTATTGTTGGCGTATAGAAATGTTCGTGATTTTTGCACATATTTGTTGTATCCTGAGACCTTGCTGAAGTTGCTTATCAGCTTAAGGGGCTTGGGGGCTGAAACAATGGCATTTTCTAAATACAGAATCTTGTCGTATGCAGAGACAATTTGACATCCTCTTTTCCTATTCAAATTCCCTTTATGTCTTTCTCTTGCCTGATTGCCCTGGCCAGAACTTCCAATACTATGTTGAAGAGGAGTGGTGAAAGAGAGCATTCTTGTCTTGTGCTGGTTTTCAAAAGTAATGCTTCCAGCTTTTGCCCATTCAGTATGATATTGGCTATCGGTTTCTCATAAATAGCTCTTATTATTTTGAAATATGTTCCATCAATACCTACTTTATTGAGAGTTTTGAACAGGAACGGATGTTGAATTTTATTGAAGGCTTTTCCTGCATCTATTGAGATAATCACGTAGTTTTTGTCATTGATTCTGTTTATGTGATGGATTATGTTTATTGATTTGCATATTTTGAAACAGCCTTGCATCCCAGGAAAGAATCTGACTTGATCATGGTGAATAAGCTTTTTGATATGCTGCTGGATTTGGTTTGCCAGACTTTATTGAAGATTTTTGATTCAATACGCATCAGGGATATTGGCCTGAAGTTCTCTTTTTTTTGTTGTATCTTTTCCAGGTTTTGGTATCAGGATGATGCCAGCTTCAAAAAATGAGTTAGGGAGGAGTCCCTCCTTTTCAATTGTTTGGAGTAGTTTCAGAAAGAATGGTACCAGCCCCTTTAGTACCTCTGGTAAAATTTGTCTGTGAATCTGTCTGTCGAGGGCTTTTTTTGGTTGGTAGGCTATTACTGCCTCAATTTCAGAACTTGTTATTGGTCTATTCAGGGATTTGACTTCTTCCTGGGTTAGCCTTGGGATGGTGTATGTGTCCATGAAATTATCCATTTCTTCTAAAGTTTTTAGTTTATTTGCTTAGAGGTGTTGATAGTATTCTCTGATGGTAGTTAGTATTTCTGTGAGGTCAGTGGTGCTATCCCCTTTATTATTTTTTATTGTGTCTGTTTGACTTCTTTCTTTTCTTTATTAGTCTAGCTAGCGGTCTATCTATTTTGTTAATTTTTTTTTTTGAAAAAACGGCTCCTGAATTCATTGACTTTATGAAGGGTTTTTTTTTTTTTTTGTCTCTGTCTCCATCAGTTCCTCTCTGATCTTAGTTATTTGTTGTCTTCTGCTAGCTTTTGGATTTATTTGCTCCTGTTTCTCTAGTTCTTTTAACTGTGAGAGTGTCGATTTGAGATCTTTCTAGCTTTCTGATGTGAGCATTTAGTGCTATAAATTTCTGTTTAAACACTGCTTTAGCTGTGTCTCATACATTCTGGTACATTGTCTCTTTGTTCTCATTGGTTTAAAATAACTTCTTGATTTCTGCCTTAATTTCCTTATTTACCCAGGAGTCTTTCAGGAGCAGATTGTTCAGTTTATGTTTATATAGTTGTGTGGTTTCGAATGTCTTAATCCTGAGTTCTAATTTGATTGCACTGTGGTCTGAGAGACTGAGGAGTGTTTTACTTCCAATTATGTGGTCGATTTTAGAATAAGTACCACGTGGCACTCAGAAGAATGTATATTCTGTTTATTTGAGAGTTCTGTGGGTATCTATTAGGTACACTTGATCCAGACCTGAGTTCAAGTCCTGAATATCCTTGTTCATTTTCTGTCTTGTTGATCTGTCTAATATTGACAGTGGGGTGTTAAAGTCTCTCACTATTATTGTGTAGGAGTCTAAGTCTCTTTGCAGGTCTCTAAGAACTTGTTTTATGAATCTAGGGGCTCCTGTATTGGGTGCATATAGATTTGGGATAGTTAGCTCCTCTTGTTGAATTGATCCCTTAACCATTGTGTAATGCTCTTCTTTGTCTTTTTTTATCTTTGTTGGTTTAAAGTCTGTTTTGTCGTTTTGTCAGAGACTAGGATAGCAACCCCTGTTTTTTTTTTTTGTTTGTTTTTGTTTTTGTTTTTGCTTTCCCTTTGGCTGGTAAATTTTCCTTCATCCCTTTATTTTGAGTCTATGTGTCTCTTTGCACATGAGAAGGGTTTCTGGAATATAGCACACTGATGGGTCTTGACTGTATCCAATTTGCCGGTCTGTGTCTTTTAATTGGGGCATTTAGCCCATTTACATTTAAGGTTACTATCGTTCTGTGTGAATTTGATCCTGTCATTTTGATGCTAGCTGGTTATTTTGCACACTAGTTGATACAGTTTCTTCATGGTGTCATTGGTCTTTATATTTCAGTGGGTTTTTGCAATAGCTGGTACCAGTTTTTCCTTTCCATATTTAGGGCTTCCTTTAGGAGCTCTTGCAAGGCAGGCCTGGTGGTGACAAAATCCATCAGTGTTTGCTTGTCTGAAAAAAAGATTTTATTTCTCTTTTGTTTATGAAACTTAATTTGGCTGGATATGAAATTCTGGGTTGAAAATTCTTTTTTTTTTTGAGATGGAGTCTCGCTCTGTTGCCCAGGCTGGAGTGCAGTGGCGCTATCACGGCTCACTGCAACCTCTGCCTCCCAAGTTCATGCCATTCTCCTGCTTCAGCCTCCCGAGTAGCTGGGACTACAGGTGCCCAATACCACGCCCAGCTAATTTTTTTGTATTTTTAGTAGAGACGGGGTTTCACCATGTTAGCCAGGATGGTCTCGATCTCCTGACCTCGTGATCTGCCCACCTAGGCCTCCCAAAGTGCTGGGATTATAGGTGTGAGCCACCGCGCCTGGCCAAAAATTCTTTAATAATGTTGAATATTGGCCACCAATCTCTTCTGGCTTGTAGGGTTTCTGCTGAGGGGTCTGCTGTTAGTCTGATGGGCTTCCCTTTGTAGGTGACCTGCCTTTCTCTTTGGCTGCCCTTGACATTTTTCCTTCATTTTGACCTTGGAGAATCTGATGATTATGTGTCTTGGGGTTGATCTTCTCATGGAGTATCTTAGTGGTGGTCTTTTGTATTTCCTGAATTTGAATGTTGGCCTGTCTTGCTAGGTTGGAGAAGTTCTCCTGGATAATATTCTGAAGTGCATTTTCCAACTTGGTTCCATTCTCCCTGTCTCTTTTAGGTACTCCAATCAATCATAGGTTTGGTCTTCTTACATAGGCCCATATTTCTCAGAGGTTTCATTCATTCCTTTTCATTCTTTTTTCTCTAATCTTGTCTGCCTGCCTTATTTCAGGAAGATGGTCTTCAATCTCTGATATTCTTTCTTCTGTTTGACCAATTCAGCTATTGATACTTGAGTATGCTTCACGAAGTTCTCACTCTGTGTTTTTCAGCTCCATCAGGTCATTTATGTTCCTTTCTAAATTGGTTATTCTAGTTAGCAGCCCCTGTAACCTTTTATCAAGGTTCTTAGTTTCTTTGCATTGAGTTAGAACATGCTCCTTTACCTCAGCAGAGTTTGTTATTACCCACTTTCTGAAGCCTACTTCTGTCAGTTCATCCATCTCATCCTCCATCCAGTTCTGCGCCCTTGCTGGAGAGGTGCTGCAATCATTTGGAGAAGAGGCACTCTGGCCTTTTGGGTTTTCAGCCTTTTTTCGTTGATTCTTTCTCGTCTTTGTGAGTTTGTCTAGTTTCAATCTTTGAGACTGCTGACCCTTGGATAAGGTTTTTATGGGGACTTTTTTGTTGATGCTGTTGTTATTGCTTTCTGTTTGTTTTTCTTTCAATGGTTAGGTCCCTTTTCTGTAGTGCTGCTGCAGTTTGCTGGGGGTTCACTTCCGGCACTATTCTTCTGGTTCACTCTTGTGCCTGGAGATGTCACTCCAGGAGATTGGAGAACAGCAAAGATGGGTGCCTGCTCTTTCCTCTGGGATCTCTGACCTTGAGGGGCGCAGACCTGATGCCAGTAGGAATGCTCCTGTATAGGGTGTCTGACAACCCCTGTTGGAGGGTCTTACCCAGTTAGGTGGCATGGGATGTAGGACCCATTTAACGAAGAACTTTGGCTGTCCCTTGGTGGAGGGGCTGTGCCTCGCTGGGGGGAAACCAACTTGTCTGGGCTGCTCATATTCCTCAGAATTAGCAGGAGGAAAGACTAAGTCTACTAGTCCGTGAAGACTATGGCCACCCTTCCTCTTAGGGGCTCAGGCCCAGGGAGATCAGAGTTCTGTCCCCGAGCCCTTGGCTGGAGTTGTTGGAGTTCCTGCAGGGAGGCCCTGCCCAGTGAGGAGGGATGGGTCAGGGTCAGGCCTGAAGAGGCACTCTGGCTGAAGGCTGCCGCAACCTGTGTGTTAGGCTGTGGGGGAATACCTCTTGGGACCAAGCAGTGCAGCCTCTCTGGCTCTGGCAGGGTAAAAGTGTCTGTTCATGCCCTTGCCCACTTTATAATGGGGTTGTTTTTTCTTGTAAATTTAAGTGTTTTTTTTTTAACAGATGCTGGACATTAGACCTTTGCCTGGAGCTGTAGAGATAGCTGCTGCCCTTCCCCCACCCTTGGAGTTTAGTGTGTTAGGCAGCTAGCAGTCTCAGTGCTGGATGCCGCCCCTCCCGCAAGGAGCTCAGACAGCTTAGACAGCAGACAACTGAAGCTGTGGTGATGCCGCCTCCCACTGCGCCTCCCCTGCCCCCGCCGGAACTTCACAGGCTTAGGCAGATTCTAGCTGAGTGACTGTTGAGAATCTGTGTGGCTCCATGTTTGGGACCCTAGGCCCCAGTAGCATGAGCTCATGAGTGGGATCTTCTGATCCATGGGTTGCACAGTTCCTTGGAAAAAGCAGTTTCCCAGGCTGGGTAGCATGCTCACTCACCACCTCCCTTGGCTGGGGGGTAGGGGTTCCCCTGCCCTGTGAGGCTCTCAGGCAGGCCGCTGCACCACACTGCTCCTCCTTCCTCTCCATGGGTCACGCCAGCCACCTAGTTAGTCCTGATGATAGAACCTGGATACCTCGGTTGCTGGTGGGGGATTCGCATGCTGTTTTGGTTCTGTTCAATGGGAGTCTCCTGTTGCCACAGCTTCTAGTCAGCCATCTTGGCCCTGCCCCCCATCATCATTATTCAAGCTTTTCTCAAAATATGCTTGCTGGCCACATGTGCTTCTTCTTTTGAAAAGTGTCTGTTCATGTCCTTGCCCACTCTTTAATGGGATTCTTTTTTCTTGTAAATTTAAGTTCCTTATAGATGCTGGATATTAGACCTTTGTTGGATGTGTGGTTTGCAGAAATTTTCTCCCATACTGTAGGTTTTCTGTTCACTCTGTTGATAGTTTCTTTTGCTATGCAGAAGCTTTTTAGTTTAATTAGATCCCAATTGTCAATATTTGCTTTTGATGCATTTGCTTTTTTTGTCTTCATCATGAAATCTTTGCTCGTTCCTATGTCCACAATGGTATTGCCTAGGTTATCTTCCAGGATTTCTATAGTTTTGGGTTTTCCATTTAAGCCTTTAAAACATCTTGAGTTAATTTTTTTATACGGTGGAAGGAAGGGATTCAGTTTCAGTCTTCTGCACATGGCTAGCTAGTTATTTCAGCACCAGTTATTGAATAGGGAATCCTTCCCCCATTTGTATTAGTCAGGGTTCTCTAGAGGGACAGGACTAATAAGATAGATGTATATATGAAAAGAAGCTTATTAAGGAGTATTGACTCACAGGATCACAAGGTGAAGTCCCACAATAGGCTATCTGCAAACTGAGGAGCAAGGAAGCCAGTCCGAGTCCCAAAACTTCAAAATTAAGAAAGCCAACAGTGCAGCCTTCAGTCTGTGGCCAAAGACCCAAGAGCCCCTGGAAAACCACTGGTGTAAGTTCAAGAATCCAAAAGCTGAAGAATTTGGAGTCTGAGGTTCAATGACAGGAAGCATCCAGCATGGGAGAAAGATGAAGGCCGGAAGACTGTTAATCTAGTCTTTCCACGTTTCTCTGCTTGCTTTTATCCTAGCCACACTGGCAGCTACATAGATGATGCCCACCCAGATTGAGGGTGGGTCCACCTCTCCCAGTCCACTGACTCAAACGTTAATCTCCTTTGGCAACACCCTCACAGACACACCCAGGAACAATATTTTATATCCTTCAATCCAATCAATTTGACACTCAATATTAACCGTGACATCCATTGCTTGTTTCTGTCAGGTTTGTCAAAAATCAGATAGTTGTAGTTGTGTGGCCTTATTTCTGAGTTCTCTACTCTGTTCCATTGGTCTATTTTTCTGTTTTTGTACTAGCACCATGCTGTTTTGGTTACTGTAGCACTGTATTATACTTTGAAGTCAGATGGCATAATGCCTCCAGCTTTTTACTTTTCGCTTAGGATTGCCTTGGCTATTTGGGCTCTTTTTTGGTTGTATATGAATTTAAAAATAGTTTTTTTATAGTTCTGTGAAGACTCTCAATTGTATTAGTTTTTGTTTTTTGAGATGGAATGTCACTCTGTCACCCAGGCTGGAGCGCAGTGGTGCAATTTCTGCTCACTGCAGCCTCTGCCTCCCAGGTTCAAGTGATTCTCCTGCCTTAGACTCCTGAGTAGCTGGGATTACAGATGCCTGTTACCATGTCTGGCTAGTTTTAGTATTTTTTAGTAGAGACAGGGTTTCATCATGTAGGCCAGGCCAGTCTCAAACTCCTGACCTCAGGTGATCCACCCTCCTTGGCCTCCTAAGGTGCTGGGATTACAGGCATGAGCCACCTTGCCGGGCCTCTCAATTGTATTTTAATAGGAATAACATTGAATTTATAAATTGCTTTGGGCAGTATGGCCATTTTAATGATATTTATTCTGCCCATCCATGAGCATGAAATGTTTATCCATTTGTGTCATCTCTGAGTTCTTTGAGCAGTGTTTTGTAGTTCCCTTTATAGAGATCTTTCACGTTCTTGGTTAGCTGTATTCCTAGGGGTGTGTGTGTGTGTGTGTGTGTGTGTGTGTGGCAATTGTGAATGGGATTGCATTGCTGATTTGGCTCTTGGCTTGACTGTTGTATAGGAATGTTAGTGATTTTTGTACATTGATGTTACATCCTGAGACTTTGCTGAAGTTGTTTATCAGCTTAAGGAGCTTTTGGGCTGAGACTATGAAGTTTTCTAGATAAAAGATTATGTCATCAGCAAACAAGGATAGACTGACTTCCTCTCTTCTTATTTGGATGCCTTTTACTTATTTCTCTTGCCTGATAGCCCTAGCCAGGGCTTCCAATGCTATGATGAATAGGAGTGGTGAGAGAGGGCAATCTTGTCTTTTGCCAATTTTCAAGGTGAATGCTTCTGACTTTTGCTCATTCAGTATGATGTTGGTTGTGGGTTTGCCATAGATGGCTCTTTTATTTTGAGGTATGTTCTTTCAATACCTATTTTATTGAGAGTTTTTAATGTGAAGGGATGTTGAATTTTATTGAAAGCCCTTTCTGCATCTATTGAGATAATTATGTGGTATTTGTCTTTAGTTCTGTTTATGTGATGAATCACATTTTTTGATTAGGGTGTGTTGAACCAGCCTTGCATCCTGGGGATAAAGCCTACTTGATCATGGTAGATAAGATTTTTGATGTGCTGCTGAATTTGGTTTGCTAGCATTTTGTTGAGGATTTTTGCATCAATGTTCGTCAAGGATGTTGGCCTGAAGTTTTCTACTGTCTCTGCCAGGTTTTGGTATCAGGATGATGCTGGCCTCATAGAATGAGTTAGGGAGGAGTCTCTCCTCCTCAATTTTTGGAATAGTTTCAGTGGGAATGGTACCAACTCTTTGTACATATGGTAGAACTCAGCTGTGAATCCATCTGGTCCTGGGCTTTTTTGGTTGGTAAGCTATTTATTACTGACTCAATTTCAGAGCTTGTTACTGGTCTGTTCAGGGATTCAGTTTCTTTCTGTTTGAGTTTTGGAAGGGTGTATGTATCTAGGAATTTATCAGTTTCTTCTACATTTTCTAGTTTATGTGCACAGAATTGTTCATAATAGTCTCTGATGATTATTTGTATTTCTGTGGGGTCAGTCGTAATATCTCGCTTGTCATTTCTGATTGTGTTTAGTTGAATCTTCTCTCTTTTCCTCTTTATTAGTCTAGTAGTCTATTTGATTAATTTTTTCAAAAAGCAACTCCTGGGTTTGTTGATATTTTGAATTTTGGTGTGTGTCTCAGTCTCCTTCAGTTCAGCTCTGTTTTTGGTTATTTATTGTCTTCTGCTAGCTTTTGGATTGTTTGCTCCTGGTTCCCTAGTTATTTAGTTGTGATGTTAGGTTGCTAACTTGAGATCTTTCTAACTTTTTGATGTGGATGTTTGGTGCTATAAATTTCACTCTTAACACTGCCATAGCTGTGTCCCAGATATTCTAGTATGTTGTATCTTTGTTCTCATTAGTTTCTAAGAACTTCTTGATTTCTGCCTCAATTTCATTATTTACCCAAAAGTCATTTGGGAGCAGGTTATTTAATCTCCATGTAATTGTATGGTTTTGAGTGAATTTCTTAGTCGTGATTTCTAATTTGATTGCACTATGGTCTGAGAGATTGTTATGATTTCAGTTCTTTTGCATTTGACAAGGAACGTTTTACTTCCTATTATGTGATGGATTTTAGAGTATGTGCCATGTGGTGATGACAAGAATGTATACGCTGTTATTTGTGGAGAGTTCCGTAGATGTCAGTCAGCTCCATTTGATCCAGTGCTGAATATCTTTAATTTTCTGTCTTGATGATCTAACACTGTCAGTGAGGTGCTGAAGTCTCCCACTACTATTGTGCGGGAGTCTAAGTCTCTTGGAAGGGCTCTAGGAACTTGCTTTACGAACCTGGGTGCTCCTGTGTTTGGTACATGTATATTTAGGATAGTTATATCTTTTTGTTGAATTGAACCCTTTAACATGATGTAAATGCCTTTGTCTTTTTTGATCTTTGTTGGTTTAAAGTCTGTTTTGTCTGAAACTAGGATTGCAACCCCTGCTTTTTTTCTGTTTTCCATTTGCTTGGTAGATTTTTTTCCATCCCTTTATTTTGAGCCTTTGAGTGTCATTATGTGTGAGATGGGTCCCTTGAAGATAACATATTAATGGGTTATTTTTTTCTTTTCTTCTTTCTTCTTCTTCTTTTTTTTTTCCTTTGAGATAAGGTCTCACTCTAGTTGCCCAGGCTGGAGTGCAGTGGCATGATCTCAGCTCACTGCAAACTCGACCTCCTGAACTCAGGTGATTCTTCCAACTAAGCATCCCAAGTACCTGGGACTACAGGCGTGAGCCACCACATCTGGCTGGCTTTTTTGTATTTTTAGTAGGGATAGGCTTTCACTATGTTTCCCAGGCTAGTCTTGAACTCCTGGTCTCAAGCAGTCCACTTGCCTCAGCCTCCCAAAGTGTTGAGATTACAGGCATAAGCTGCTGCTCCTAGACAGGTCTTGGTTCTTCATCCAGCTAACCACTCTGTGTCTTTTAATTGGGGCATTTAGCTCATTTATACTCAAGGTTAGTATTGACATGTGTAGATTTGATCCTGTCATCATGATGTTTGCTGGTCATTTTGTAGATTTGTTTATGTGGTTGCTTTACAGTGTCACTGGTCTATGTACTTAGGTCTGTTTTTGTAGTGGCTGGTAGTGGTCTTTCCTTTCCATATTTAGTGGTTCCTTTAGGAGCTTTTGTAAGGCATGTCTGGTAGCAACAAATTTCCTCAGCTTTTGTCTCTCTGAAAAGTATCTTATTTCTGTCTTCGCTTACAAAGCTTACTTTGGCTGGATATAAAATTCTGGGTTGCAGTTTCTTTTCTTTAATAATGTTGAATGTTGTCCCCCAATCTCTTCTTTCTCATAGGGTTTCTCCTGAGGGATCTGCTGTTAGTCTGATGGGCTTCCCTTTGTAGGTGACCTGACCTTTCTCTTTAGCTGCCTTTAACTTTTTTTTTTTCCCAACCTGAGAGAACCTGATGATTTCGTTTCTTGAGGAGGAGGAATTGTGAAGTATCTTACTGGGGTTCTCTGCATTTCCTGAATTTGAATGTTGGCCTCTCTAGCTAGACTGGGGAAGTTCTCAAGGATGTTATCGTGAAATATGTTTTCCAAGTTGCTTACTTCTCCTTATCTCTTTTAGGGACACCAATGAGTCATAGATTTCATCTCTTTACATGATACCATATTTCTCGTCAGTTTTGTTCATTCCTTTTCATTCTTTTTGCTCTATTCTTGTCTGACTGTTTTATTTCAGAAAGCCATTCTTCATGCTCTGAGATTCTTTCCTCTGCTTGGCCTATTCTATTATTAATACTTGGGATTGCAATATGAAATCATTATAGTGTGTTTTTTTAGCTCTATCAGGTTGGTTACATTCTTTTCCATACTGGCTGTTTTGTCTGTCTGCTCCTGCAATGTTTTGTCTTGATTTCTATCTTCCTTGGATTAGGTTCTGATGATCTTCGTTCCTATCCATATTCTGATTGCTATTTCTGTTACTTCAGCTATCACAGCCTGGTTCAGAACCCTTGCTAGAGAGGTGCTGTGGTTGTTTGGAGCAAAGAAGGCACTCTGGCTTTTCGAGTTGTCAGAGTTCTTGCATTGATTCTTTCTCATCTTTGTGTGCTTTTCTACCTTCAATCTTTGAGGTTTCTGACCTTTGGATTTTTGTTTTTTCTTTGTTTTTGTTGTTGTTGTTGTTGTTTTTTCTTTTATCTTATTTGATGACCTTGTGGGTTTGATTGTAGTATAAGTTACATTCAGCTGACTTGGCTTTGTTTTTGGAAGATTTGAGGGGGAAACACTCAGCTCCAAACTCCTGGACTGTGTGCTCTAACTCTGGGGAACTTGTTTTGGGCCCTGACTTTGTTGTCTGGCTCCTTGAGGTTAGAAATCCACTGTGTTGGGAGGCCAAGTTGCGGCAGCTACAGCAGAGTGCTAACAGGTGCCAGGGTGCCTGCCTCCTTGCAGGCATTCACCATGGTGGCAGAGGGAACACAGCTAGAGGGTGTGGGGGGCCCTGCTGGTGACTATGTGCATGGTCAGGCTGAAGGTGGAGTTGGTTTGGGGGCAGGGTTCTGTGGTTGCAGATTTGGGAGCATTCTCTATGCCCTGCAAGCAGGTGTGGCCACTCAGAAAATGGGAGGATCTGCTGTTCTCTGCACAGTGTTAGCACAAGGGTGGGACACTGGCAGGAGTAGGTCTGGCTGGCTCTGTGCCTACCTAGGCTCCATCTGCAATGGCAGTTGGTGGGGAGAAGAGGTGTGGACTGCACTCCCACCCACTGGTGAGGCAAGGAAAGCAAAACCTGCCAGTGCAGACACATGCCAGCAAAGTGATGTGGGGAGTAGCCATGGGCCCTAGGGTAGCTGCAGTTTGGGAAGGGAGCATGTGGTCTGGTTGGTGGCCATAGGGGACACCCTACTGGAACTCTCTGCCAGTCAGACATGGTTCACCAGTGCAGAAGCTCTGGTGCAGGGCCCCCAATTCTGCCATGCTAGCAGGTGTGGACAGGCTGGAGCCCTGGGATATGCCAGCAGACCAAGGGGTGCTCAGATTGGAGCAGTCCCTTCTGATGGGCAAGACTGCCCTGCAGAGTTCAGGTCTGACAGTTTCCCTAGGGTTAAAGTCTCCTATGGAAGCAAGTCAAGCCTAGGGGGATAGCCATTCCAGGCCATGCTCCACTACAGACAATCTTGCAGTAAACCATCTGGGCTCCACCTTAGTTGGCTTGCTGCCCCTACCACTTCTTTAAGGCTCTCCCTGCCAACTGAAGTGTCCCTGGTGGTCAAGGGGTCTCCTCCTGCTGGGATTTCAGAGGTCTGTGGCAAGAGTGGTTTGCTACTTGCCAGTTCAACTCACCTGTTCCCCCTGAGCCGCAGGGACCCAAGAATGAGTCCTGGTTCATGGTAGCCTTGTGCAGTGTACCCAGCTTTCTCTCCCTTCAGCCCAGCTTCTGTGTCTTCCTTCCATCCCCTCTTAGTGCTTTACTTCCAAAGATCTGTTAGGAACATGCAAGTCATCTTGGTCCCTCCCTGGGAGCTGTTCCCCCAGGCTGTGTCTAGTCAGACATCTTGCCCTCCCTCCTTACATTTTTAAATGATTGAAAAAACCCAAAAGAAGAGTGATATTATAAATTCATAACATTATAAGAAAATCAAATTTCAACGTCCATAAAGTTTTCCTGCAACACAGCCACACTTATTTACATATGCTCTATGACTACTTTTTTGTTATAATAGTAGAGTTTAAAGTTTCAGCAGAGACCTTGTGGTCTGTAAGGCACCTAATATGTTTACTATCTGGCCTTCCAAAACAGTTTGCTCAATCTTGGGCTACGGAATGAAAATCTATTAAGTGGGAGGGACCAAGATCTCATCTTGAAGGAAAAGAGGAAAACTGATGAGGGTTTGGGAAGAAAGGATTTATCAAAAACTGGAAAGAATGTCAACAAAGAGAGCTTGGAACTATTTGCATTTCAATGAATGCCATGGATCATAACTATGAGAAGCTTTTAAGATTCCTTAAAAGCTCATCCTAGTTTTGGACAGCTCTGTAAAAATTATGCTCTCTGTACAAGAAATATAAGGCTCTTGTAGTTTCTGCAGAATTGGTCTTAGTTCTACTACTTGGGACTAGACAGAACAGGTCTAATTTGTCTTTCATGTGACAGACTTTCAAATATTTGAAGACAAATATCAAGTCCCCCTGAGTCTAATTATATTGAAAAGAAAAAAATATATAGGAAAGAGAAAAATAGGGCAATTGGTACATGTCAGTGATTAATGAAGCCTCACACATTGAAACAGACTTCTGTTATACCTCCTACAGGCTAACCACATTACAATGACTATGAAAAACAATTCTCAAACAAGTTCAGGATTGGCAATTGCTTAGATTTAGAGACAAGGATGGAGAGTAAGAGAGGCCATATGACTTCTATCTTCCCTTAGTAGTTACAGATGTCAAATTACTGATGTTGGTAGCAAGTATAAACCAAAAATAAAATTATAAGCCCTTCAACCATCTGAATGGACCCATCCTCTCAGCAAAGGCATTCCAAAGTTAACCTGAAAAATTAGTTCAGGCTATGATCGGAAGGGGGAGCTGGACATGCCTCATTATACTCCCCTCTCTTTTGAAACTACTGATAAAACAGACTCTCTAAGTCTGATAAGAAACATTTACAATCTACTCTCT
This sequence comes from Homo sapiens, assembly GCF_000001405.40. Lineage (NCBI taxonomy): Eukaryota > Metazoa > Chordata > Mammalia > Primates > Hominidae > Homo > Homo sapiens. The sequence continues at coordinate 35,807,219 of NC_000008.11, read as the reverse complement.
CTAAAGCCTGCTACCTAGAGGTATCATCTGCATGATAAAACTTTGGTCTCCACAACCGGTTATCTTAACCCAGACATTCTTTTCTATTGATGAGAACTCTTTCACCCAATTGCCAATCAGAAGACCTTTAAATCTACTTGTAACCTAGTAGTCCTGCTCTGAGTTGTCCTGACTTTCTTAACTGAACCAAGGTACATATTACATGTATCTGTTGATGTATTATGTCTCCCTAAAATTAATAAAGTCAAGCTGTACACCAGCCATTTTGGGTACATGTCGTCACGACCTCCTGAGGCTATGTCATGGGCAAGTCCTTAACCTTAGCAAAATACACTTTCTAAACTGATTGGGACCTGTCTCAGATACTTTTGGTTTACACATAAAAAAAGAAAAAGGCCTGCCAATTCTTGGGGTAAAAGAAGGGGGAAAAAAAACCCATAGAAGTTACTAGGAAAGTTTTTGAGAGATGATACACAAATAAAAGGCTCCCAGCAAATTTCTAAGACACACAGCATTGTCAAGAAAAAGTTGCTGAAGACTTGAACATACACAAAAAAGGTGGAGTATTGGGTGTGCCTAGCTGACCTTTTAGGATTATCTAGTTCCATGGGGGTATACTTCTTTGACCTCTATTGACTTGGTTACATTATTAGTTCTGCAGGGGTAGAAGTTAAATGATGGAAAACTGAAGTCATGCAAATGTCTCTTGTCCATAGAAATGCAAAGGAATTTTGTTCAGATACAATTAATTTCCACTCTGGTAGGAAAAATAACCCGAGTTTTATTGCCCTATGAGGTATTCACATGTAGATTGATATTCCCTATAGATAATTTTGTATCTATTACTACTCTATATGATATAAGATCTTAAACAGTTTTGCCTCTATTACCAAATTCACTTCAGAATTCTTATTTACATATACATGTATGTATATAGTGTGTATGCACGTTTATCTGTTCAAATTCTTCTTTGAACTGATTTTTAACATCAACTTCTTCATAAATAGTGAATGAGGTAAAGAAAATTTTTGTCTTTTTTTATATTTGCATGTGTGCCATGTTTTTAACCATTCAAAAACATTTCTTTTAATATAAAGATTTATATCAATGTATTCACTACAAAATTATTTTAGACATAAGAGTAGGTTTCTTTGCAAAGTGTTGTGAACCCATAAGTATCTGAGACAGGTCTCAATTTATTTTGCCAACTTTAAGAACGTGCTAGTGACACAGCTCCAGGAGGTCCTGACTATAAGGTTTTTTTGTTGATGTTAATGCTGGAGGGTATAATGAGGCATGTCTGACCCCATCTTCCACCACTGCCTGAATTAGATTTTCAGGTTAACTCTGGAATGCCTTTGGCTGAGAGGAGGGGTCCAATGAAATGGTCGGGTCATTTTATTTTTGGTTTACACTCTTTTTAATGTATTCATTTATTCTGATTGCATCAGGAAGGAAGTCTGGAGAAGACGCTAACGTGTCTGGACCAACTGTAGTGTCTTCTGATGGTTCCCAGGAGAGTTGCACAGCTTAGACTTGCATAGCGCCAAAAAGCTATGGCATGTAGAACTCTTTCATTGTATACCTTGGTTGTCTATCCTTTAGTAGCCCTAAATTCTGCTTTTGAATTAGGAAGACTTTCTGAACTACACACCTTATGGCTGAAGAAACATCAAGGCAATGTATTTTTAAGAAAAGTAGCACCCCATAAGTAGACCTAATTTAAACCCTGCCACTAACCAGTTTTGTAATCTTTGCCTAAGCCCTTCATTTCTCTATTTTATTTTGTTAAATAAGCACATTACTACCTACATCACCATGCTTTAAAGAAAATTTATAGACATAAACCAAGTAAATGTTGAAATGTATAAATAAGTGCATAAACCAAGCGAACTTTTATTCAATACATTCATTAATTTATTCCATTTTAGTGCCTACTATTATAGTGTTCTTTATCTCTGCCAAGGTAAATCTCTAAAGGATTCCCTTTTTTTCCAGGGCATCCTTATCTCTTGTACTATACTCCTCGCAAGGGTCTGTACATCTGACCCATCTCCCAGTCTTCCCAAATTTTGAAGTCCTTTTCCAATACCTTCAGTCATCAGCAAAATGCTTTATATCCTCATAAATTTCTGTTTCCTTCTTTTTTGCTCTTACTGAAACCCATCTCTTCCTTAAAACTACTGTGGCCCTTTTAGGTGGTTGCTATTTTCGCTCCTGTGTTTTCTCTACCCTTGGAGGTGGGGTAGGAGTTCTTTCTCCTTCTCGTTGCCATTTCCAGATCACTTTCCCTCTTCTTTCCCTAATATTTTCCATTTTTGATGCTCCTATTTTGAGGTAATGCCACCCACTATCTCTCCTGGTTGCGATCATCTGATGCCTGTCAGTTCCCCTTGTTCACAGAAGAATTAGCTCTGGCTCGGTGTCATTCTCTTCAGCATGCTTCTGTTCTAATTTTTGAAGATTTTAATAAACATATAGATGATTTTTTCTACCTCCCCATTCTTTCAATCACTTGAATTTTGATTCTCCAATGACTTTATCTTTTACAATATCTCAGCTACTTACCATCATTTTTATAGACCAGTGGTTCTCAACTACAGGCAATTTTGCTTCCAGGAGAACATATGGGAATGTTTGGAGATGTTTTTGATTGTCATAGCTGGTAGGTGCTACTGGCATTTAGTTGGGTACAGGATAGGGAAGCTGCTAAATATCCTATAAAGCACAGAACAGTTCCTTACAACAAAGAATTTTCCAGCCCCAGATGTCAATGAGGCTGAGATTGAAAACCCTCCCTTACAGGCCTTGTTTACAATGTGTACGCCCTTCCACAATCACAGTTTCAAGCATCTCACTTTGACTTCCTTTACAAAAGAAACAAAGAAAAGATCTCTCTTCTCATTACAGAAAAGCTCCTCAAAAGGGTGGATTATATGTGCTGGCTCCTTTTTTCTCTTCTCATTTTTTTTTTTTTTTTTTTTTTTGCTTGAATCTACTTTAAAATAGGCTTTCCGATACCATACTCCATCTAAACTGGTCTTGCCATGATCATAAAGAATGTCCACATTGCTTAATCCAAGGGTCACTTATTAATCCTCATCATACTTGACCTATCAGCAGCCAGCAGCATCTGAGACAGTTGATTACGCACACTTCTTTTTTTTTTTTTTTTTTTTTTTTAAGACAGAGTCTCTCTCTGTCACCCAGGCTGGAGTGGTGCAGTCTTGGCTCACTGCAACCTCCTCTACCTCCTGGGTTCAAGCGATCTTCCTGCCTCAAGCCTTTTGAGTAGCTGAGATTACAGGTGTGCACCACACCCAGCTAATTTTTTTTTTTTTTTTTTTTTTTTTTGAGATAAGAGTCTTGCTCTGTCGCCCAGGCTGGAGTACAGTGGCATGATCTCAGCTCACCACAAGCTCCGCCTCCCGGGTTCCTGCCATTCTACTGCCTCAGCCTCCCAAGTAGCTGGACTACACGCACCCGCCACCACGCCCGGCTAATTTTTTGTATTTTTAGTAGAGACGGGGTTTCACAGTGTTAGCCAGAATAGTCTCAATCTCCTGACCTCATGATCCACACGCCTCAGCCTCCCAAAGTGCTGGGATTACAGGCATGAGCCACCGTGCCCAGCCAATTTTTGTATTTTAATAAAGACGGGGTTTTGCCATGTTGGCCAAGCTGGTCTTGAACTCCTGACCTCAGGTGATCCGCTCATCTCAGCCTCCTAAAGTTCTGGGATTATAGTCATGAGCCACCATGCCCAGCCCATGCCCATTTGTTGTTTGCACATTCTTCCCTTGTTCAGACATCACCCTCCTGATTTCCCTTTTACCTCACACGCTACTCTTTCCCAGTCTCTACAGATTTCTTCTCATCTCCTGAAGGTCTTAATTTTTGAGTGCCTCAAGGCTTGGTGGAGTCTCATGATTTTAAATACATGTATATGCACATGTGTATCATTCTTCAAATTCTTCTTTGAACTGATTTGTAACGTCTTACCAACTTCTTCATTAGTGAATGAAGTAAATAAAACTCTTGTCATATCTTTTTTATATTTCCGTGTGTGTGATGTTTTGAACTCTTTGAAAACATTTTTCTCTTAATAATATAAAGACTTGTATCAATGTATTGTCACTACAAAATTCTTTTAGACATCAGAGTTGGTTTCTTTTCAAAGCACTTGTGAACTCACAAGTAAGTGAGACAAGTCTCTATCAATTTAGAGAGTTTACTTTGCCGAGGTTAAGAAGGCACCTATGATACAGCCTCAGGATGTCCTGACAACACGTGTCCAAGGTGGTCAGGGTACAGCTTGCTTGTATATATTTTAAGGAGACATGAGAGTTGTCTGTATTTTGGCAACTACCAAGTATATTCCTCTCCCTTGAGCCTCAAACTGATAAGCCCAGATGTATAATCCAAATGTTCACTTGGATGTCTCATAGGTGCTGTGAACCTCAAACACACAAAATAGAGCTCCTGGTCTCCACTTTCCTCAAAACCTATCTCCATAAAACTCTATCCCAGGTAGTGGCATCTCCATGTTTTTGGTTGCTTAGACCAAAATCTTGGAGTCATCATGGATTTCTTCCTTTCACAACATGTATCTGTTACATCAGCAAATTCTGCCAGCTCTGCCTTGAGAATATATCTATGATTCAAACACCTGTGATCACCTTTACTGCAATTGCCCTGCACTAACTCACAGTCGTCTCCTGTGAATTACTACAGCAGTAATCTCCCTGCTTGCCTCCTTCTTCCCCGACATATTCTCTAGTTGCCAGTGTGATCCTGCTGACACAGCTCAAATTTCTCCGATAGCTCCCCATTTCATATGGAGTATAAGCTAGAGCCTGGTAAGCCATCTATGATCTACCCCTTCACTTCTCTGAACTCACCTCCTACTATTCTCTCGCTCACACTGACCTCCTTGCTGCTCCTTGAATAGGTGCACCATGCTTCCACCTCAAAGCCTCTACAGCTGCTGGTTCCTTGACTTTGAATCCTCTCCTTCCAAGGGTCTTCCTGGTTCACTCTCTCATCTCCTTCAGGTATCTAGTCAAAAGTCACCTTCTCAATGAGGCCTTGACTGACAACCCTATTTAAAAATACAAACCAATGGCCAGGTGCAGTATCTCATGCCTGTATTCCCAACTGTTTGGGAGGCCAAGGTGGGAAGATGGCTTGAGGCCAGAAGTTTGAGACCAGCCTAGCAACATAGCAAGACTCTCTCTCTACAAAAAATTTTTAAAAATTTAGTTGGGTGTGGTGGCATTTGTCTGTAGTGCTAGCTACTCAGGAGGCTGAGGCAGGAGGATCGCTTGAGCTCAGGAGTTGGAGAGTTGGATGCTACAGTGAGCTATGATGGTGCCATTGCACTCCAGCCTGGGCAACAGAGTGAGACCCTGTTTCTAAAAACAACAACAAAACACGAACCAAATCACAACCCCAGATACCCTATTCCTCTTTTCTGCATCTAACTTACTCTGTATTTCACTTTGTATTTAGCCTTTACCCTGTCTTTCCCCACAAGAGTGACATCTCTGTGAGAATGGGATATTTATTTTTGTTTACTACTGAATTTCCATTGTGTACTACAGTGCTTCCTCTATAGTTACAAGCAGTAAAGGTTATTTTAAAAAATAAGCTCACTGAAAGCAGCGAGACAATAGAAGGCACAATTAAATGTGAATTGTGTTTTCCTGTTTGCCTAGATTTTAAAGGACAGTAAAAACACATGATAGTTTGGGCCCATAAAAGCCTAGAATAAGAAGTGTTAACTTTTATCTCTTTCAATGATAAAAACAAATATGTAGTTGACTTTAGGATTTTGTATAATTTTTCACTTAGGACATGGCTAACCACACACACATATTGATGATCTTTTTCAGTCTTTGGATTTTTAAAGATATGATACTAGGAGAAGAGATTACTTGTTTCTCTGGCTATTCTAGCTAAATTATTCAGCCTAGGGATTGGAGATGAAGGAACAAGTCATGGTCATTTAACATTTTTTATGTGTATTTCTAACAAATTGCTCTAAAATAATTAATTTCTAGTCTTTTGTTTACTCTTTGACAGTCAATGTACAATTCCCATTCTGTTAAAACACGTACCTGCATAGCACTTATTAGACTACAAAGCTTTTTTACCCCTTACATACAGTATTTCATTTGACCCCTGCTGTAGCCAAATATGGGAAGTGTGGCAGGATATTCATAATGCTGATTTTACAGAGGTGAAAACCGAGATTCAAAAAATGAAATGAATTGTCTGTGACTCCACTGGTAGGCATGAGAGCTGAGATTAGAACACATGTCTTCTCTTCCTATTTCAGGCTTTTCCCACTTAGCTGCACAGCATCTTTCAGATGGCTGGACACCTAACATTCCTTTTGAAGAAATGACACATTGAATTTTGCTCTGAGCTTAGAGCAAAATTGCAATGACCTGATACCAGTTACTTAATCGCTTATAAACATGCCTCCAACTTTTTAAAGAAGTAGTCTTTATAAGGTTTAGCAAAAATATAACTAATTCTTACAGTTTTAAGGATGTATTTCTAATGAGTTACAAAGAAACATGGTTAAATCAAGCATTCACAGGCAAGAATTATAATGTTAAAAAGGTTGCTAGGGGCTTATATGTTTAAAAATATGAAATTTTGTAAATTGCAGAGAAATGGGTGGATAGATAACAAATGTAAGAAAATCTGGACTAAATTAATTTAGCATGGAGCACACACTTTATCTCATATATCTTTAGAGAAAATATACACCAAAATGTGAACTCTGAGATGTTACTACAGCTCATTAAGTAAGAGTTAGGCGATGATAAATACTTGGAAAATGCTACAAACAGTAGCTGCAGTGGAGTGATTAAAAATGCACATAAACTTCTCTTTTCCTCAGTTTCTCCCTTTACAAAATATGAGCAATAATTGTACTGCCTTCATGTGATTACTAGGGGAGTAAAATGAGTGAATTCATATAAAGTGTCTAGAATATTGACTGCACTGAAAATAACTACCATTATTGTGTTAAAGCCTTTGAGAGATCGCACAATAAAGAAACCTCTGTAAATGAAATTAACTCATCCTTTTCTAAACATGGCTAATCATGTCTGATCAGAACCTAACAACACAGAAGAGAAGTTTGGGGAGTGCTACTGTAGAAGACTCAGGGTTGTAAGGACTAGAGGCATGAAAATAGTCTGGCTGCCTCTCTTAAATAAAATCTTTATTAATTGCCAATGCTAATCTTTCTGTTTGAATGTTCTTCCTCTTTTATTTTTTGCCTGACAAATTCTTACTCATCTCTGATGAAGAAATTGAAACCATGGTCCCAGTTCTCTATCCCTTCATGTATCCACACCCTTTACAATGTGATTTTCCAGCAATTCTCATCTAGAGGTGGATTCTATTTCCTTATCCCTTGAACGGGCAGGTCTTGTGGGTGGTGTTAGCCATTAGAATATTGCGAAAAAAATGATGATATTCCAAGTGTAGGCTTCACAAGAGACTCCACACATCTCTTTTTCTGCCTTTACCATGAGAACATGTCCAGCCTAGCCTATTGGACCATGAGGCACAAGGAGCAGAGTGTAGTCCATCCTGTTGTCCTAACCAAGGCCCCAAATGTAGAAGGAGCCTAATCTGGAAGAGCTAGCCCAGCTCAATCTTTTAATTAATTGCAGTTACATGCCTGAATCCAGCTGAGGTCAACCGTGCCAGGTTTAGATCATGAGGACCTCCCAGCTGAACCATACATTTATGTGAATAATATATGGGTGTTATTTGAAGCCATAAATTCTAGGGTTTGTTGTACTCTGTTATTCTAGAAGTCGCTTTATTAATAGACCACCTTTAGGTCTTAGCTCAATGGCAGCTTCTCCATGGAACTTTCCCTCACACAACACAATCTGGTTTCAGTGTTCCTCCTTTGTTTTATCTTAACAGTGGTGCTTCCCTTTTTCCTAACACTTTTTGTTGGATGGTGTAATAATCTCTTGAGTTGGAGATAGTGAGCTTCTTGAAGGCTGGGTTAATGTCTTAATTGTGAATGTCTGATTGTAGCAGAGAGGTCTAGCACATAGCAGATGATAGTGCTTGCATAACTCTTTAACATTTAATTTGTGCAAAAACTCATGGTTTTAAGGCCCTGGTGTCATCTGAAAACCAGAGAATGGATCGTCTCATTGGTGGAGCACTTACTTTATGCAGGAACACTAACATTTAGACAAAATGTGATTTGTCTTAGATATGCCTTAAACATGCATTTGCCTCATCATCAACTCTAAGTTCTTTCCTAAAATCATCTTATGTGGTATAAAAATATGGGACCTTACTAGAGTATTTTTAACTCACTTTATGAAGCATTAACCTTTATATTAGAAAATAAGTTGCATTTCACTTAATTCAGCGACAGTAAGACATGTTTTTTTTTTCTTAAATAAATTTTAGGTATCAGAAAGATACTAACATTGAGTACATTATTGGTCCTGCTGTAACCTCACTATGTGTATACAACGAATGCTCCAGGATGTCTCTATTCAGAAGCCCAACTAGCCAGAAACAGTTGTAGATGTGTTTATGGTTAAAATAGTTCTTGAACACTTACTTTATGCCCAGTGAACTGGATATGATTGTCATCTTTTAGAGACAGTCTCTTGGCCAAGGTCACAAATCCAAAGTGGGACAGACTCAGGATTCCCATCCAAGCCTATCTGCTCCCGAACTCATTCTGCTAACTACTATGCATACCACCTCTCTAAAATAAGATGAAAGTAAGCCCTCACTGACTGTTTACTAAGGACCATGGAGTGTGCTAAGGGCTTTACATGAACCCTTTCATGTAATCTTTAGACTTTGGGGAGAATATACAATTCTCTTCTTATCCCTATATTATAAATGAAGCAGAAATGTTAAGTATCTTGCCTGACATCAAGTGCAAAATGATTGAGTCAGGACTTGAACCCAGACTCTGCTGTCATGGAGAAAATGCTACATAACTATTTTTTGAGTGAATGAGTTAACCCCTGTCAGAATAAAATCAAATTCTAACAAATGTTCACTATATAAAAAAAGCATTAATTCATCCAAACTAACTTAATCCATTCAGAATTAGTTCCTAACTCAATAAAGCAGCTTTTAAATGAAGATTCAAATTTTTTTTAATAGTTTATTACAGGTTCAAGCCAATCTGTTACATTTTCATCCAGATGAACTAGTTTCATCCAGATGAACTAGTTACATCCAGATCTTTATGCTGGCCACATGATTCTTCTAGTTAAAATCTATTTTGAGGAACTCAAATTGGATTTATTTGCTCTAACTATTCAAATAATTCTGAGATTTTGGGTCTGGTGTTGCATAGCTATAACTGATTTACCTCGTTTAAGTCAATTTCAACTAATTTTCATTAGGCCTGTATATTAAGTATATTTTAATTAGCATTAAAGCTCTGCCTAATTTAAAGTGGTCAGAAAGAACTGTTGGAACCACACACAGCCTCTTTGTGGATATTCTTATCTGTCGCTGTAGTCCCATAAGAAAAAGAATTACATGGTCAACAGGGCTTAGGAAGTGCTGCATAGACTCCCCTCCTTCAGATCTATCATATACATAAATGTTTTCTTTTCTGAGATGGAGTCTCACTCTGTCACCCAGGCTGCAGTGCAGTGGCATGATCTTGCCTCACTGCAACCTCTGCCTCCTGGGTCAGGTGATTCTCCTGCTTCAGCCTCCCAAGTAGCTGGGATTACAGGCATGTGCCACCACGGCCAGCTAATTTTTGTATTTTTTTTTTTTTAGTAGAGACGAGGCTTCACCATGTTGGCCAGGCTGGTCTTGAACTCCTGACCTCAAGTAATCTGCCTGCCTTGGTCTCCCAAACTGCTGGGATTACAGGCATGTGCCATGGCGCCTGGCCATCATATACATAAAGGTTTTCAAAAGCGTAGTGTAGAGAATATTTCATTTTACTTCATAGCTTTTAAAACTTAATTTGAAAAAATAAATGTTTTTATATGGAAATGGTATTTTTTAAAAAACCGGTTTAAATCAACTTTTGACCTTTTTAAAAATTATAACTAACTAGTTTAAATAGACCAGAAGCCATCTTTGGGTGGAACATTCTAGTTCAACTGGCTCTGGCCTGTTCTCTAAGTAGTTATGAGTAAATTTGGGGGAGCTCTCAGCATTTTAAAACCTCTTAAAGCAGGTTTAATCAGCCACATGTCTTTGGAATGTACAACAATGTAACTATTAACATTTTCCCACAGAAGGGCAGAAAATGTTCTGTACAGTCTGGAAAAATAGCCCAAGCATTTTGAGGAATAAGGTGATTGGTATTCCAGTATTCCAGTTATGGTATGGCTATGATGACCTTGGATTGTATGAAACTATATCCTAAGGAAGTGTGTGTGTGTGTGTGTGTGTGTGTGTGTATGGTTACTGGCTGGGGTGGGAATGTTAGAAGACAATCTTCTTGCTTCCAGTAGCCTCACAACACTGCCTCACTCTCAAGGCTTGAGCAAGAAATTTGGTTCCATATGTTAACAGGTATTTGGAAATTGTCCTTTCGGAGAGCATTCCATCTCCTGCTAGGACATGGCAGGAGGTATACAAATCTCATCCTCATCGAGATTTCAAAGTGCCACTCATGTAGTATCCTAAAATGTCAATAAAAGACTCTTTATTCATAAATAACTGATATGCAGTAATTTACGTCTGTACATTTATCTTGAAAAGTCTGCAACCATCCAGTTTTTTTTTTTTTTTTTTTTTTTGCAAACTCGACATAAAACATCCAAACCGTCCATTTTGTTCAATACAATATAACAGAGCTGTTTGGCATTACCAAATATATATGTATATATATTTATAGATATGTACATGTGCTGAAAAAGAAGCCAGTGCAGCCTTTTCTAAGAAGTCCATCCAAGTTTACTGTACAACATTCAGAATTTACATTGATAATACAAGGCACAAAAAGTGTGGTATGAAGCCAAGGCTATGCTTCATTCAACCTCTCTCCTCTGGCTTGCTCAGTCCTTCAGCTTCATGTCAAATTAAGTGTTCAGCCCTGCTTTATTTTATTTTATTTTTTGGCTTTGAACACATCAAATAAAAGTTGAGAGTGGTATGGGTTTGAGATGTGAATCACTTGAAAGAACACCCCCACGCACCTTCCCAAAATAAACAGAAAAAAATGAAATCTGTTTTAAAATCTTCATGCAGAAATGGAGGTACGCAAGTACTCATATTTTTTGAGTTTGGGTCAGAAGAATGAGCCAGTTTTCCTTTAAATGCTTAGGTTGGAAATGTTTCTAGGTTGAGACTTCCTGGAGTGTATGTACCAATCAGACATGATTATGAAGAATGGGTAATTCTGAGTCTTTATTCCAATTTGGAAAAGGAGAACATTGTTCTTCCAACCAGAAAATTCCCAGATTCTGAGTGCTTTTCCACCTTTGTATAGAAAAGTTTTGAATGGTAGTGACCTACATAATCTAGCCATAAGCCTTGGAGAGTGTTTCTGATTGAAAGTTTTCAGTTACCCTCTGCTGAGGCTTATATTTCTGATACCTGGCACAGGGTGCTGTGTCTCTCAGCATCACTGGAACTAGTTAATGGAGGGATATTGGAATTATTAGGTCTATTTCTGATTGTAATGTCTGTGTTTCAGTAATGGGGTCATAAGGCATGATATTCTGCTGATAAACTCCCCTCAAATATTGTCTCTCCCTTCTATGATTCACCAGAACCATAGTTAAATCTCCACCTACAGAAATGAAAATTTAAGAGAATTATATAATTTGGCCAATTTTGGGATTTGAGTGTAAACAGTGCTTGAAATTAGTGAAATACTTTTTAGGGTTAGCAAAACTGGAGGCAAAGGGGCATTTCCATTGTAATCATGCCTTTTGTGAAAGTATTTTGACACACATTCCCATTCATGCAAAGAACTACCTTACCAAATTTAGTAATATAGTCTATAATTCAAAGCTATAACTTTTTTGAAAAATAAGTAAGATGGGGCCCTGCTGAACTCAATATTAGTAGTGGGGAAGGGAATTTTTAAGCTTAGGCATAACCATGAAGCTTGATGCCTTTTTTATCTTTGGGTCAGATGGAGGGCGGGTGCTAGGACATGAAGTTTAAATGTTACTGCCTTAGGTCCACCTCACGAGGACATTCCCAATCCATGATCTTCACAGCAAAAGGAAAAAGCAATGAGTAGCTGCTTCAAAAACCACAATTATTCTATGTCAGTTAAATTTCCTACTTCAGATCACGGTACTACACACTAGTGACTAACGGCCAGGTCTGATTTCCATCCCCTGTTACTTTTCGAAGAATTACAGTGTACAAGTTGCCATTTCAATGTCATGAATGACCCTGGAGTGGGGATGTCAGGAGTTCATGGTAGACACTGGCTCTCCTAGAATTGCTTTTGTAAAAACACCACATGCTGTCAATACAGCCAAACAGCTTTGTAACGGCAGCTTTTGAAAGAGTTTGGAACGTAAAAACACAAAATATGCAACACATCTAAGATTAGTAACATTTTCACTTTTGTGACATTGGACAAAATACATTTTTGCTTGTAGTTCAGGAAAATTCTATGCAGACAAAACAGTGGAAACTACGGAAACGGTGGTCATTCAGCTTTTGGCTAAAGCATCGATTTTCAAATACAGCACTATGGCAACTAACACCAAAGGCGAATAAAATTGTGTCATTCTCTGTAGGCCAACATTTTGCTCTCCCATTTGCTGTGGCCATCACCTCTAATCCAGTCAATGAGAGTTACTGAGGATTCAAACTCTGCAATGTTTCATGAGGAAACAATGACAATGGGCCACAGACAGTGGGCCGGAGAGGAAGATTTCTCAGCTCCTTCACGATTCCTGTGACCTTTACAGAGCTGGAACAGAGACCTCTGCGAGAACTTTGCCTTCAATACATCTGATAGCTATATCACTCAACACATTTACAGAGGGCAGAGGGACTAAGAAATTGAAGAGAAAATGGCTAAAAGGAAAAACAAAAGCATATCAAGAGATTTTATAACATTTTGAAATTCACAGGTAAATTTGCCAGAAGTTTGGCAGTAGAAGATATTATCTAAAACCAATTATCCTATTTTAATCATCTACATTTGTTTATCAATCCTGATGCTGAGAATGTTTCTCAAGGAAAATAGTTGCAATAAATCCAGAACTTTTAATCCAAAGAGAACCCTGTTTTAGTGATTTGACTTAACATCCCCTCCCAAAGACAACTGAAAGAAAAATACAGAGACCTTGGCAAAAGACACCACCTGCAGTTGGAGATAAAAATAATAATAAAAAAGTTCTTCTCTTTAAAGAGAACTGTGTCAATTCTTTTTCATCTCTTACAAAAAGGCCAATAAAATTTTTGTGGGAGTACATCTGAGTTTTATGAGACTTCCTGCACTGGTAAATGAAGTTTGCATTTAAATCCATAGAGCAAGCTTCCTTTTGGCTTAAAGGATTTTAATGTAAACCAGTAAGAATGTAGAAGCAATGTTGTAAAAACTGTAAATTAACTTTATGATGCTACAGTCTGGTGAATCTGTGAAGTGCACCATTTTGGTGGCATAATTTAAAGCCATATTTAAAGCATGACTATTGGACTTAAATGCCTTTGAGGACTGAAAGATTTGGCATTGAGTGGGATATTTTTGTAAAAATTTTAAGTAACTTACCAAGTACTCGAGGCCACTTTTAATTTTGTTTCATTTTGCAATAGGACAATAAAATTTCCAAATTAAGTGCTTGGATAGATGAGTAAATCTCTTTCAAGAGGGGTATTTGTGTTGTGACAGGCACATATTACAATAGGACTAAATTTAGGTCACAGTGAATAACTAAGTTCAAGTGTAAGCTCACTTTTTATCTGATCTGCAATTCTACCTCCTCCACCACACCTTGGTCTGTAAATCTCACAAATGTGGGTTCTCTTTGAAATTGTATTGTAACATACTGTGCAATCCTGACATGCAGTGACCACAGAATTTCATACATTTCTATAGAAATCCTATGTAGGATCCTAGCAGCAATAAGTAAAAGAAACATAAAGAAGAAACAAGACAGGCTGAAGGATGAATTTGATTGAATCTTAGGCTGAAGTCTGAGGTGAATTAAGTTAACTTCCTCCTTTGTTATCCTATATGATATGATGTTCAAGTTGTTTATAAAACCCAGGCCAAAGGAAAAAAAAATCCATGGGAGGTAACTCCAGACATTCAGGGATTGACAATAATCTTGTCTCATCTTAAAATAATCTAGATAGATTTGAGGGAAAATCATTTAGAATTTTCATCTATTTAAAAATACTTAAAATGTATCAAACATCTAAAAAAAAAGACCTATGTAGATTCACAGAGTAGATGAAACAATTATAATGCCCATTAGAAGGGAAGAGGGAAAATGCTAAAGACAGTTTAAAACAAAAATCCTCCAAGATGGATTCCAACATAAGCTCTATAATGTGCTTTCTACAAGTTTTTACTCAATAGTGAATGCAGCTTTCCTCTGCACACCACCTCATGCCAACCAACTAGTGACTGGTTGACCATCTACTTCTCTTTCTCTTTCAGAAATTCTATCAGTGATGCCAGATGATTTACATTTTCATGCTGTTTATCTATTGTTTCCTAGAAGAAATAAATAAGTTAAGCACACTAGCAAAAGGGTGTTTTCCTGATCTTGACATGGTATTGTGAAAATATGCTTGACAGTTCTAAGATGATTTCTTTGTCCTACATCATAAGCCTTTGGTTCCTGAGAAAAGCGAGATGCTTTTGAATTACATGTAGCAAAGACTTCTATCTAATATAGGGGACCATACATACCACATGTTAGTTAGAGAAAATGGCCAACACATTCAAGAGTTCTTCCATGCCTTACCCATGGTATCACAAATTCAACTCATCTTTAGGCCTTTTTCACTTGGCATGGAGATTCACAACATTATTATTATTATTTTACAAGGGATCTACAAAAAACTTGTTTAAAAAAATGGATCATATCCCAACTGCCAAGTACTCCCCAACTCCCCACCTCCCCCATTCCCTGACTACTTTTTATTCGAATGTAACCAACCTCTAAGTAGCTGACTAGCTGCCTTGTGGTTCATCTGGGTCCTTGACTTTGGTTGTCCTGATTGTGAATAGCAAGTTAAAATATCCACCAGAAGATGAGCAAGAGCAAATCTGTTCACCTTTAGTCTACCAGGACATCTTGTCAAAAATAATTTAATAGGATAAAAAGATGGAGTAAAGTGATAAGATGAGGGTCATGAATTATCTGTGGATTTCAATCTTCCACAATATCACTGCCTCCTAATGTAAAAAAAAAAATCATAGAGCAATAGCCATATGTTAGTGGTTCTATAGAGAAAGCATATTCAGGGAGGCTGAATAGTCACAGGGTGAAGGCTTCCTGAATGATGCATGTGGTTTCAGGGACACTGTGGTAGAGGATTCCTCAAGTCTATTTACTCAGATATCATTTAGAGCAAAGACTATCTGCTAATTTCCCAAGAGGCAAAATGAGGATCACATATAGCCTTACTGAGAGATTTTGTGATGACACAGTACCCACATGTTAGACAATTTCAAGAATCTGGATTGAAAAATGCAGTAAACTCATTTTCTTATAACAACAATGTTAGATAACTAGATCAACACGTGTCTCCTAGAATTACAGCTGATTTGAGGCCTATGGCATCTGCAGTTCATGTGTTTTTGAACCTGCTTTAATCTCTCCTGTCCCCATATCCATGTAATAAGCTGTGTTCTAATAGCACTCAGCAATTTGAGTGGCTTAGATGGGAATAGAGATGGTCCCACTTTGTTGTGTTAGAAAAAACAACTTTCCGTATTGACAAGTTTAATTATGCTCCTTGATACCTCCCTACTGCAAGGGGTAAGGAAGAGGAAGAAAGAATAAGGGTAGATTTGTCTCAGGAAAAAAGTAAAAGGTGGAGTACACTATAAGAACTAGTTTGTGGTCTGTCTTACCTCTCCATTGTGTCTCCATTAAGTGGCTAGAAGAGACAGGGAGCTGGTGCTGGTGTGATGTGCTCAGATTCTAAATTCTAAATGCCCTCCTTGACGTTGTTGAAGTCATACAAATGGGTTGGCAACCCTGTTTCACGTCTAAAAGCCATTTTTACAATGATCTCTGACATCACAGATGCCAGTTGGTAGAAAACTCTGACAATCTAGTACCAGAATCAGCTGGCCCTTTGGGGCACATCATTAAAAACCTATTTCAAAGCATGCACTTAATCAATCTCTGCCTTCCCAGCATTATCATAGCTCATCTTTTCCCACAGCTACTTCTGCCCTCACTTTTATCCTTGCCACTCCAAATCTGAGGAGTTAACCCAAATGTGGATTCCAAGGAGATAGTAGAGCCCTCTTATATGTAAGAGAGCTTGTACTCTTCCCTATTAACATGTTTTACCTATATAAAATTTAGTTTCTTCAACAGGGGAATCTCACTGATTATAAATGAAGGCTGAATTCCCCCAACGCCACTGGGCAGAAAGCGGCCTCTTTCCCATTTAAAGCAAATGTCCCCAAGCTGGCCATCACTCTGTCTCATGGGAGGAAGTGGACTAGAGTCCATTTTGCCTGCTGTAGTTGAAGTCGGCTTCATCAAGCTGGGATTCTGAAATGTTTGAGAGTTTCGTGTGTGTCCTCCCAATCTCTTCAAGGGCACAGGCCAGGGAGTCAAGATCACCATCATGCTGATGACGAGCTTCCCACAGGTTCAAAATGACAGCAGATGGGCTACTTTGTGTAGCGAAATAAGATAAATTCCTAGATGGAGAGAGTTAAACACAAAGAACAAAACGAAACATGAAAATAAAGGAATAAACACTGATCACCATAAGAGAATTAAAAATGAATTTTAATAGATGTTATTATAGTAGGGATAAAAAGCTATAGTAAGGCAGGTCTGGGGCAGTCTAATTTGTATCCCAGCACTCAGTTGAAACTGTGCTGTGGAATGTTACCAATAACCTTATCTCCCAAGTCTTGTTTTGTCTTTCTTGTTTGTTTTAGATACAGGGTCTTGCTCTGTCACCCAGGCTGGAGTGCAATGGCACAGTCACAGCTCACTGCAGCCTTGACCTCCTGGGCTTAAGTGATCCTCTTGCCTCAGCCTCCCAAAATGTTGGGATTACAAGTATGAGACACCATGTTTGGCCCCAAGTCTTTTGGGTCCTCACTTTCCTTGAACTCTGTGTGTGTGTGTGTGTGTGTGTGTGTGTGTGTGTGTTTTCTTCTTGACTATCCCCTTGACATGCTCTATTTCATTAGTTTATGTCATACTTTCACTCATTCCTATTTTTTCAAAATATTTGACCCCTCTCTACTTTGGCAAACATAAGAGCTTTCAAGGTTTTACCTTTGATTTCTTGTTGTTCTTTCCTTCCTCAGTGGGCTTATATGCTAAATGGAGTAGTTATCAAACAACATAGATAGTATTGTAAATCTATACCTCCAATCTTTAAGTTAATGTGAGCTAATTACAGATCTCTAAATGGCCTTGGGATTGTTCCAGTTACAGATGCCTCTAGCTCCACAAACGCAATGCATCAGAAACTGGTGTCTCCGTGCCTCCAAACTGGTCCTTCTTCTAACTAGAACAAGTATCCCAGTATTTATAACCATCTTTCTAATCTCTCACACTAGACCATTTGTTTTTGATTCTTCCTTTTATATTTTTTTTCTTTTTAACGTACTCATCAGCTTCTCCGTTGCTCTCCATGTTTACTACCTATACCTAATTTATACTCTGTCACTTTATGGTCTAAATCACAGCAAAATCTTTAGTTTTTCAAAACTCGAATATACTCTGCATTCTAGTTCCTCAGTCATGAAATATCTACTCTAGTTGTCTTCAATGACTTCCTTGGTCTGGCCTTGATCTAGCTATGGATATTGATATAAATATCCATAGCTAGATATGGATATCCCTATCTCATATATATATATATATATATATATATATATATATATATATATATATATATAGTCTTTTCTCCCACTCAGTCTTATTTTGCTCTTTGAGCCACTGACCCTGAGTTAGGTAACACTTTGCTTCTTGCTTTAATTTAATCCATTCAGTTCACTAGAAAGGTCCACTTCGTCCCTTTCTCCTCTTTATCAAGATCATACACACCCACAAATAGACAAGTTTAATTATGCTCATTGATACCTCTCTACTACAAGGGGCAAGAAAGAGGAAGAACGAACAAGGGTAGATTTGTCTCGGGAAAAAATGGTTCAGTTTTTTGTGTGTGTCTCAATGGTTCGAAATCCCAGTGGTGTTTGGCTGTGTCCAATGGTTCAATTCTCATCTCCTCTTTTCCCAGAATGATTTATGTCTTCTCTGAACTCTTTTTATGTTTGTACTTAACTTTCATGTGAATAAGATGCTTATCTATTTCGTGTGTGTGTGTGTGTGTGTGCGTGTGTGTGTTTTCTGCCTTCCCAATTTGACCACAAACACCTGAAGGGTAAGGATCATATCTACTGATTTTCTGAAACTGCTACAGCACTTATGATAATACTATGATAGGTGTTTATTCAACATTCTTCAGCCAAGTAATTGATTCCTACAGTGCTTTTTAAGATGGCATGCTGTCTTCAGTAAAAGCATGGTAAGCTTTAGGACAGTAACTTTTCTATGACGAAGACAAAGACAACACAAAAGATTACAGGTCACTGTTCTTCATAGGGACTTTTACAGTAAGGATAGAAATGTCATCTCTGGTAAAATTCTGATGAGTTGAAAAGATTTTCCAGAGCCAGCCAAGTATTTCCTATTTTGAGGATGGTATTACTTTCCCTTACCACACCCAGCTTATGGTCACAAAGACGACTGATGTAGAGTGGAGCATTCAGACTACAGACAAGCTTTTAAGGACGCGTTGCCATTTATAAGAGCCACAGATGCATGCACGCACACACACACACACACACACAGCAATTCTGAGTGAATAAAGTGCTGTTTTATTCAAAGGTCTTAAGATCCTGTTTACAGTCAGTTGGTTGCCAAACAGCACTACAAGTATGTTCCACTAATAGACATCTTTAATTGTGAAATAGAAAAGGCCGGCTTAAAAACATTCTCTCTAGTTTTTCTTTTTGTTTTTCTTTCCTTCCTCCTTTTCTTTTTTCTTTAATGGTTATTCATTGCTATACTAATAGAAATGGCAAAGCAAATCTTGCTTAAGTAGTTGAAGGGATCTTAGTTCCTCTTATTTAAGAAATTTGTTTTGGCTGAGTGTGGTGGCCCAGGCGGGAGGATCACTTGAGGCCAGGAGTTCAAGACCAGCCTGGAAAACATAGCAAGACTTCTGTCTCCACAAAAATAAAATAAATTAGCCAGGGTGCAGTGGTGCACACCTGTAGTCCCAGCTACTCAGGAGGTTCCAGTAGGAGGATCACATAAGCCCAGGAGTTCAAAGCTGCAGAGAGCTATGATTGTACCACTGCATTCCAGGCTGGGCAGCAGAGTGAGACCCTGTCTCAAAAAAAGACAAACAAACAAAAAAACCGAACAACTTTGTTTTGAATATTGGCACTTGTTCCTTGTCATGTAGAGATGTTTGTAGGGAAAGTTGCAATATCTTCCTATAAACACTGTCACCAAAACCCAGGTAGAAGGCACACTGAAGGAACAGCTGGGAGAGAGGCAAATGGAGAGACGAGGCCTGAGTGGACTCTGGGTCACCTGTGTGACAATCTTCTTTTATGTCCATCATGAGAATGATGACCATGGACATTCTTTTGTTTCTAGCATGGGTAAATGATTCTTTATGATCTCTATTGTTGTTTCAAAAACAACAGCTACAACAAAAAAGCAGCAGTACTTTCTCCTTATTAAGGATTTATAGTTACATTTTGTATTTGCTATCAAACAACGATGAACTTTTGCCCTATGGGAATGACTAGAATCTTTGTGAGCCTACTACCTTAAAAGTTAACACTCTATTCTATACCAGGGGTTGACAAACTTTCTCTGTAAATGACCAGATAGTCAATGTTTTTGGTTTTCGGGGCCACATGTGGTCCGTGTTGCTGCTACTCTACTCTGCCTTGGTATTGCAAAAACAGACAGAAACAATATGTTAAGTGAATGAGCGTGGCTGTGTCCCAATAAAACTTTATGTGGCACACTGATACTTGATTGATTGTCACACAGATTTCATATGTGGCACAATATTACTCTTTTGATTTTTTTTCAGACCATTTAAAAATGCGAAAACCATCCTTAGCTCATGGGCTGTATACAAGCAGGTGGTGGGCCAAATGTGGCCTGCAGGCCACCATGCTGACCTCGCTCCTCTGCTGTCTGTCTTGTAACCTAAAGTAGGTTTCCATAGCTAGTAGTGATTTGAAAGAAGATCAGGCTGAACTTCCTGCATTTGAAATAAGCAACTAGATGGCCAAAGTTGCTGAATCTCTAGCTCTATGTCCTGCCTCAGGCACTCTGAGAACTTTATCCTAGGTAAATGTTTGGGGATCTTTGACATTTCAAGACATGACAGGAACACCAGGGCATAAAAACGCAATAACAGAACCTTTAGAGAGGCATACAAACTAGGTTTTGAGGCTTCTAATGAATCATTGTCTCAACACAATATTAAAAATATTGGTGAGTACACCTGCCTCAAGAAAGAGAAGGGCTGGAGAATGACTCCTGCCAGTCACATGGTTCTGAAAAGTTCTGCAAATGTCCTGATTTGTGGAATAGGCACCCACGGCTAAACGAAGCTAAATGATCAAAAGAGGCAGAAACCTAACTCTCCTGGCACAGGTCTCTGAGCATATTGTAGCAAGTGAAATGTGCTCCCCAAAGCAAATTTTAAATTTATTCTTTGAATTTGCACAAGCACATTCAGCACAACATAAATCTCAAATTCCATTTAATTTTAATATATACATAGAAGAATATATTGGCCTTATTAAAAATAGTAGAATCAGCTTTGCAGTTAACAGACATCCTATTGTGAGAAAACATTTAAATGGCATTTTAAATGCCATTTTCAAGGCATTATAAATGTAAGTACTACAAATGTAACAAACCACACAGCTCATGCACCTAGAAGGTCGCAGTAAGTGAACAGAATGTAGAGGAGGGGTCAGCCAGTAACAGGGAAGAAAGTTTCATTATTGCGAAATCAAAACTTAAGCAGGGAAGATGAGAGGGTATAACCTTATAAGGGGGATAATAAAACTTAGGTGACGTCCAGGAAGATTGTTCCCATAGTACTTGGCCAATGAGGAACTGGAGGAGGGACTTGTGTACTAGGAGATAAATTACCTGCTGTAGCTGCCCTGGGTATGCCTGCCTACCAGACACCCGATCTTGCAAGACTGCTATTAAAAGTCTTACTTTCTCTGTTCTTTGTGCCTCTGAGTCTATTCTTTGGGTTTGGACGGGTGAGTGTGTTTCTCACACTATTAAACTACATTTATCTGTTTACAATAGAATAATATATAGGCTCGGCGTGGTGGCTTATGCCTGTAATCCCAGCACTTTGGGAGGCCGAGGTGGGCAGATCACCTGAGGTCAGGAGTCTGAGACCAGCCTGGCCAACATGGTGAAACCCCCATCTCTTCTAAAAATATAAAAATTAGCTAGGCATGGTGGCATGTGCCTGTACTCCCAGCTACTTGGGAGGCTGAAGCACAAGAATCGCTTGAACACAGGAGGCAGGGATTGCAGTGAGTCAAGATCACGCCACTGCACTCCAACCTGGGCGACAGAGCAAGACTTCATCTCAATATATATATATACCTAAAATCTCAATGCAATAGGTTACTTCTCAAAGATAGTTGAATTATTTTGCTGCTTACATGTGTGCAAATGCATTATGATTTTATGAAATTGGTTTGCCATGTATCCATCTCATCTCCTTGTGAAATTATTTGGATCCTAATCTACGTGACCCATTTCTCTTCATCATAATGCTGGTGCATTTGGGCACCGGCAGGTAAATGCACACACCATTCAGGGAACATTGTTAATACAGTACTACAAAACAGAATTCACAGCAATAGTTGATTTTAAGCAATTTCCTGAGTGTGTTTGATTTTTTTTTTTAATGGAACCAGAACATTAGCAAAAATAGTAATCCTGAATATTCAGACAGATGCCTGAAAATGAAACTATTTTTTTCTTTGACAAATTTTTAAGGAAGTGAATGCTTACTACCCTCATCTTAGATGCTTCAGATTGTTAACTTTTTTATGCATTGACTCCAGGGAACCTTTTGTTATAGCCTTTTCAAATTCTGATCAATGGAGGTAATTCTGAAAACTAAGATTTATTTTTTGCAGTGTCATTAAGATGTTATATAATATGCAGATGTAAACGAGCTACTCTCTATTTTTTATTAATTATTTTATTTTTGAGACAGAGTCTCATTCTGTCTCCCAGGCTGGAGTGCAGTAGTATGATCTCGGCTGACTGCAACCTCCACCTCCCAGGTTTCAGCAATTCTTATGCTTCAGCCTCCCGAGTAGCAGGGATTACAGGTGTGTGCCACCATGCCCAGCTAATTTTTGTACTTTTAGTAGATACAGGATTTCGCCATGTTGCACAGGCTGGTCTCGAACTCCTGGCCTCCAGTAATCAGCCGCCTTTGCCTCACAAAGTGCTGAGTTTACAAGTCTCAGCTGTCGTGCCTGGCCTAAACAATCTAATCTCTAAATTTTAGGAATTTACTTTAGCATTATTTTGTCTTCAATTCATTTCCCCAGCCCTATAGACTCAATAACTTTATCTTTTCCTTTGGAACTCTGAGTGAGCACAGATAAACTGTAAAATACAGGGACAAGCAGATTAAAGCTTAGGAGAAGACAGCCGAATACATTCATCTATGTAAGTTCATTGAGTACTAATGGTTTATTAAATTTAATTTTGTTTTCTTGAGCTTAAATGCTTTCTATACACCTGAGTTCCAGGGGATTTGTTTTATTACCATGATTAATTTTATCTTTCAGAGACTTCTCTATCACCATCCCTTGGCTTCAATTAAAAGCCCATGCATTATGTAGAAGCCAGGGCAGAACTGGAAACTTCTGAATCTTGACCTTACCAATTTCAGTTGGCCTATGCTAGACATAGGCCAACTTACAATGGTGTATATGAGTTAAAAAGCAAATTTTTTTATAGAATCTTAATTTTCAGAATACATCTTTAAACTAATAACCTTGTTAAAATAATAAAACTTTAGATTTGAGGATTTTTGGAAATAGTTATTGAGCCTTCTGTTTTCTTTTTTGGAGGTATAAAGGTGGGGTAGAGAATTGAGGAACCATGATAGAATTCTGCCTTATAGGTCTTTATAAATTATTGCAACACAGGGCTAATTTTATGAAAAGGAAAAGTGGCTAGAGATACCACCCTTTCTTTAGGACTGTGAAAGCTTTCAGATCTTCCCAAATCCCTGAGTATTCAAATGCAAATATTTTAGGGACTAGCACATCTAAATCCTCCATCAGTTAACAAAGAGATTAGATAACAGCAATGGAAAGGAAGGCACAGGGCTCAGGCTCTGTCTTAGCCCTGGGGAGGTACACTGAAGAGCTACCAAGGGCACCTTGCACTTCCAGCTGGAGTCCGCCCAGCTCAGCGTTCTGAGTCTGTAAGGGCCTCACTTTCATTCAAAATTCCAGATAACAAAGCTTTTATTTCAGTTACTCAGAACCATGGTACCAGGAGGACAGTCTACCTATTTGCAAGCTGTAAGCTCTTCCCGTGACTGCTTGTGAGAATAAATTTCATATAAAAATATACTAGGGGATTGCATTTGAGTTGCGGCCCCATATTCTTAGCAAAGAAGTCACTTCAACCCAGGTTCATGCAATAATTTCAGAATTTCGGCTTTTGCCCAACACTTTCAAATAGAAGGGAACACTTGTACCTGTGACGTGAGGGCAGCAAGTTTAACTGTTTAAAAAATGTTGCTACTTACATTACTTACATATGACTCTTTTTTTTTTTTCTTTCTCCAAGATAGGGTCTCACTCTGTCACCCAGGCTGGAGTGCAGTGGTGCGATCATAGCTCACTGCAGCTTTGACCTCTCAGGCTCAAGTGATCCTCCCATCTCAGCCGCTCAAGTAGCTAGGACCACAGGTGAGCATCACCATGCCCGGCTAATTTTTTTAAAAAATTATTTTTGGTAGATATGGGGTCTCACAATGTTGCCAGGGCTCACCTTGAGTTCCCTGAGATCAAGTGATTGTCCCATCTTGGCCTCTTAAAGTGCCAGGACTATAGATGTGAGCTACCATGCCTGGCCACTGTTTTTAATTTAGCTACTAAAAAGAGTATTTTTAAAAGATCTTCTGGGCCAGGTGCGGTGGCTCACGCTTGTAATCCCAGCACTTTGGGAGGCCGAGGAGGGTGGATCATGAGGTCAGGAGTTCAAGACTAGCCTGGCCAACATGGTGAAATCCCGTCTCTACTAAAAATACAAAGAATTAGTCAGCTGTGGTGGCAGGCGCCTGTAATCCCAGCTACTTGGGAGGCTGAGGCAGGAGAATTGCTTGAACCCAGGAGGTGGAGGTTGCAGTGAGCCTAGATGGTGCCATTGCACTCCAGCCTGGGTGACAGGGTGAGACTCCGTCTCAAAAAAAAAAAAAAAAAAATTTTTGAGTAGTTTGTCAGTACAAAAAGTAAAAACAAAGTTAAGCTGCCTATAATAAACTGGAAAACATCATTACAGTGTATAATCCTACTATATAGCACCAGATAGGGAATTGAAACATAGTCATAATGGAAAAATATTAATATCTCTGCTATCATTTTAATTGTCTAATTTAATGAAGGCCTCTTATGTGACCAAAACCAACCCTCCATATGCTTCTTTAAATGCAAATAGAAGAGAAAAGCCATTTATCCTCAAGAGCAGTAATTGAACACACCATAAGCATTTGACCCATTCATCAAGCTTTCATCCCCAAACTTGAATTTCACTGGGTAGTCAACAAACAGCAAAGCAGCCTACAGGATAAAGTAAGCCAGTGCTGCATTTTTAAAGACTAAGCAAGAGATGAGCACTATATAGTTCCTGCTGTCCCCCAGTATCTTCCAGTGAGAGGAAGCTGGCATGGAAAACCCGAAAGGGAAGGACATGGGCACCTGAAAACATGCTGAGTTCCAGTCTGCCTTGTTCTAAAAGTGGTGCATTAATTATTTCAGGCCAATTAATTTGGCAATAAAATTTCCCTCATCATTATCCTTTTACCTATTTCATTATCTGGTTCTTGGAAAAAAGCAAGAATTCTTTTTTTGGAAATGTATGAGAGCCCTGGATCCTTGAGGACTGTCTGTTGCCAAATGAGAACAAAGTCGGTTATAGTCCCTGTTTTCAATTCTCCAGTTTCATTCCTGACAGGATAAGCCTATGACAGTTTCTCAATTTGGGAAATGAAAAGACGATAAAACTTCACAAATAATTGAAAAGAAATAGTTAATCACTTGAAGGACACTAATAAATTAGATACAATCATTCCTAGGATTTTACAGTCTCAAATTATGTAAACATCCTTATTCAGATGTACTGACATTGTTAACTTTTTTCAGTACTATTTGAAACAGCACTTGTGAAGGGGACTATTTAGGCTATAAACGGGTTTTGGCATGCCTGTCTTTTCTGAAAACGTTAGTTTATAGGAAGGAAATCTATTCCTTCAAAACCTAGCACACACACACCCACTGCCTAGAAGAAATGCGACACCCCTTGTCAGCATCCCCTGGAGCCCACAGTGGGAGCATAACTTTAGTTCTCTTGGAGGAACATAAAAAGCTTATTTTCCATATTGCCTTTAGGATGGGCACCTGCCACTTACAAACCATATACAGCTTGTTCATGGCTAAACGTGTCCCAGAGCTGTCTATGTTCAGCTTCATATTAGCGGGCAGTTTCATGAATCACTGGCTTTGACAAAATGAAGCCCAAACCTCTACCACTTTGCTGTGTTGGGTCCCTCTGGCTTCACTGCAAGGGCTTTTTAAATTTTGGACCCTGTATAAATCCACACTGGACCAGAACCAAAAAAACCTGATATGGGCTTCATTGTATTTTTGACTACAAGGACCGATGTATAATACTATCTCCCTATCCAATCATTCTTCTTAGAAGAGTCATCTGGTTTCTAGAACCAGGTAATAAAACTTGACACGTAAATAAAAGGAAATAGTTAATCACTTAAAATATTCTCTCATAAATTAGATAAATCATTCCTAGGATTTTACTTTCTCAAATTATAAAAACATCCTTATTCAGATATAATGACATTGTCAGCTTTCTCAGTACTACTTAAAACAGGACACGAAGGCTGATTTTTTGGAAATGGCAGCCTCACACCCATTATTTGAAGGTTAGAATGTGTTTTCTAACTTGCAGAACCAAGAAAGCTTAGTTTAGTGTGATCATAGTAAATCCCCAAACACAAGAATGAAAATACCTAGAGCCCACAGTCACCAAGTAACCACACTTAGTGGTCTGCCTGTGAAGCTGGTGCTCTGTCTGCATCTTGTACTCATCATCTTCCCTCTTTTTTTTCCCCTCCCTTCTTCCTTCACTTTAAAGGAACATGGCTCTAGGACTCTCCTACCTCAAGTGATTTCGCAACAGTTATTCAGAAACAGATTGCTAAGCTGCCTTGGGGCCTTCCTCCATCCTTTTCCTCGGCCCTCTGGCCATCTCACTGTTCCTTTGCATCCAATTAATAGGATGGACAGAGGAAATGAAAAGATAGCACCTCAATGCGAGAAGATTCTGTTTCTCATTAAAGGCCCTGTTAAAAGATTTCATGGGAAACAAATTATAGCACAGCATGTCAGGCATGAGATATGAGGAATTTCACGTATACGGTTTTTACACCATAACCCATTAACTCTCAAATCTGAAGTGTGTTTGAAACATTTTAACTAGCAGACCAATAAGAAATATGTTTTCCCTGGCAAGTGCTTATACATGTTCAAACAAATATACTATTGAGGAGGGCACTGGGAAAAACTGTTAATAAGACATCATTTATCTGCTGCTTTCCATTTTGGAATCCTTTCTTCCATTGTGGCGGCCTCCCCTCTACTCATCTGCCCATATCTCATGGATCTCTTCCCATCTCATGAATCTGTTCCCATAGCAACTTGGTCAAGCTGGCTGTGTTTTCACAAGGGTTTCTGGAATATGAAAATTAGGAGGCATCACAGAAGAATGATCTAATAGAATTTCAGGTACTGTTAAGATCTGAGGGAAAAGACAGGAATCTTCCAAAATATCAGCCATGTAGCCTGTTTTAAGACTCATTTTCAAGATCCCCTGATGCTTGTTCATATCAATTCTATTTATTAAGAGGCAGGTTTTTAGGGTCAAGAACACTCTCCTGGCTAGGCATGGTGGCACACGCCTGTAATCTCAGCACTTTGGGAGGCCGAGGCAGGCGGATTACTTGAGGCCAGGAGTTTGAGACCAGCCTGGCCCACATGGTGAAACCCCATCTCTGCAAAAATACAAGTTAGCCAGGCATGGTGTTTCATGCTTGTAATCCCAGCTACTCTGGAGGCTGAGGCAGGAGAATCACTTGAACTCAGGAAGTGGAGGTTGCAGTAAGCCGAGATTGTGCCACTGCACTCCAGTGTGGGCAACAGAGAAAGACTCCATCGCAAAACAAACAAGCAAACAAAAAAGCCACTCTCCTGTGAAAGAGTTCATATCGTTCATTAGAGAAATATTTATTGAATAACCCCCAAGTAGATAGTCCTCTCTCAGTATGTTTAATTGTAATTTAAAAATAAAAAGTATCATAAAAAATACAAAGCACTATGGAAGTTTAGATATGGGGGAACACTTCTATGTAAAGCAGTTAGTTTCCAACATTTAATTTGTTAAGTCCTCTGCATTGCTCCCCACCACCTACCCGCTACATGACCAATTCGTTATTTCGCAGTTCTACCCAGCTACCAATCACAGGTGGCCAAGAGCATTGAAATGGAGTTATTACAGCTGAATTTTCAGAATAAATGTGCAATCTCAGCTTTGAAATGCAGCAAGTATGAACTCTGAGTAATAGTCAAAGTTTGCTCACAGAATCTATAACTACAACTGTTATCTATGACATTCTTTGCTAGGCTGTGTAGCTTATTTAGCGTGATCCATATGCCAGGCAAGCGGCAAGGCCACCTGTGTTGCCAGCCGTACAGCACACACTCCTGACATTTCTCGCATTCTCATCGACTGCTAAGCTTTTAACTTTACATTCCCTGTCTTTTCCTTCCTATTCAGATCTAAGTAGAAACTTGATTGGCAAAAAGGCATATTATCATCAGTGACATTTGCATTTACCAAAAGGAGAGTAAGAAAACATTTTCACTGGCAATAAAGTAAAAGCAAATGTTTTCTTCCACTTGTTTTGAAAGTTTTCCTTAATGATTTGAGGACAGTAGTTTTACTAGCTTTTAAACGCTTTTTGGAATTGAATGGAGGGGAAGAGTCAGGCGAAAGTGCAGTCACAAGATTAAGGTAGGTGAACTGCCTGAATAGAATGACTATGCACTCTGTGATCACCTTTTTGTGATCCCAGGGTTGATGAAATCCTCAGCCATGCATAGCTTTCTTACTCAATAATGTTGGCATAGAGACAATTTTAGATTTCTGTGTATTAAAACATTTACTATTAGTTCTAGACTACATTATTTGGACTCATAAGAGAGAAAAGACAATGGTTTGGGGCTTTTACAATGGGAAGTTGTGACAGATTACATCCAAAAAATCCCTGTTGTCTTCGGGACAGTACTAAAAACAGAAAGGGAACTTGACAATTTCTGCAAAATATAATTAGCTAAGAGAGTGCAAGGTGACTGTGAGTAGTTTTCTTCTATTCTTCTTCTCCAAGTATTTTGGTGGCCAGCTCTGCTGTAACCACACCAGCCTGAAGACAGAACTGAATGAGAAGGCCCTGTTAAAATATTTCATTTTACTTTCTAAAATTATAAAAACATCCTTATTCAGACATACCGACATTGTCAGCTTTTTCAGTACTACTTAAAACAGGACATGAAGGCTGATATTTTGGAAATGGCAGCCTCACACCCATTATTTGAAGGTTAGAATGTGTTTTCTAACCTGCAGAACAAAGACAGCTTAGTTTAGTGTGATCATAGTAAATCCCCAAACACAAGAATGAAAATACCTAGAGCCCGTGGTCACCAGGTAACCACACTTAGTGGTCTGCCTGTGAAGCTGGTTCTCTGCATCTTGTACTCATCTTCTTCCCTCTTTCTTTTCCTCCCTTCTTCCTTCACTTTAAGATAGAGCCAATAACATCCTATGGAAGTTTTACTAAATCAAGGCAAATTCACTTAAATCAGGGGTCAGCAAACTGCAGACTATAATCCAAATAGGGGTCGTTGTCTATTTTTGTGAATATAGCATACTGGCACACAGTCATATCTATTTGTTTACAGACTCTCTCTGGCTGCTTTCCTGTTACAGCATCAGAGTTGAATGTTGCCGAGTAGTTGTGACAGATCCCATATGGCCTAAACTCTTTCCTGTCTGGTCCTTTACAGAAAAAATAAGTTTGCTGGCTCTTAGTTTAAATCATTTTCACTCCATGATTTCACTATTTTTTGAGAGTAAAGCTAGAGATTAAAGAGAAAGGTAGGGAATGACACTCAGTGAAATTGATATGTTAACTGTATGAGGTTTTTCATTTATTTAGTATTATTGTTTTGAATCAGGGTCTTGCTCTGTCACCTAGGCTGGAGTGCAGTGGCACAATCATAGCTCACTGCAGCCTCAAACTCCTGGGCTCAAGCAATCCTCCTGCCTCAGCCTTCCAAATAGCTGGGGCAAGAGGCATACACCACCATGCCTGGCTAATTTGTTGAGACAGAGTCTCGCTCTGTTGCCCAGGCTGGAGCGCAGTGATGCGATCTCGGCTCACTGCAACCTCTGCCTCCTGGGTTCAAGCAATTCTCCTGCCTCAGCCTCCAGAGTAGATGGGATTACAGGTGCCTGCCACCATGCCCAGCTAATTTTTGTATTTTTAGTAGAGACAGGGTTTCACCATGTTGGTCAGGCTGGTCTCGAACTCCTGACCTCGTGATCCGCCCACCTTGGCCTCCCAAAGTGCTGGGATTACAGGCATGAGCCACCGCACCCGGCTAATTTGTTAATTCTTTGTAGATACAGGGTTCTCCCTAAGTGCAGGCCGGTCTTGAACTTGTGGCCTCGAACTTGTGGCCTCAAGTGACACTTCCACCTTGGCCTCCTACAGTGCTTGGATTACAGATGTGAGCCGGGCTATATAAGATTTAAGGATAGAAGTAGATTCCATATATTTGTGCTATTGTGATTTGCCATGGATTGTGAAAATGTCAAGGGGGAAAACTAGCATTTATTAAGAATCTACATATTCTGGGTTCTCTGTTAGAAATTTTCTATGAAATAGGTTATATGAATTATGTCAAAAAAATTTTCCTGGAGATGGGATCTTAAAGAAAAACAAAAACAAGTAAACCATCAGCCACATGAGCACTCAGGTTTTATGGCCCCAGACACAGAAGGGGGCAGTTGGCTCCAGGGTAGCCACTGACTGCTCATTAGTGCTCAGATACAAAAGGTTGTTAAACTTAAGTCTCCCAGTTTGAAATGCATTTTCCCTACCGTGCAAGGTCAGAAACTGATGACTTTGGAGGTACTCCCTGTAGTTCTCTTATGTGTACTATAAATGGAGAATAAAATGTAATAAGGTAGGAACATGTACATGCTTATTCAGCAAATTAATTACAGCATCTATGGGCACACAGGTATTTTGTGACAATTATTTTTTTCTAAATGGTGACTTAAAAAATCATAAACTTTTATAGCCAGCATGAATTAGACTTAATATAGTTTAGATTCAATTGCATTTCTAGAAAAAGAAACACAGGGATAGTAAGTGACTCATTTAGGCAGACTGGTATTGGTAGCAGAACCAAGGCTCTCATGCAGATCTTCTGAGTCCCTGTTCACTGTTCTTTTTTAACCGTGTTATATTTTCTGGGTTCATTTTTCATTTTTGGATCCATGTTGATCAGAAAGGGAAATTGACACAGTCATGGTGTTCACTGATCATAGACAAGACATCTCATCTTTTGTCAGAGTTGCTGGGAAATATTCAATCTAATTTTTTTCCCCTGTACACTCATACATTTTTGTTTCTTTCATTTTCAATATATGCCTTTTCAAACATATGTCTATTCTTTTCGGGCTTGCCTGTCTCTGTAAATTCAGTTTTCTCTTGCAGCAATGCCTCCGTCTTGACTTTCCTCTCTGAGCCTGACTGATTTCTAGTTGAGCCCTTCGTTCTTGGCTTCTGGATCCCTTTTGCAACTGAGAGCAGCACTCCATCCCTTCTTGGCAGACATCTACCCTCCCTTTCAGAGAAGAAAGAGTCAGGTAGGATGTCTGTGAAAATAAAGAACAAAAAATGAAAATGACAGAGCAAGCCAAACAGTAAGAAAATAAGGTTTTGCCTGAAAGAAAAAAAAAAATAGTACCAAAGGAAAGAGAAATAAAATGGTTCTGGCAAAATATATTCTCTTTTCTATTCATTCTGGGGGCATGCAGAGGGCTTACAGGGAGAGGAGATGTCATTTTTCAGGGCAGGGATGCTGTGTATCCCTCAAGCTGAGCCCAAACCTGCCTGGCCATCAGTGTTGCCCTGAAGAGCATCACCCCTGCCTGTCTTACCTAAAGTAATAAAGTCCATTATGGATCTCTCTATTCTACTCTCAACTACAAATGTTAGTGCAGTAATGAGCAGTGTCAGTTTTAGCAGCATGTTCATTCACAGTTCCTAGGCAAGCTTTTGCTTATTTCACATCCTCTGGTTTCAGACCCAAAAGTTATCTTCAAACTTCTTTTTTTCCTATTCAGGCAATCAATTTTGTAGGTTGAGCATGTCCTCATTAAGGGTTAAAGAATGCTTAGGGTTACCCGATAGTAGAGGGGAGACGTGAGAAATTTGCTTGTTTCTGCATCACTGGCTTAAGAAAGTGCTCTGTTCACTCACAGTCTCCAAGATAACATAGTCTAATCGCCCATTTGGGTGACCCAATTAGCAAACCTAGAGATGGTACCAGAACCAAAGTAGGGATTTTCTATAATGTTGCAAAAGGCAGAATGGGGTAGCAGGAAATGTCACACAGAGTGTCTTTTTTTTTTTTTTTGGAGGAGGGTCTTACTCTGTTGCCCATGCTGGAGTGCAGTGGTGCAATCTTGGCTCACTGCAGCCTTGACCTGCCAGGCTCAAGTGATCTTCTCACATCAGCCTCCCAGGCAGCTGGGATTACAGGCGTGCACCACCATGCCCAGCTAATTATTTTTTGTGGAGATGGGGTCTCACCATGTTGCCCAGGCTGGTCTCAAACTTCTAGGCTCAAGCCATTTGCCTGCCTCGGCCTCCCAAAGTGCTGGGATTTCAGGCGTGAGCCACCACGCTTGGCCTACTGTTATTTTCTTGCTCTTTCCCCACTTACTTAGTGGGAACACACAGGAAATATGGCCAGAGGAACTCATAAAAATATTAGGGCTCAGAAACTACATGGTTTCACTTAGCCCACTTTATGTTTCCAAGTTCTCTTAGTAACATCGTCTTCCAGAAGCTGTCCCCAATTACCTGTTGATGCTGTTTTTCTGTGCTAACATCTGCCAGTCCTTGCCTTTGGCATTGGGGGTATCAAATGTAGCACAAATCCGCTGTCTGATGGAGTAGGGAATTTTGAAGGCTTTGGGGCCAGTCTGTGCAGGGAAAGTGCTGTCCTCTTGTGCGAAGAAAGTGATGGTTTCTCGTTCACTCTATAAACAAAATAAGGAACGCATGATCAGATCTATCTGAAAGCAGTCCTGACCAACACTTTCATTTTTTAAGAAAATCTGGGTTAACACACATGCACAAAATGCTTGCCTGTTGTGATGGACTCTATAAAATACATTGATAAGTTCCCCTTTCTTCTAAGATAGTAAAGAACTTCTCTAGTAGCCTAATAAATTGTGTACTGGAAATTTACAACAGCCTCTTCCACTCAGGGGCGTCACAATGACTAGCTTCCAGCATTAAAAGAGCTGTCAGAGGCTGGGCACAGTGGCTCATGCTTGTAATCCCAGCACTTTGGAAGGCTGAGGCAGGTGGATCACCTGAGGTCAGGAGTTCAAGACCAGCCTCGCCAACAGGGTGAAACCCCATCTCTACTAAAAATATAAAGAATTAGCTGGGCATAGTGGCAGGTGCCTGTAATCACAGCTACTGGGGAGGCTGAGGCAGGAGAATCACTTGAACCTGGGAGGTGGAAGTTGCAGTAAGTTGAGATCCCGCCATTGCACTCTAGCCTGGGCAACAAGAGCCAAACTTCGCCTCAAACAAAAAACAAAACAAAATAACAAACTGTCAGGTGAGAGCAGAATTAGACTCTTTTTCTGTTTGTTTTTGCTCTCAGGCATAGCTCTAGAATCAGCAGGAAGAAGCTACCAAATGACAGATTTCAGTTCAGAGTGAGGAATGACCCTCTGATAGTCATAACTAATGGTGAATGGGCTGATCAAAGGAGCTGCCTAGGAAATGCCTTGTAGGAAATCTACAAGGGTATAATTGTATGTTGATTACCTTTAATTTTATTTTCTTCCCAAGTCCTAAAGTTGTGTGATTTTATAATAAGTATCTTTATTTCAAAATTAAATAAAATTGTTTCAGAATTAAATTGCTTTGGTATAACAGAGCCAGCCTTGAGTCAGAGTAACATATAGACCAGCCTGTATAGTGGTATAATCAGGAAGGCTCCTGCCTGCCTACCTGCTTCTGGTTTAAAGCTGTCCAATAAGAATTTGTCATTTCAATATTAATCCTTATATCCAACATGAAATCACACAGAAATGTGCCAGGCTGCAGTGGTTGCTAAGAAGTTTAGGTGGACTAACAGAATTTTAAGGACTGAAAAATATCCAATTGAATCACTTCCATGATTATAAGACAAAAGGGACTCTGCTGATGTAATTAATGTCCCTAATCAATTGACTGACTCAATTAAGAGATTTTTTCTGGGTGGGCCTGACCTAATCAGGTGGTCCTCAAATGAGAAGAGATAGGTCTTTTCTGGAGGTACCTTTTCTCCTTGTCTAGAGGAAAGCAAACAGCCAGTCTATGAGCTTCCTATAGAGGGGGTCATGTATCTGGGACCTGAGGGTGGCTTCTGGGAGCTGAGTGACCTCTGGCCAACAGCCAGCAAGAAAATGGGGACCTTAGTCCTAAAGCAATAAGGAACCAAATGGTGCCAACAACCTGTATAAAAAAAAAAAAAAGGACTCTGAGCTCCAGATGAGAACATGCCCTGGCCAACACTTTGGTTTCAGTCTTATGACATAATAAATCAATGTCATTTTATGCTTCTAAATTAGTGGTAGTTTGTTATGTAGCAAAAGAAAACTAATCCAAGGGGTAAGTAAAGCATCAGATCTGGGATTGAGTTAAGGGACTAGTTAGAACGTTTAAACTCCAAGAAGCTGTCCTTTGTCTTAGAAACTTGCCTGTTATGCCCTCCAAGTACACACATGCCCTTCCTTCCCTCCCTGAAATCCTGCCCTGATGCCTCTTCCAATTGTTAAATGTCTTCCTAATGTGGGCACCACAACCATGACGGCCTTTTTCAGCTAGCAGCCGGGCTCACATAAGTATAAACTATCAGGCTTGGTAGGTTGAAAATAGAGTTCTTAAATCTGTTAATTGAGAAAACTGATTGATACAGAAATTTCATTAATGATTGATAATGATTTTTGTCTCTCTGTAACTATTTAACACAGTTGCATTTTGAGGGCTCTGTTTTTGGAAACACAATGCATTAATCCACCAGTTCCAAAAGGATATCTCAGAAGAGATTCCAAGAAATGGCAGTTTCATGGTCACGCACATGTGAGAAATGCTGCATATCATACGCTCTTCTTAGAACCTCAAAGTACATGTTATTATATTAAACAGATTGTACTTACTGGTTTTAGTTATGTTCCTGGAATATTATAAAACAATATTCATCAAAACTATTCCAGTATTTATATAACAGAAAAGAGCATGGTTTTTAGAAGCAGAAAGACCTCACTTTGGAGTAAATCTCAACACTTTCTAGTTCAGTGACCTTGGATGCTACCTTATCTATCTCAGCCCCAACTTCCTAATCAGTTATTTTGCATTTGTATAGACTCCACAGAAGTTATGAAACCCGGAAAAATTCACCCAGGTAGTTTGTGACAGAGGTGAAACTAGAATTCTGACATCCTAACAACTATACCAGTACTTATTTCACTATAGCACCCTGTTTCAAGACAAGTGCCAAGAAATCTACAGTGCTGGGTGGTTAAGGAAAACGTTCTCTGAGTACAGTAGGAAAGACTTCATGGAGGAGGCATTTGAGTTGGCCTGAAAGATAGGTAGGCATTGACCGAGTAGAAATTAGGTGGATAGGTGGTTATTCCAGGCACAGTGGACAATTCTGTTCTGATATATTGAATGGTTATAAAATGAACCTACTCAGCTTCTTCCTGCTTAAACTAGGTTACAAGATACATCATTTTTATCATGGTTTGTAAAATTTCTTCTAGTCTCTAAAAATGCAAATCAAGTAGGAATAGTATCCTTGCATATTTTCTGACTTAAGACTATGATAGAAACTAGAAGCAGAATTTTTTTTTGATTCTATACAAGTTAACATGGTAGCTGCCATTGTCAATGCCAAAGACGTGGCTTATCAATGAAACTGAAAACATTGGAAGTGTCCATGCTAAAGGATCCCAAGGGAAAGAATTGGCCTCTGAAAGCCCTCATGGCACCTGTAAATTGTTGACCGAGCTCTCTCTTCACTGTGGGCAGAAGAAAAACCACCTTGATGCATGATATCTTCAGAGAAAACTGAACAAGTTGATCTTATTTGAAGGTGAATAAAGTATTATATGAGATTGAGTCTAAAAATAAGTAATTTTTCAATTTACTACACATTAATAAGTGGGTCCCTATTTCCCTCTTAAAGTTTTCAAATTTAAATATTTTCCAGGCATAAGGATGACACTTTATGTAACATTTATGATGCACTCTAAAAGACATCTGGGCCAAGTAATAAGAATCCTGTAGATACATCACATTTTCTGATTGTTTAAATTAAATATGCAGAGGAACAGTAGATCTTCATGCTCTGCACATCTGAGATAAGCAGCTGCTACCTGGTAAGCTAAGGGAGTTGTAAATCAATGAGAAATTCCAACTATTCTGTCTGTTGTAACAGACAAATTATCCCCCAACTTCCAACACTTTTGGAAGAAAGATAAGAGAACTGCTTGAAGGGAAAATTGTAACATGCAAGATTCCTTCAAGTTGTTTATATTGAAGAAAAGATTCTTTAATAATGTTACATTAATAAGGAATGATGAAATAAATTACTTGGGAATTCTTCCTTTCTCTTCAATATTTGCAAAATTGTTTTATTCCAGTCTGCAATTTTAGACTGTTGATACTGTTGCTTTATAGAATATTGGTTGGCAGTAATCATTAGGTAATTCAATAGGGTTAAATTTAAGGGGAACAACTTTCTTCCAAAGACTGATACAATAATGACCACACTAAAGAGTAAAACAGATATATTATCTTGGTCAGAAAAATAACTTTTAAGTGTGAAGGTGATATGAAGGACTGGGTTTGTTTGAAAAATCACTTAGATCAGAGGCATGAAGGGATATGTCAGGGATGAGGCTGAACATGAAGGATCAAATGCCTTCAATGAGGATGATTATTGCATTGACTTAAAGATTTAAAGCAGTATTTGAGATAGATATCTTATTAATATTTAAAAATCAATATTTAAAGTATTTTATACATCTTAAATCTTGATCCTATATAAAATGTTAATTATATAAATATATCTTACTAATGTATTAAACCACCTAAATGTCTTTTCCTGCCTAGGGGACATGAAGTATGATGTGCTTTAAAAATTGATCTATTATTCCTAAC
Source organism: Homo sapiens (assembly GCF_000001405.40). Lineage (NCBI taxonomy): Eukaryota > Metazoa > Chordata > Mammalia > Primates > Hominidae > Homo > Homo sapiens. The sequence goes on along the minus strand of NC_000008.11, from coordinate 35,770,109 downwards.
TCACCAATAGAGACCTGGGTCTAGAATGTATCCTGCACCTCCCCAGGTCATCCCAATTTCTCAGCACTTTTTGCGTCTTCACTTTTGCTGGAACCATTTACCAAAAAATTAAGTCATTTTAGGGAAAAGAGGACAGTTTTCTTTTCTTTTTGAGACAGAGTCTCTGTCACCCAGGCTGGAGTGCAGTGGTGTGATCTCATCTCACTGCAACCTCTGCCTTCTGGGTTCAAGCAATTCTCCTGTTTCAGCCTCCCGAGTAGCTGGGACTACAGGCACCCGCCAACACTCCCGGCTAATTTTTTGTATTTTTAGTAGAGACGGGGTTTCATGTGTTAGCCAGGATGGTCTTGATCTCCTGACCTTGTGATCCGCCTACCTCGCCCTCCCAAAGTGCTGGGATTACAGGCATCAGCCACCGCACCCAGCCAAGAGGACAGTTTTTATGCATTATATGTATCACCAGATGTGTGTCTTTCCTGTGAGTCAGACAATCCCAGGATTAAATGGGTTTGAGCAATCATTCAACCAAGACATCCATTTGTAGGCAGAGCTACATGTAGGATCTCTATTATAGAATGAACAATTCTAGTCCATCACACAAATGGTTACATCCCATCCTTTGTTCTTTTGAAGAAAGAACTTCCCAGTTTTCATATACTTTCAGGTACTGGAAGACAAAATTTCTGGTGCTGTGATGTTTGTCACTAGTACCTGAGTCCCTGAAGAGAAGCCATACTGTGAAGAAGGCCCACAGTTAAGGCTAATCCATTAGATGGCCTTGACTGGGGTCCAGAAGTAGTGTAGTGGAGTAGTCAGACTTTGATCTTCAAGTCAGGTCTCTGAGTTGGGTACTGTGGCTCTACTCCCTTATGAGTTCCATGATCTTTGATCTTGGACAAGAAAGTTCATGCCTTTGAGACTTTTATAGCATGTAAAATTGTGATAGCACTAATACTTAACCCACAGAGTTTTGATGGCTTTATGACAAATACGAAAGCAAATGAAATGATATCTGAAATATAGTGGCTTACAAAAGTTATTAGTCATCTTCTGACACAGAAAATGAGAGCAAATTAGACTTGTCTAAAAAATACAGTTTATACAAAATGAAGATGACAACCTGGGCCAAATTCTGTAGCTATGCTTGAAGCAATTAATAAAGTGATCCTTGAAAGGATCAAAGGGTTAATAAAGCCTCTAAAATGCAGCAGCCCTCAAATTGGATGACTATAGCCTAACAATAAATATTGAAATATTATTCTCATACTTGCCTCTCATTATCAAGAGATATTATGATGTTATCTTCTGCAAGGCATTTCTAAGTGACTGTAAACTTGTGAAGCATTAGAAAAGAAACTGGGGAGTAAACAATAAGGTTGTGTTTATTAGCTAATTTTCCTTTCAAGTGCTTTAAGAATTTATTAAGCAAGGAGCAAAAATACCTATCACATTCCTCTTACATAAATGTCCTGTAATAGCACAAGTTGATCACTAATATCTGGATGCCTTTACAAACAATAACCTTTAAACCCGAACTCATTGGCCTGTTAACGGACATCTAGGGCAATTTGGATGAGAGGGATCTTTTATGTTATGCCTTTTCATGCTTCCTTCTGAATACCAGCTCTTCTTGGATTTTTTGTTTTTATTTTTAAAGCCTTCCTACAATTTTTATTTTACTTTGGAATGTATCGTGTGAAATATACCAACACTGTTCAAGAAAGAGCCCCTAAAAATATCCTACCCCAGGTTTCCAGATCTACCTTCTCCGTCAAAACTACTTGAGCACATAATGCTAATTGGCAATAATGAACGCAAATACTGCATAAACATGTCAGTTAAGACAGCTATGAATTTTAAGGCACAATCCTTTGGAAAGCCATCCGCTCTTCAGAAAAACTATTTGGGGAATTAGCAATGCTCATTTTGCATAAACAATGAATTCAAATGAGAATAGAGAGAAGGAATAATGCTATACAGCTATAAATTATCCAGGAAAAAACCTTGAAATTGAATTGTAGGTATATAAATGTGTTCAATCTTCTGCCAAGCCTAAATTTATAAATATATATTTATATATTAATAAATGCATATATGTATATATATATTTATTTTATAAGTGAAAAACAAAAAATGTATGTTTCCCTACACTAGCCTGTAATGACCTGGAAACTGACAAACAAAAGCATCACAATCCCTCTTCTAATCTCTCCCTCTATCCCATTCAGGAAGGATGGCTATTGTCTACTTTATAAGCTTATGTTCAAAGCCATAAAGTCACTTGGTGGTTTAGGACAAATTGGAGCCATGATGGAAATCAGATGTCTTTTTGCAAAAGTTCTCCAGTGAATCCTCCCTTGACTGCTACTTGTAACTCTACCTTCCAATACTGATTTGACCTGGACAAAGTCCTTTCTCTCTTTGCACTTCTATTTCCTTACCTTATAGAATGAGATCCTTCTTATATTATTGTACTGTCCTGTCCTCCTTATATTATTGTATTGGAAGGGAGTAATGAAAATGTGGATGTACAGAATTCTGAGCCTGGGGAGTATGAGAAACAGTAAGACAGGGAGTCCCATCCCTGGAGATAAAATAGCACATATAGGGCAACTGACTTCTGGAAACTAGTCAGAACCAGCAGAAAAACAGTCTGAGGGTGGCTTTGTGCCTCTTTGTGGCATGTGTCTCAACTGTACCATCTGGCTTCAGTCTATAATGAATCTCAGCTGGTAATCCAAGCCTGCTGTGGAATAAGACTTCTTGTGATTTTGTGTATCAAAAGCCTGGTACCAGTTCCTTCCCCAGAGGTGCCTTCACAGTCTAAGCTCTCTGATGGGTTGAGTTTCCTTGCCCAGGGGGAAGTTTAGTTCAATCCTCGGCATGCGACAAAGCTTATTTTCCCTCATCAGTAATGAAGATGAAGAGTTTGTGCATTTTGAAGCTCTTTCAGAACCTGAATAGCACGGCTGGTAGGTATAGCTTTATTATTCTTATCGTCCTTCAGAAAGGGGGTCAAATGACCTGTAGATCAAGGACTCACCTCTAGGATTGATGTCTGCACTTGGAGGATCTGTTCATGGCCTTTGAGCTGCCGAATGCAGATTTTGCAGGACAGCTGGGTGGTAGTGGGCGTATAACGCTCCAGGGAGAAGGCACAGTGCAGGGGCTGCCGGTTACTGCACCACACGCGGGAGAACGGGACTTCCTGCAGGGGAGACGGAGAGAAGGGATGGTGTGCAGAGCCTGGCTGAGATGAACTAGAACAGGAGAGACTTAATAGTGATGATGATGATGATGATGACGACAACAACAACGATGAGGACAATCACAGCAGAGATAATTGCCTAGGCAGCTTTAGTGGAATTGTTGTAAAAATAATGTTCCAGCAAATGCCAAGCAGCACAAATGTAATTAATGTCAATTCCAACTGATAACATTTGAATTCCAAAACCGCACTGCAAGAGCTCAGATTTCACTTGGTGACACACAATTAGAAAGAATACCATCAAAAATTATCATTTTCATTCCCCAGTTAGAAAATATTTTCCTTTGGAAGACTCCTGTGGGCCATGCTTCTACTTCGGTCTGGGGTAGGATGTTATCTTTTCACTTATGTAAAAATTATGCTAAGGAACTGATTGGCCAGAACTTAACTCCACACCACAAACTCATGCAGAATTGTGAGAATACAATATTGCTAATGTATCCAACATAAAAATTAATACCCAGTGCAAAATCACACACATATACACACAGCCAGGGAGAGAAAGAGGGAGGAAGGAGGGAAGAGAGACAGACAGACACATACAGGGCCACCCCAGAGTGATCTAGTTTGTCAGTTCTTCATTTGCTCAATTTGTCCATTCAACTATAATGTATAAAGTGCCTGCTAATTACCACACACTGTACTAGGTAAACAATAAGAAACAAGAACAGATTCAGTCCCCTACTCTCAGGGGACATATGGACAACTGAGAGGCAAAAATACCTTTTAGTAAATGAGGAGGGAAATGATAAAATCTATAGATTACTCATTTTTCCTAGTATTAGCCAGTGCTTGCTACCAGACTGTGACTAATATGAAGTAGAAGTTAGTCACCGAAATTTTTTTGTGTACTAAAAAGCCTCTCTCCTTTCTACTCAAATGTGGCTTGGCCCTTGGCAATGACCACATATGCCTCTGGTAATCCTCACGCTCACTTTTTTCTCTATTTCTCACCTTATTAGTTTGCTCCTTTACCTATTGCTAAAAATAAAATTTTCTGCAATACTAGAACTGAAAGGTGGCAAGACATATATCAAGTCTGGAAGTTTGGAACCCTGAACTATGACTGGTGATGAAGCCAGCATGGGTCATGAGACTAAAAGAGCACGATTGAAATGACCGGTTCCCTTTGAGAAGCTATGAGTTACCTAGTTATTCCCGAGCCCTTATGTGCACACTTGTTTGGATACCTTGCTTCCTAATTTTCTCTATAGAAAGCCTCACAGATTTTTATTTTGGATACTTTCTGGTGGACTCAGGAAGGAGGGATGGATGGACTTTAGATTGTTGTGAACTTGAAGAGAGGAAAGCCAGCTTTAAGGGAGTATGAAATAATAAAATCAAATATTCTACCATGCATCTTAGCAATAAGCTGTGGGTCGTTTTGTTTGTTATTAATCCTGAACCAAAAGAAAAGTGGCATTTCAAGAAGGATGTAGAGAAGGTCTATAGGCAGGAAACCATCTGGCATTTCACGGACTTCATTCCTGTGCAAGAAGTGGGCTGTTAGTATGGAACTCTATCTTTGCCATTCTCTGTTCTTCCCCATGCGGAAGGGGCTGGAAGCCTAAAAACTACATTTTATAGACTCCCCTGCTGGCAGGAGTTCACATTCCCATTCTGACCACAAGAGGCACTCATGTTAGATTTGGAAGGGAGAGGAAACGCAGAAGCCATCACTGCCCCCCTAAGATCAGCAGGCAGACCCAAAGGCTTCAACTGACAGCCCAAGAAAGGTGTGCAGGGGCTTCTGGACATTCACCGGAGAATCCACTGCTTCAGTGCTAGTGCACTTCCCTGAAATTCCTGACCTGACTGGTTTTCTAATACCACTAGTAGCTTTCTCTGACCTTGGCTCTCTACAGAGGTTTTGTAATCACATAAATCCCTTGATTAAATTTCCCCTTGGTTGAAATGTCTTGAGTGCCTTCTATTTTCTTGACTAAAACAATCCTTGAAGACATTATTTTAGAAACAGATGTGAGTTGGGCAACCCTGAAAGGGGCTACTACTGAGTTCCAGAGGGAGGCTATTGTCTGGGGAAAATGCTGGAAGAGGCACCAAGCTAATGATCACTAAGTGTGCTTTTCACTGGAGGACAACTTGCTTGTACCATCAGCTGACAACACATGTCCGTTTAATGATATTGCTTTCCCACTTTCTTCTAATACAAAAATATTTTACTTATGATCTCTTTTCTTCCTGTGGTAGATCCTGCAGCAGAGGGCATTTCTGATTTGTGGGGCCTCCTGCAATGCCTACAGTAAGTCATTTTCTCTAAAATACTCCAAATGACTTTTCACTTGTATCATCATATGCACTTAGAAGTTCTGCCATTTCTCCTTGTTATCTAATGTGATTCTTTTCCTAATTCTCCTGAGCTTTGTTCCACTTTGTAAACCATGGGCAGCCCTTCCTCCACATCTCAGCCTCCTACACTTCTCTTTCTGCCTACTGTACTGTTCAAGATCCCATCTGCTCACACGTGCCCCAACTGCCATCTCTCTCTGAAGGACTCCAAAAACATCATCTCTGTTATTTATCTGATTGTCCTCAATTCCTGGCATTATACCCCTAAGCACTACAAATAATCTTGTTTGGTCTTTACTTCTCTGGCAAATTTAACTTTTGGAAACTGATTGCCATCATCTCTCTCTGCCATTGTTCTTCTCCTCTAATATTCTGGTTTCCATTATGCTTCCATTATGGCTAACTCTGGTCACCTACTCCCAGTCTTCCTGCCTTCAAGCTCTACTACATAGAGCAAATGAGGGGGTTGGGGCTTAATGGGAGAGGCAAATAGCTCAGGAAAACAGAAAGCAGAAAGCAGCTGATTGGGATTATTCAGGAAATAGCATTATGGTCTCTTTTTTACCTCTAATGATTGGGGGCAGGCAATGATGTGACCAGGCCACCTAGGAACTCTGCATTTATTACATGAGTCCTTTGCTTGGGAGACCACAGTGGTCGTTTGATCAACCTGCTGTGTGAAACTCTGTCTCCTGCCTGGCCTTCAAGGGCTTCCACCATCTCTTGCCCTGTACTTGTTCTCTCCATTCTTATTTCTATTAGCCCTCAAATAAACTCTCTTCTCCAAACCAGTGAATTTTTGTAGGGTTGCTTTGCACTATGCACTTCAATGAAAGTAACCATAACATAGCACTCTGGAGTTCACAGGTACTTTTGCCTAAGGTGGTTTTGCCCAGCTAAGCTAAGTAGGAGGCTTTTGTTTCCTAAAATTGAAATTTGAGTTATTATAGTGTAATGCAAGCACTTGGACTTCAGGGCTAGACAAAGAACCGTACTCAAGATCCAGCTCTTAAGCAAATGTACATTTTCTGCAATTTGATTTGAATCTTTGGTAATGCTTGCCTTCCAAAAAAAAAAAAAAAAAAGGCACTGACCATTCATTTAAAATGAGTATCTTCTCTGGTATCATTTGCTAAATTCTCTGTATTTTCTCCTAAAAACACTGGAAGAAATATAAAAGAGTAATGCCTACTGCAGAGATAATTCTTCCTTGCAGAAAGACATGAGAATTAGCACCAAAAAACAATAAAACAAAAACCCTCTTTTCTCTTTTCCATTCCATTGAACACAATCCAAACATTTTAAAAAATCTGATTTTAAGACAGTATCAAGGGAATATTTTTTATTGTTGACTTGAGTAGCAGCTGCCAATAGCATTCAACAAAACACTTAAAAATAATAGAATTAGAAGCACCGTGATTAGTGTGTTTTCAGGGCAATCATCTTCACTTTCATTTATTCAAAAAACAAAAACAAAAAACACCAACGAGCTCTCTGAGCTGAGAGGAATTATGTGGAAAGTAATATGGGAGGAGAAATTGTAGCAAAGTTATGGGTGTTTAAAGAATTCCGGAAATGTTTTCATTTTGACTCCTATTATAATTAGGTTCTTAGCAGATGGAGAGAATGTAAATCATATCTTAGCAGGAGACAGACACTGGGTTCTCCAAGATACATAGCATGCTGGAAAGACAGCTGCTTTTACCCTAGGGAGGTGACAACTTGACTTTGTGTTTTGTTGGCTTTTAAAAATAAATAATTTATTGTATTATGTTTATTACAGCTCCCCTACCCCACAGCTAGCAAGGAATAAAGGAAAGTGATTTAGGAGCTCTCAAGTCCCAGCAAGGAATAAAAGAAACTGATTTAGGTGATCTCAGTCCCAGTAACCTATTGAAAGAATAGAATTATTTACCTCCCAGAGAAGGGTTGCTAATTCTACAGAGGCGAAAATCACATATTCCTAATGTGGTAGAGTCTTAGGGACTGACAAGAAAATGGGAAATAATGAATTGTTTACTTGGGGAGACTAGCATCGTGGGCCTCAGGTTTTCTTTGAACCAAGGTCAGTGGCTGCTACCATAATGAGATCTCAGAAGAGCTGACATAGCCTTTCCTACTTCTCACCCAATATACCTGGCTTCATAAGCAATTACATCCATAAATTGTAATCCTCCAGAACCTAAACCAACAAGATTTAAGATCTAGTTGATCCTTCAATATACAGGCTCTCATCGCATATCTCAGGGCCCAACCTTGAACTCACACCATTCTAAAAACATTTCTCATGCAGTTTGCTGGTGTCTGATAGGGAAAACATTGTATGCACTGGGTACCTCCCTAGCTTGTACCTTTCTGGGAAGTTCTACCTTCCCAGAAGAAAATGGAAGTTTCCTAGTAGAGGAGGGGTTTGGTACTAATTGTAATAAGTCAGCTCCCAGATTCCTGATTTGAAGTTAGAGAAAGGGAGATTCACCAATTGAAGGAAAGTCCTATAAACAATGTCAGGAATAGTGTGATTTTCTCTTTCCACAATAGCTCTCTGGGATAACGAGAAATAGGCCCTGTTAGTTCCTAACCACTAAGCCCTAATGAAAAGCCATTATCCATTCTCCATGCCAAGTTTGTCAGTGCACATGATGTTCTACATGAGGTTCAAGTAGGCTGAACACAAACCCTCCCCTAAGTGCTTACATCTAATGCCCAGAGCAAACACAGCATGGTCATTAAGCCAAGCACAATATGCATTCACACAAGCTGAGGGATTTCAATGATGAGAAGGGCAAGGAAATTGGTGGTAGGGGTGATGAAGAGAAAGGAGGAATAGAGCGGAAAGCCATTTGGGGTAAGAAAAATGAAGTGGAAATGAAAACTCAGTGGCAAGCCTCCTGATGCAGAGAAAATTAAATTGTTTCTCAGCCTTCCAAGACTCTTTCAAATTATGCTCAATTACAAAAGGCAAATATTTATACATGTTCACAACTTCCATGTAATCCAGCCCATCCCGGCAGTAAAGCTTGCTGGGTTTTCTTGAAAGTCAACATCCTCTGGCTTTGGCTGGTCCTCTTGTACCCTCTGAGGTCAGTAAACACTTAGCCCCCTAAGCCTCTTCTTCCTGGGGCTTTCTTTGGTATCCCTAGTGTCGGAATTATTGTTTAAGTCATGCTGCAAGGTAATGGTTCCTTCATCTGATTTTTTATCTCCAAGCATTAAACTTAATAGTTCACTTTGGACCAAGTCACTTGCATCAGATCCAGTGAAATGAGGCCCTTATAACCTATAAAGATTAATACAGAGGAATTTGCATGACTATCAGGACTTGTTTTAACAATACTCTGAAGTTCAATTTGGACTAGAAACTTTGAATACTGCTTACCAGAAAGCAAAGAGACCTACATCTTGAATATCATAAACAACACAATATATTTATTCATAGAAAACTTCTCTCTATGGAAAAAATGTGGTGAATGTGCCCCTGGCCCCCTGAAAAAAAAAGTGTTCAGGGGAATGAGAGATGGTTGTGTGCTTTGAATGCACTAAACTGTACAGACGGGCAATTCCTCAGGTAATAAGTCTGAAAAGTCAATAGAAAAATGCAGCCCTGTCCAGTTTAAAAATCCTGAATTTTAGAAGTTGGATGGTTGGTGGTACAACATTTTTTTAACCATCATGATGCAATCAAGGTTTTCTCTTTGTGACTAGGCTTGTTCCCATTCTGACAAGCTGGTATACCTGTCTATAGTTAAAAAAAAAAAAAATGCTGCAAGGATGGAAGGTTACAAAACGCAGAGGACGCTACACATTATGCTGATGGGTAAAACAAAGAAGCCTGAAAGCATTCTGTGATTCCAGGTCAATGTGAGTCCGCCAGAAGCTTTTCCAGAGTGAAGGAAATATCCTGTCCTTAAGCACTTGAAGTACAGATGACTGGCTTTAGAAACTATGGTAGGCTAGCTAGCCGCTTACTGTAATATGTATCACTGGGAATTTTCGTAGACTTCAGTGGCAGGATCACAAGTTTCTAAGAGATCTTTTAAGGCTAAGCATGTACTTGAAATAACTAAATAGGATCCAAAGAGATTCTGAGTCTCCCTGAATTTTTTTTTTTTAAATCTCTAATAGGAGACATGTGGACAATAATAAGTATCTTTAGATATTTATAAAAGGACTCTTAAGAAAGGCGTGTTCTGGCTAGGCACGGTGGCTCACATCTGTAATCCCAGCACTTTGGGAGGCTGAGGTGGGCGGATCACCTGAGGTCAGGAGTTCAAGACCAGTCTGGCCAACATGGCAAACCCCGTCTCTACTAAAAAATAGAAAAATTAGCTGGGCATGGTGACGGGCACCTGTAATCCAGCTGCTCAGGAGGCTGAGGCAGGAGAATCGCTTGAACTCGGGAGGCGGAGGTTGCAGAGAGCCAAGATTGCGCCACTGCACTCCAGCCTGGGCAACAGAGAGAGACAGACTCCATCTTAAAAAAAAAAAAAAAAAGAAAAAGTAAAAGCCATGTTCTTTCTTTGCTTTTCAATTGGTAATTTCTTCTTCCCATCTTGCCTGATTCATTTGGAAGCAAGTACACTTCATATATGAAAGAAAAAAATCTCTTGTTTCCACCTGGCTAGCCATAGCTCTCTACAACTCAAAATCATCACCCTTAAGAAGTTCCTCACTGACATTCAGTTTATTCATTGCTGAATATGATTAAGATGCTGTCTCATAATGAACTGATTTTAATAAAAACAAACCAACTCACAAACCTGGCTCTATATTGTTAAACTGGCATCTTCAACCTATATTGAGCAATGATTCCAACAGGAGAGGAGAAATGCCATCTCACCTAACGTGCAAGCACCTTTCTTCCCACCCGTTAGAATGCTGTTAATTTATGACAATATGTTTCATTCCGTGTGTGTAGTCCAAACTGTTACATTTCTGTGACAGTTTTGAGGTGAAATCCATCCTTTAAAGGAGGAGGAAAATCAAGCAGACCCTTGCCAGGATCTGTGACATGCTTGCCGGTTAAAGCAAAGCCGTTTCTGTTAGAAACCCATTTGGCCAGTACCTGGCAGGCAGTGAATGGTTTAATTCTCCAGAGGAATGGGGGAATATCAAGGACAGAAATCTGAAGACTAAAGGTATTCCCTTTGAAATGCAGCAATTTTGGTTCTTCCAGGAGCTGTCCACCTTGATGCCTTTCATCTGAAACCACTTCCTATAGGAGAAGAAAAAGAAAATAAGATCAATAATGAAATATCCTGCTACTTACATATTTCCTATCTAGGGATACACATGCTCACTACCATGTGTCTTCCACAAATGGACAGAGAGCATAGGAGAAACATACTTCTTTACAACTCCATAGTCCATAAAGTTCAAGACTAAGGATTAACAACTGCTGAGTGACAAGTGTTGGGTTAGAAAGAGACAATTTGTTTTTTATTATTTGTGTTGTTTAGGCTTTAAACCACACTGTGCCTTTGTTTAAACTTCAAAGACCTCCCCTGACCCCAAGCAAATCGTAATACTTCTGGGTTTCCACAACTGTAGGAATTTCACTCTCTGACCACAATCAAGGGATGCATTCATGCTCAATCTGACACATCATCATAACTGAAAACAGCCCCCCTCCATTCTGGTTCAATTTTTCTTCACTAATGCAGGCACTATATGATATTTATTCTTTTGGCTTAAAATAAATGTCCCAGTGTGCATGTATCATGTTTATTTGTAGTAATGTTTGTAAAAGTTATTATACCAAAAGGTCAAGAAAAAATAAGTTGTGTATCAAGGTAGCTGTACCTCAGGAAAACAGAAATCAAATTTCTGAGGAAACACTCCTGTAGCTTTCACTGAAAAATCTTTACGTAATACAATCTAATACAAACTCAATCCACATACATTCTGTTGAGTAAACCATTTCATTGGTTCCAAATTTGTGGCATTAGAATCATATTGGAGAGACGATATAAGAAATGGAATAACAAAACAAATACATATTCAGGGAAGTGCTAAATGATTGTGCGGGGTTGAGGCTTTTGGTGTTACTGAATATAAGAGATCTCCCTAAGTCCATTTTTGAAATCACCATTAATTAATTGATATATTATTTCCTTGCAGAGCTAGGAGAAATTAAAACCTGAACTCCTTTATGTCCTATAATCTCAGATTCTTAAAAAAAAGACTGTTAGAAAACAAATAGGTTTATAAACACAATCAAACTTACATTTCAATTATTAAAGAGTAAAAACACCTCTACTGGTTATCTTATCCATCTCTTGTCCATAAGTAGAATGACAGTAACAAAAACATTTTTGACTAAAAAGTCACCCAAGTTTTATCCTTCACGTACACATAAACTGTTAATAGGTTGCTAGTATCTTTTTCCAGGACTAAATCAGTGGCATTTTCTCCAGCTCTTTGGTGTTGCTTGTGGGAAGGGTGTTTCTTGGGGCCCAAGGGTCAGTGTTGTAAACTAGCTGTGATGATAGAAATATTCTATCTCTGTGTGGTCCATTATGGTACCCACTAGCTAAAGTGGCTGTTAGCACTTGAAATGTGGCTAGAGTGATGAAGGAGCTGAATTTTTAATTAAAGTTAAATATCCACATGTGATTAGCAATGACCATACTGGACAGTACAGTGCTAGGTAATTCATAACCTTGTGGATTTCAGAGTTGAACGTGATAACATGGTAGCCAATGTCTGGTGGAGGCTACAAGGAATGGAAGAAAAGAGGCACTATGGGGAGGATAGGAAATTAATTCTAAATGCGTACTTGGCTGAGACATTAGGCAGTCTCTGGTTCCTTCTTTTGAGATTTACTAAATTTCCATCAGAGCTATGTTGGAGCTGGGCACTGGGTGTGCAGAAATGAAACAACCTCGCCACCAGGAAACTTACAATGTTGTGAAAGGGTCTGGACACTAGGCATTGTTCTAATATAGTATCTATTACCATACATGAATGCCTAGGAGGTTAAGAAAGACAGAAGGTGCCCCTGACCCAGATGGGAGGACAGACCAGGAAAGGAGTCTAGACATTACTAGGGGAGGTAGTATTTGAGCCAAACGTTGAAATAAATGGAGGAGCTGGCCATTTGAAAAGGAAGGAGAGAACACTCCAGATGCTGAGCAGGGCATTCACAAGCATGGTGGCTAGACGGAGCTGGGATGGAAGGCTGAGGTGGAAAGTGTGTGATTGGAGATGATGAAAATGTGGGGCAGAAACCAAATAACAAATTCTTGCTTGCTATGCTAAGGACTTTGTATTTTATTTTTGAGTAATGTTGCTCTGGTTTTAAGGTGCATTAAAACTCTTTTGGTGTCTTCATGCACTCAAAAGAGTACCAATCTTGTAAATTGAAGATAGCAGCATAAAATTCTAATCACATTTCTGTGTGGTCTTGGGCAAATTATTTTCTTTAGACTTCAGTTCCTTACCTGGGTTTATTTATAGCCAAGCAAAATAATTAATATGATAATATATTAACCTCTTTTTGCAATTCTGGTGCAAGATTAGAAACAAGCAGAAACAAACAAGAAATGTGCTTATTAAGACCATATTAAAGCCATAGTATAACAGCAACTCTTCTAAGTGTATTCGAACTAGGCTTTCTCAAATATACCCTTTTCTTTAAATTTAACTTTCCTTAATGGACATGAAGTAGTCGACGCCAGGAAATGAAGTGACTTGTTCAAGGTCATGTGTTATTTAGTGTAGTACTAGACTATTTTGTTAGAAACTACACACAATCGTTGTATTGAAGGGAACTTAAGATTTAGAGCACCAAGTGCCTTATTTACACATGAAAACATGGAAGTTCCCTGAAGAAAGTTATTTGCCTAAAGCCACGTGGCTAATGGGAGACCTGAGACTTTGACCAGGGCAACTTGATCATGGTCCAGTGTTTTTTCTCTTAGATTTCCCTGCCTTTTCTTACTACTATGCTTGACTTTCTTTTTTTCTTTTTTTTTTTTTTTTAAAGACTCATGTGAAGATCAGACTGTGATTAACTCTGTCTCATAAATGATTTTTCACTGGTGCAGGATATATGTATAAGATGACATAAGTCAATCTATATTTGCCCTAGAGTTATATATACTGTCTACACAGTCCTTGAAACTCAGAATGGATAATATTAAGAATTTAAAAAATAGATATCTGCTTATAATTATCATGGAAGAAAAGAGTACCTTTTTAAAAGTTCTGCTCTAGGGCCTCAAATTTAAATACAACATGATTTATTTTTTGCTCTTTTCGCTTACTCCTTAAATCTGCGCATATTGAGCCAACAATATACAATTAACAGTGTCTTGTAATCTTGTACAAAATATTAAGCAATTACAGTTATTCTATAACAAAACAATTATTAAAATGAAAAAGCCTGGTAATGAACTAATAATTGTATTTATAAATTTGTAAAGGCACAATTGGCTTCGAAGTTAAATAAATAGACTCCTGAGTATGAGCTTTAAAATACTCTCCAAATACAGTGGATTGCACTTAACACATAGTTCCCTGAGCCTACTGTATTACTCTGGGGGGCTAGGCCTGAGTATTTGTAAGTGTTTCTTGGATGCTTCTGATGACCAGCCAGGTTTGGACAACTCTGCTTAGCTAGTTCTAAATCACTCATATGGATCAATTATCCCCAAAGTGAGGCTTGATAGTAATTTGATTTTTCCAGTCTGCCTTCTATGTGACAAGGACCTCCTGTTAAATACCTCATTCCATTGTTAAACTAATAATCCGAGTTAATGGAACTAGGAAACAGGGTCTGGCCAGCTTTTGTATATGAAATGCACCTGAAGGCTCTGGATGGTGGTTTTTCTCAGCATTCTGTTTCATCATTTTACAGTGGGGTTGCAAGTCATCCAGTTCTAGAAGCTGTGGCCAGGAAAAACTTGTGCTTTGTGCCTCACTGAGCTCTTTATGTTGATTTAATCAGACAGGCAGCAATATTCAGGTGTGCTTCAGGGATACTAAAACAAGCAGGCTAAATTTACATATTTATGAGACAAAACTGTTTGAACTTACACACACACACACACACATACACACAAATTATGTCGCTATGGTGCTTTCCTTTAAATGCTTTACGTGAACAATATTTCCCAACATTGCATTATTGATAAACACAAGAACTACATCTAGAGGAAATCCTTTGAAATTAGATTCTAAATCCACCTTAATGCCAAGTAAGTAATGAGTACCAAGAGTACTGTATAGGAGTGCTGGGAGCAATGGCAAAAAAAACCCTAGTTGTTTTTTTCTATTTTCTTTCTTAGATAAGATAGATAGGGTAACAGCTTAATTCCTTGCTTTCCTATGTCAAGGTTTGTTTGGGCTGTGCATGCATGTGTGTGTTCGTGTGTAATAAAAGACAATAACCAAAATCCAGGTCTTAAAATGTTACTACTTCAAAGATATATCACCATTTCTCAATCTTTGGTTTGAATTTATCAAAGGAGGTGATGTCAAACATACAAGCATAAAATGGCAGCCCTAATTATTACAAAAACACAAAAGCAAGAAGGACAAGGAGTCATTTACTGCTTGTCTTCTTATTCTTTTCTCACCTACCTACAGGGAGATGACATTTTTATTTTTGAAAAACATAGCAGATTTAATTTTTCATAGAGACGATTTTAGATGTGTTTATCAGAACAGATCTTCAGAAATCTGAAACTAAATTATGTCTTAGCCAGGTAAACAAAGTATTTTGTTTTTGTCAAGGAAATTGCTAGTATTACTCAGATAAGCTACCCCCAGAGCAAATGAGAATCAAATAGAGTAGCCCTGTAGGGGGTACAGGGAAAGGAAGACAGGACTAAAAATAGAGAATGTCCCTATTTAGATACTGAAATTCTCTCAAGGAATATTCTATGGTGGGCCCATTATATTGCCTGGTCCCCACCCAGTTCTGAGAGGACAGGTGGAGTTGAGTCTCTACACGTTCCTTCTTGCAAGGTCTTCCGGGGAGAAGGTAGGCATTTCAGCATTTTATGGGATACAATCTCCCAGTGAGACATGAATGAAGTGAAAGATGCAACCCCGCACTTAACCCCAGCGTCCTTTTGGTTAACAGCACAGTTAGAGTTGGGCACATATCTGTTATCATTCTTTGAGATATGAAAGATGCACTGCAATAAATACAGCAGCTGTAACAACCATGTTCACATTGATTTCCTAATCACAACAAACGTATCATCATAAGGATAGTTGAAGCACATTCCAGGGTGGGCAATTTCTGCAGAAATGCTCCATGAAAAACTGCTTACTGATTTTGATTAAGAAGTCAGGGTTCTTTTAGGGTTGCAGAAAATATTATTACTGTATACTCTATTTTCAGCTTACGCTACAGAAGTTGGGAGAGCTAAATACTAATTTGTGAGGTCTTTTAGGGGTTCAA
Organism: Homo sapiens; assembly: GCF_000001405.40. Classification (NCBI taxonomy): domain Eukaryota; kingdom Metazoa; phylum Chordata; class Mammalia; order Primates; family Hominidae; genus Homo; species Homo sapiens. The sequence goes on along the minus strand of NC_000008.11, from coordinate 35,754,120 downwards.
AAAGGGAACTGTTGTTAAGGCTTTCCTAAAATAGAACTGTTTTAATGGGTTAGTAACTAATTTCCTCCTCCAATGCAATATCACATATGAAGCTATCACACTATGAAATGATTTGGGATATGCAGGTGATCAAAATAAATCTCTGCAGAAGGCCTTGAACACATTCACTTAGCAAAGTAAAAATCCAGAAAGCAAGACAGTTTCAGAAACAAAACCCAGAAACTAAGACGGAGGAGTACATGGCTGTTTCCTGTACTAGGGAGTCTCAGTTCAGAAAAGCCACAAGTTTCATTTTAATCCATATGTGGGCCAGAAAAGTTATTCAAGCAAGGTTGATGATCTTTCAAAACCCCAAGGGGGATACATGGCCTTTCTGCTCATGACAGCTGTCATATACATCCTGTCAATAACAAGTACAACCAAACGCAGCTTTATTTGCCATTGTAGGAGAGAGAAAGAATCACTGGAGGTAAAAAGATTAGGACAAATGGGGTCAAAGGTATTTCTACCAAAAAACATTATTCTAAAGCAAAATTAAAGAGTTTTACTAATTTAAGAAATACCTCTCTGCTGGGCATGGTGGCTCACGCCTGTAATCACAGCACTTTGGGAGGCTGAGGTGGGCGGATCGAGACCATTCTGGCTAATATGATGAAACCCCATCTCTACTAAAAATACAAAAAAATTAGCCAGGCATGGTGGCAGGCGACTGTAGTCTCAGCTACTCAGGAGGCTGAGGCAGGAAAATGGCGTGAACCCGGGAGGTGGAGGTTGCAGTGGGCTGAGATCACGCCACTGCACTCCAGCCTGGGGGACAGAGCGAGACTCCATCTCAAAAAACAAAAAAAAAGAAATATCTCTCAATGATGAAATACATTTGGATTCAATTAGAGGGAGAATAACATTCTCCCTAGCACTGTCTAAAAAGATTCTATTACCAACCAGAAATGGGTAATGGTTTGAAAAGCTATGGTTATGGTGTTTTCATGACGTCCACAGTAATTTGTATTCATCTGTGAACAGTGGAGCCATGGTAGAATATGGTAGAGGTGAAAATAGATGATCTGAAAGTCACTGAGAACAAGCTCTTTAAGTACATGTCTATCTCACTGCTATATACATCAGCTGGGAGACTATTATTCAAAGAAAACTCCAGACTGGTTATGAGGGCTGACTTCCAAGACAATTGTGTGAGCAGCTCCACACAGTCACAGTAGTCAGCAATGGGTTATCTATATCAGCCAGGAGACTGGAAATCTTCCATGATGCTCCATGGTTACTCCAGTTTACTCAGCTTTTAAAATCTGGCTGAGTTACTAAACATCCAACTTGAGTCATGGTACATTTTATAACTGGTTAGTAGTAGTAGTGACCCCAAGATGAACCCTCTATTTAAGATATTTATTCTTTCTTTTTGCTTCCTGAATATCTGTTATATATTTTCTCTTGGAGCAATCCTCTTATTGTGGGGTGGGGAGTGCAGAGGAAGAGTATTAAATGACAATGGTGGGAGGAGGTTTAACTACTTACACTGAAGTTTCTTATTCCACAGAATGGCACACCTTTGAAAGCCACCCCTTTTGTGAGCAGCCAAAGATGAAGTGTGCCCTTCACAATGACCTGTGCTACTTAAGAGATACTCAGGGGCGGTTCAGGAACACAGGCTGGCTCTGTGTCACCTTTACTGGCTTATGTTCAGGAGTGAGGTCGTGATATTTTTTTCTACTGGTAAACATGAGTTTTCCAGCTCAGTGTCTTAAAATCTAGTTACTGAGGAAATACTCTGCATAATGGACTTAATGACCCAAAACTGGAATAGCAGGGATCTGGAATGAGGTGTGTCAGGAGAGCTATGCTATTTATATATGGGCAGAGCTTACACAGGCAGTTCTGCATCATCCTTGCTGCTATTAATAAACTTGCAGTCTTCCTGAGTAGCTAAATTAAAATGAATCTTACATGATTAAAAGTACCAAAAATGGAAAGGAACCTTGAACCATCTCTGCCCTAGTAGCCCTGATAATTAATAGACTATATGTCCAGGATAGAAAATGACTACCTTGTGATAGGTATGATTTATAATTGTGGTTCCCTAACTACAACCTTCAGTTGATTCAAGCAATTTTCTCACTGCCCTCTGCACATCAAATAACTCTTTTAGTTCCTGTGACTCATGCTGCTTTTTTTCTCTTGATGTGGTGTTCCTTTCTGTTTTGTTCCTAAATCGCATCCATCCATGGAAATTTGTAAAAGAGTTCCCAAAAACTCTTCTCCGTTTGTGTCTGTGTTTGTTTGTTGAATTCTGATTATGTTTCGGGTCAGTTGCATAATTTAGCACACAATGTTCTGCACATGCGTTAGTTTAGCCCTTCTCTCTTCTTGAATGCCAAGTACCCCAACCTCTCTTACATTGCTGACCACACAGTAACACGGCTCTTGCTTCAAGGTAGGTATCCCAGTCAAACCAGTGGTGAAACTGCCATTGGAAAATTATAACAGAAAATTATTACAGTGAAAGAGATCTGACCTAACCAACTTCATCTTGCTCCTAACCTCCAAGCTGTCCTTGTTCATTCCTGTGTATAGGCCAAACTAACTTTGGGAGGAACTTAGCTTATATTATAGTTTAACTTTGAAACAAAGACAATAACAGCCCTTTCCCAAAACAAATCCCCTTCCTGCCTGGAGACTAGATTGCCTTTGTAGGACTAACAAATCGGCCACAAGATTAGAAATTATGGTTTCGGAGTCATGCAGCTGGAGGCTACAAGATTCTGACACTCTCCAAATTGCTCCTGGGGATAACATTGCTATTGTAAATCCTAAAATCAGTGCTTGAGATATTTTGCAGACCCTGCACATGGATCAGTAGGCACCACCCTGTTGAATAAACTGGCTCATCTATCTTGTGGCCCCGACCCAGGAACTGACTCAGTGCAATAAGACAGCTTAGACTCCCTATGACTTCATCTCTGAAGCAACCAGTCAGCACTCCCACCTCACTAGCCCCTACCCACCAAATTATCCTTCAAAACAGTGATCCTTAAATTCTTGGGGAGACTGATTTGAGTAATAATAAAACTCCGGTATCCCACACAGCCGGCTCTGCGTGAATAACTCTTTATTGCAATTCCTCTGTCTTGATAAATTGGCTCTGTCTAGGCAGCAGGCAAGGTGAACCCACTGGGCAGTTACAGTGGCGTGGGTTCATTTTCTAGACCCTCAGTAATAAAATTTTCAATTGATACTGATCTTTTGGAAAACACACACTTTCATGACACCAAAAGAAAATTATTAAAACAAAGGCTAACCTGAAATGCACAAGGGGTATTGTCCACACAGTAAACTCTCAAGTTGTAATCCAGGGAGTTACAGGACATGCAGCCAAAAACCGCCACCTTCAGTTGCTTCACGGCACAGTCTGTGATTGGCTCTCCAGTGAGCGCATAGGTCCCAAAGCTGTCCAGGAGCACATGACACGCAAAGGGGTCCAAAAGGCAGTAACAGGATGTAGATTCATCTTCCACTGACATCACTTCCTGTTGGGAAAGGTATGTTTATTCTCTCACTTGGAAATAAGATGTGATCTAACCTTTATATTGCCAGGACACAAATAAATAAACACACAAATATAAATTTGTTTTCAGAATAGTCCTATTGCCCAATTATCCCGATGTTAACTGTTCCTCTTCTATCAAAATAACTGCTGACATCAAGAACTCAAGAAATGGGCTAGGCATGGTGGCTCATGCCTGTAATCCCAGCACTTTGGGAGGCTGAGGCAGGCAGATCACCTGAGGTCAGGAGTTCAAGACCTCCTGGGGTGGGGTGGGGTTGGGGGGCGGGGAAGGGGTCAGGTCGGGTCTGAGGCAGGAGAATCACTTGAACCTGGGAGGTGGAGATTGCAGTAGGCGGAGATCCATCCACTGCACTCCAGCCTGGGCAATAAAGCAAGACTCCATTTCAAAAGAAAAAAAAACTCAAGAAATGGTTATGTTCAGTGTGTTGGAATTTCTACTTCATTGGTTATAATAACAAAAATCACTTGGAAAGTTCTGTTTCTGGCTAATTTGTTCAATGTTGAGTTTTAGAAATCTTAAATCTTATCAATAAGCAAACTTTTTTTTTTTTACAACTATTTCTGACAACTCTTTAAATATCCTTAAGGTAATGTTTATTTTCTCTCAAACATTTTATCCTCTTTCATTCCACTGAAATCATTTACAAGGGACCACTAAATAAATGAATTGGATAAGATGTACTAGAATATGTCACCCTCCTTGATAAGAACTTTAGTATATGTGACTGGTTTGATAGAGCATAAATATAACACCATCTGTGTATAAGAGATTGTGAGGAAGTGCTGGGAAGAAAAATTAAAGTGGCAAAAATCAAAGCAAAGCCAAACATAATGGGAAGAGGACTAAAACATGGCCCTTTAGGAAACCCATGGAACTTCATGCCCCAGGAAATCTGCTCATGGTTGCACTAAAACGCACTAAATAGCAGAATGCATTCTGGAACAAAGAAAATAGTTTCAAGACACTAGTTGGCAGGGTAAAGGTAATCCATTGTAGCAACTGGGAATTTTCTTCTTCTAAAGAAACATGATTTTCCTTTTACTTCTTTGGCCTGAAGTGCCTTCTGGGAGGAAGACCCTAGGGCTGGCTGGAACAGGTCATTTGTGTTCCAACAAAGATAATTCTCCCAGTTTCATGCAAGCTGACTGCAGATGGACATAAAGGAAGCTCTATCAGGCAGAAAAATCAGAGCTTTCACTTAAAATAGTAATTCAATTGCAATCTGTCATTGCTGTGACTGTCTTCCCTGTTGTTAATGTCTTATTATGTATCCTCATTCTCTTTCCTTGTCTCCTACTGTATCCCTTTTGTTTGCACTCATACACACAGGAAATAGACACTGATAATAATTCTCAATGCATTCGTTAACTAAAAAAAAATATTAAGCCCTAAATGTGTTCCTGATTAAACATAGATACCTTAGAATCCCCAGGATGGAAAAAAACAGACATAGTTATTTTCTTTCTGAACACAGACTGCCTGCCCTGAACCTCCTCCCTAACTCCACAGAGGCCACAGAATAATGTCCATTCAGACAGAGACAAGGCCAAGGGGGAAGTGAAGGGGATCAATGAGCAGGTATGTAGGTGTAGATGAATATATGGGTAATTACAACTGTATTCTAAAACCAAACAAATCTGGATTATCTCTTGCTTCTCTTTTCTATTATAATGGGGGGGGAAGAAAAACAACTAGCCAATATGTTTAGGATATTATAAAACACTTGCCACCAACCCTTTGCCAACAACGAAATGCTGATTTGTGGTGTTAGATGTTAAGGTTAAATATATCCCATAGGTGGAACCCAAATCCCACTGTTTAAAAAAGGAAGTAAAGGGTCTCACCTCCCATTTGCCCTGCTGTGTCCTCTTCTTTAAATGGATATTCCAATGCTCAGAACTGACATCTGCACAGTGCGGGATGGTCAATGCAAAGGGAGTGGTGACGATCATGTCTGGAGGACCACAGGTGACTTCAGGACTCAGGAGCACCTCAGAGCCATCTGACTGGAGGCTTCACAGTTGAAAAAAGGATAGAAGAGAGAAGTATGTAGAGGAGGGGCCATATTTGAATGAGAATTTGGTTAACAGACTGGGGTTTTCTTCAGGCTTATAAATATTCCTTTCCAGGATTTTCTTTTACAAAGGACTGGTCTGGAGAACAAGCATTTGTCATGAAGTTCTCAGACACACGGAAGGAGTTTAAGCCTAGATTTCAAATCTAGGTTTTGACAAACCCACCAACAAAATGACAAATGCTTCTTTGGAAATACAGGGCAGAATTGGAGAATGCAAAGACCTGGCTGGTGGGTCATGCACCAGCTACTGAATCCTTATTCTTGTTGATGCCATTATCAATGAGCAAACAAAAACTTTATAGAAATGACTGGTCTGGTCATCTCATTACCATCAAATTCCTTTCTCATGAAAACACAATCTAAAATATTCTTAATGCTGGTAAATGATAAAGCAAATTATTATGAAGCAAAACAGTATTTTGAAGATACAGACTGAGTGTGTCTATTCTGGCTTTGAAAACATTTATTTTTTGCCAATGAACAAATACATAGCTTATATAGCAATAGCACAGTAGACAGCTACAAGTGTGCATAATATCATACATAAATGTGTATCTTTCAACTCTTTTCTATTTTAGATCTAAATTTAAAATCATTCAATCCAAACCTGGTGTTCAGCTTTTTTGAATTGTGAATTATTTACAGTGAGAATGCAGTGTCATGGAACAGATAAAAGAAAGTGAAAGTTAACTAAAATGGAATAATAATACCTCATTGAATGCCTCCCTCTTTCACGTCTTTGGCTTTTGTTTTTAATCTGTGCCCCCAAACGGTAAGGAGGAGTAGTTTACAGAACAGTAATCAGCGAGAAGAACCCAGATGTCTGCTTATTTTTCCCCCAATGGCATATGTGTTCTTCAACAAGCTATTTGATCCTTTGTTTGCTGGATTTTCACTTGTAAGAAAAATAATAATATTGAATATAGAGCAATGCTACGGGAGAGCTGGAATTGGTATTATTACTAAAGCTTTTACTTATACTACCTAGGAAGGACAGTTAAATACTTCATCCTTGACCAAAAAAGCAACCCGTTGGGCAAAATAAAGATAAAATTTAGTGCTAAAAGATACCATCTTTCCCAAGATCTTCTATAAACAAAGAGTTTTTCTCTGAGTTCATCTAATGTGCTATTCATTTCTGAATTGCTTATGTTGACAACTCCTATTCTCTCAAGTTAGTAATGGTTATACTTGAGCTCATTATCTATAACTTGCTGCTGCAATAAAGCCAAGCCATATAATTGAGGAGCATCTTATGTCTACTGCGTCTAAAACAGTAGATGTAACATTATCATGTTGTCTCCTCCCCTCTCCAAGAAGCCCTGGAGATGTCTTTAAAAAGTTCAGTCTTCCACAAAAGTAACCACAGTCCAAAATGGACAATTCTTCCTATACGAGCAAAACACAGGTTAAGATGATCATGTCTTCATTTACCTTTAAGTAGGGGAGGCAAGGAGAGCGGGACTGGAAAGCAGTGTATTAGCAACATCAAATGCTCTGTGGAAAGCCTAGAATAACATACTCAAGGTTTGGGGAAAAAAACCATAAAATTCAAATGTGCAGCCTGTATGTGGGTGCCTGCCAGGGCCATCAGAGAGGGTGAAGTGCTTTTCATGTAATTACCGCCTGCATTCATCATGGACAGGAATAGCAGGGATGCTTATGAGTGACCGATGACAAGCTCTCCTAAAAGAACTATTTAATTGCTTTCAGAGAATCATCCTCCTTGTTGAACATATTGTTCAAACATATGGGAATTTGGGGAATTATTTAATGCCAAATGAACTGAAATCAGCTAATTAGATGAACTCTCACACTCGTTGTGAATAGCAAGACTCCTTTCACAGTGGTAACTTAAACAGCTTTAGGAGTCAGAGGCAGTGCATATTGAATATGAGCCAGGGCATGGAATAGGAGTTTTGCATTAAATAGGCATTAGGCATTTCCTTACGTGCAGAGTAAGTAAATCAAGATTTATATTTAATCCTCCTACTGTGAAAATAGTGTCCATGGGTGTAGGTCTCTCTCTGGTGAAGGAACAAAACTTCACCAGAAGTTCACCGGAACTTCACAAAAATCTCTCCATTTTTTTCTCCCCACAATTAATAACAATATGCCCTTTTCTGCTACCTTCTACCTGTAACAATCAGGGAGATTTACAAATATTAATTAAAGCTCTTCGCACACCTATAGAGGCAGGTGTTAACAGCATAAGGTCACAGAGGAGTCAATCAAGGTGATGGCAGGAAAATAACCCAAAATTTCTCACTCACAGGCTCTTGCTCTCAGTGACCAGATTGTACTTTTCTTCTCTGTTACCGGAGATTTCTGGTCAAATTGCTGGATCTTATGACATCCCAGGGAAAGACTGGGGAAGGGGGTTACAATATAGTCCAGGGGTAATCATGGAAACAGATTCAGGACATTTGAGGACAGAGGGCTGGGGAGAGAAGCCTTTAATTGGATGTGGACAAAAAAAAAAATGAGCCTTCTTAAGGAAATCATAGATGGCATTTAAGCTTTCCCACATTGCATAATCCACAACAAGGCAGTATACATGTCCCTGCTGGGAAAAAAAAGGTAACACATTTTTCTAAAATTGCTGTGAGCTAATAACAACTGTGAACTAATAAAAGCAGTGATTTCAGGATAAAAATATGAACCACCTCGATGTATCATACACCCTAGTGTGGTCTGTAGACTGAAAAACCTTTTTGCATAGAACTTTTGCTACTTAATGTTTTTCATTGTTCTCTATCTATACATATATGTGCACATATACATGCATGCTGATATATTTGTAGTTTAAATGCTGTGTATAGATAGAAGAAGTTTAATAATTTAAGAGCCCGGTCTTATTTCTATAGGAACTCTGCTTTCTGAGATGACTAATTCATGCAATTGTCATACATTGTCATTGCATCAGTGTACGCTTTGACTTAAATTCTCAATGCCTTAGGCATGTGCATGGTGGGCATTTAAGGCTCCTTGGAAATGATACTGGTCTCCTTGCTTTTATCCTTGCCTTTCACAGCCTGTCCCCCATGCAGCCACCTCAGTCATCCTACTAAAAATGCCAGTGTGTTCTCATCTCATGGAATTGCTACAATTCGTACTCTGGAGTGCTGCCTGCTTCCTGGAAGAGTTTTCCCCTAGACATCCACATGATTTACCCCACCTTGTGCCTGTCAGGTTCTTGCTTAACTGACATCTACTGATGAGGTTTTCTCTGACCAGGCCTTGGTAATTGCAACATTCCCAATACTAAAAGCAGATCTTTGTTTGACTTTTTCTCCTTAACACTTAATGCCCTCTAGTGTACCATACCATTTGCCTATTTATTATTATTTTGTCTGTCCCACAAACTAGAATGTAAGCTCCTTGAGGCTAGGGAATTTTTTTTTTTTTGAGACAGAGTTTTGCTCTTGTCGCCCAGGCTGAAGTGCAGTGGCACCATCTTGGGCTCACTGCAACCTCCGTCTCCTAGGTTCAAGCGATTCTACAGCCTCAGCCTCCCAAGTAGCTGGGATTATAGGCACATACTACCATGCCCGGCTAATTTTTGTATTTTTAGTAGAGACAGGGCTTCACCATGTTGGTCAGGCTGGTCTCGAACTCCTGACCTCAGGTGATCCACCCACCTCGGCCTCTCAAAGTGCTGGGATTATAGGTATAAGCCACCATGCTTCTTAGCTCAGGGATTATTTTTTTTTCCTGCTTAGGTCATCATTGCATCCCCAGTGCTTCATACATGCCCGCTGTAAGCACTCAAAAATACTTGTTGTAAAGGACACAGAAGCCAGCTTGAAGAGATTCTCACTGATCAAATCTGGAATCTTTTGAGCATCAGAGTAAATCATGGCAGTAAAGAATTATAACCCATTGAGTCATACTATAAGAATCCACAAAATAAAAATCCATGTAAGAATGAATCAATGAGAAGGGAAAACTCCTCCACACAAGAGAAAACCAACTAATAAATATAGTAAACCATCAATTAGCAATCAGCTACATTAATACTTGGTTGAGAATCATAAATGGATGTTAACCTATTGGGTGAAAGTTTAAACAGTAATAAATAACTATTTACACATTCCCAAAGTATCTTCCCACAAGGTACTTAACTATTTACGAAGGGTAAAATAGTACTTCACAGCAGACACCACCTAGCATGAATGACCAAGTTAACGTTCCCAGGAATGGGATGGATCCACAGAATATACCTCCCGACAGGACACAGAGAAGAGAACCTAGCGTCACTTCTGTGACATTCCTGCTAAAAGTACACAGCCTGAATCTCCTCATAAGGAACCATTAGACAAGCTCAGAGGAAGGCACATTCTGTAAAATAACTCACCTGCACTCTTCAAAGCTGTCAATGTCATGAAATACAAAGACTCAGGAATGGTTCCAGATGAAAGCAGACCAAAGGCACAGGACAACAGCATGCAATGAAGTGACTTGGACTTTAATTTACTCTCAAGGACATTATTCAGATAACAAGTGAAATATAAATAAGGTGTGTAACGTACTAAGAGTATTTTGTCAATGTTAATTTCCTGATTTTGTTAATTGTGCTATGTTTATACAAGATAATTTCTTGTTTGGGGGATATATACATGGAAGTATCTAGGGATAAAGGGTCATCTTGTTCACAGCGGTTAAAAAATACACATATGCACATATATGTATATATATGTATTGACTTTTATACGTATATGAAGGAGAGAGGAGAGAGACAAATACAGAATATTTAGTAAAATATTAACATTTGTGAATCTGAGTGTAGGACACACAGGAATTCTTGATATTATTGCAATTTTTCCTTGAGTTTGAAATTTTGTCAAGATTTAAAAAAAATTTTTTTTTTTTTAAAGTGAGTGCAGCTGGGCATGGTGGCTCATGTCTGTAATCCCAGCACTTTGGGAGGCTGAGGTGGGGGGGATCACTCGAGGTCAGGAGTTCAAGACCAGCCTGGCCAACATGGTGAGACCCCATCTCTACTGGAGAGAAAAAAATAGAAAAATTAGTCAGGCGTGGTGGTGCATGCCTGTAGTCCCAGCTACTCAGGAGGCTGAGGCGAGAGAATTGCTTGAACCCAGGAGGTGGATGTTGCAGTGAGCCGAGATCACCCCAGTGCACTCCAGCCTGGGCAACAGAGCGAGACTCTGTCTCAAAAAAATAAATAAATAAAAATAAAAAATGAATGCATGAAAATAGAAGGCCCAGGGAGAATTTTTCCAGAATTCTTACAAAGAAATCAGCAGGTAGACTGCTCTGTAAATATCTGTTAAGTCCATTTCATTCTAGGCTACAATATAAGTCCATTGTTTCTTTGCTGACTTTCTGTCTTGATGACCTGTCTAGTGCTGTCAGTGACTGGGTACAGTATACACCGCTTGGGTGATGTGTGCACCAAAATCTCAGAAATCACCACTAAATAACTTATTCATATTCATGTAACCAAACACTGTTTCCCAAAAACTATTAAAATAATAATTTAAAAAAATCAGTGGGGCCACTGATTAATGTATGAAACACACAGTGGAGGATGATGAAGGTGCTGCAGTTGGTGACAGGGTGATGGTCCAGACCTTACCACGTAGTACCTAACATCCTACAGCACCCATCTGCACACAAGTGCCAACCAGAGGTCATGTTGAAGGTCAGCTACGAGGCACCAACTGCTAATAACCATGGCAGGATGGGAGGTGTATCCTGGACATTTTACCTCTGTGCTCAATACTCCTTGACCTGCTGCTAGGCTTGTAACACTTCGCTTTCTTTAAGGAAAGTGACCAGTTCCAAGTTCCAATATGAGGTTTTTACTGTAGCTGTTGTCTTCCATGCTGTGCTTGGTAATTACCATTCCCTCCTTTCCTCCTTGTGGTCTATATTCTAGATTAATGTAGGTTTGATCACCTTTACCCAGGGTATCACTCAGGAATCCAGGCAGGAGAGTAATGATAGTTTTACTATGTCAGACCCTGGGTCGATACATAATTAAGTCATATTTGAATGGAAAAGACATCAAGGCTGATAGATGGAAGCTGTACTCAAGTTTTCCATGCACAAGACATATAGTTTTAACTATTATTATTCATTTTTCATTAAGATCCTCAGATTTTGACCTGGGGTACTAAAATTGCTGTGGATAAAAATTAAGGTTTTAAGGTTTATTATTTGTCTCTCTCTCTTTTTTTTTTTTCTTGGAGTCAGATCTCTCTCCTACTCAATTGCTCTGACCAGAGATTTCAGATCAGTCCCAGGGACATGACATCATCGAATCTCCTAGACAGATGGACCCTTTAAAGCCAGCTTTTCCCATCAGCCAACCCCAACACTGTGGCTATGTCTTCTACTTCTGGTAATCGCTATGTGTGATTTAAGAAAACAGACTCCTGGAGAGGGAGAACAGGAAGTGAGCAGAATGGAGGACAAAAGTGACATTGAGCAACATCTTCTCTTTATTATAGCAGACTCCTGTTTTCATCTTCAAGTGGTTCTAAAACTGTGATGTTTTTCAAAATTTCTTAGGAAGCTTGTTTAAAATTATACTCCTGGATGCCACCAATGAAGATTTTGACTTGGTATTTCTGGGATAGGGCCCAGGAACCTGCATTTTCTACATGCAAGGTGGTGCTGGCACTAACATTTGAGAAAAGTTGTGTAGTTCTTAAAAAAAAATCCAAAGCAACATCTCATGCACTGGGGCCTTGGTGCTCCATCAAATATAGGACAGTCCATTCTGAAGTGGAATATAGTTGATGGTCAAGTTTAAATGCTCAATATTAAGGCCCTGGCTGATGCTACTATGATGGAAAATCCAACTACACGGGGACTGTTCCTACATCCTGTTTCTCTGAGTAACATGTGTATTAATAGGCAAGGATTTCAGGTTGGGGGGCTGATTAGCAGTAACTGGAAATAATGTTATAACTCATCATGCCATTATAGTCCATTCATAGGGGCAGGAAAAGGAGCAGTTAGAACAGTGGATTATTACAAGCAACAAGCTCCATTCACTGAGGATAGAAGCATATGGATGTACTATTAAAGGGCTTAAAGATCTGGGTCACCCACACGCTATTATCTGAAATAGGATCACAGAAAGAGATGGCATACGGGGTTGGGGCGGGAGGGGAATTATATACACACTGGAATGAGTATCTGAATTTGCTGAAATTTGAGCAACACCACACAGAGAGATTACCCTGTTTGCATATGTTAAACGGCTTTAGTTTACACACACATTCATAGGGTGTTTACCAATTAATATACTAAAGGAATCACAAATCATGTGTAAATCACCAGTTCCTAGACACAATTTAAGCCTCATCTTTCATGCAGTGTCAGGCTTGCATTTAGCTTGCCTTTTTAGAAGAAGTGAGATAGTGAGATGATGGCTCATTGAAAGTGCCTTAAAAATGAATGAGAGTGAGGAGGATGGGAGAAGAGTGGGACTATGTATCATGCTGCTGGGGCATTTTTTTATATCCACCACGCTTATGCACTTATATTCTGGATAGAGAAAACAGCCTTCTCTGGAGGTAATCTGAAACCTATTTCACAGAATCCTTTTATTTTAGGCTGGGGAGGGGCTCAGGAGTTTTGAGGCCAACATCTTCTTTGTTCAGATGCATGGCATGGGGTCGGTAACCCAACCAAAGTCACATCTCAACTTTGCAGAGCTGGAACCACAGTCTACTACTCTGTTACTCATGGTTGGGATAGGTAGGCAGTAGAAGGAAGAAGGAATATGTTCCCTGGGATATATTCTCCAAACCTGGAGTTTAAATTAAAATGTCGGCATGGGAATTAAGACTGCACTCATAGACACTAAACAAAGCCCAAGGAAAGCAGGGCCCTGAGGTACACAGAGGGGTCAAAATAGAGGCTTGTATTAGCTTCCCATTACTGTCACAGCACAGACTTACTGGCTTAAATCACAAATTATCCCACAGTTCTCTAGGTCAGAAGCCTCACTGAGCTAATATGAAGGCTGTCAGGAGGCTTGTGCTCCTTCTGAAGGTTCTAGGAGAATCCAGTTTCTAGAGGCTGCCTGCATTCCTTGGCTCAAGGCCCCTTCTTCAAGCCAGCAGCATGATACCTTCAAATCTGTCTCTCCCTCTGATATTCCTACCTTCTTCTCCTAAGGACCCGTACATTAGATAAACTTGGAGAGTCCAGGATAATCTCTCCTTCTCCTTTGATCTTAATTAATCTGCAAATTCCCCTTTGTACGGTTGTCAATTCACAGGTTCTAGGAACTAGGACGTGACATCTCTAGGGAGCCAGCTTTCTGCCTTCTGCCAGTCTTTTCATGCCTTGAGATCCCCCTGGGGCTGTCTCCTGATCCACTATTGTCTCTCAGACACCACGCAATCCAACCAAGGTATCTGTTCACTTTAGGGCTATCTTCATTGTTTCAGTTTCCAGAACACCCACCGTAATTTGCAGAGCGAAGCTCCATATTTGTATATAACTTTATGGAGTCCTGGAGGTTGTTATGGTTTAATTTAAAGAAAGATTATAACTGTGGGGAATAGAAGGTTGATTGTCCAGGTTTTCAAAGGGCTATGTGGATTGTCTTAGAAAACGTGGGAGCTGTCTCTGTGTGGGCTGGTGTCTTTGGGTATTTTTATTAGGCTATAACAAAATGAAGTGGAAAGGATGATATATATTAAATATCTTAATAGGACAGGTTATTTCTACTTCCAGCATGGGCAATAAAAGAGATGGCACATACAAATAAAAATAATTACAGTATGTGGTGCTCCTTTACAATATGCAATCAAACTCATGGACCAGTGACTTTCCCCTTATTGAATTAAGGTACACCTTCCATTCATATCTATTAATAACATTCACAAACCATTGTTATCTTGTCAATGGCATCTTTAATTAAAGACTCCTCTGGGCCACTCTAATCATTTCACATTGTGAGTGTCCATGGTCTTCAAATGCACTCAATCATTAAGATGATAGCAATTTTTATTTACTTGTGTTTACTTGTGGACTGAGGGGGTTTGAGGTGGAGAGGAACAGCAAGGAGAAATGCTTCTTTCCAAAAAGAGCAGGTCTTAAAATGACAATGTGATTTTTAAAAAATTTGTTCCTCTCCCCCTTTTCTATCTCTTCCTCTGCTCACTTATTTTGGGAGGTGGGGGCCGGCGGTGGGTTAATGGCATTATATTCTAACCTAAATGACTCTGTGAAGAAATCATCATGATTTCACTGGGGAATAGAGTACAATCTTCAGCTAAAGGTGCATTAACCCTTCTAGGCCATTAAGATACTATTTGATAAATTGCCCTTTTTGTTACACTGCATGGCACTGGTAGCCTGAAAGAATTAATGTATTTCCTAAATGGCAGCAATTTACTCCCCCTTGCATTAACAGAAAAAGCCCCCTTTGTTACCTGGGAGGCATCTTTCCTCAGTGATTCTCTCTATGCCTGGTATAGAGTTAATTAATGCCAAAAATCTTGGAAGAAATAGGTATATACCATCAATTGGATTCTTCTAAGACAAAAGACAGATTTCTAAGTCTCACAGCAACAAATCAGATTCTAATCCATGATTGACCATTGAACACAAATGATGACATGGACGATTCACGCATTTTCATCCATTGCTAGCAAGAAAAGCCTGACAAAATGGACAGGGAGAAAAGTTGTTTAAGGTGGCATAAGCTTGACTGACCTGCCCTGCTTGACTGGTCACTGATTTCCTAATCTTGGCACCAGCCCACATACAGTCTACTGTTTAGACTAATATGATGTACCTTTAAAGTATAAATCACATGCCAGAGTGTTATGAGAAACAGAGATAGACTCAAAGGAATTGATGCAGGGAGTTATCTGTATCTTCATGAGGCTCTTGGTTTTAAAGCCAACTATTAATATGTTTGCTATAATTGAATTAATCTTTCCTCTGAGTCTAGGACTGTGTTAGCAACAAAAAGAGATGAACTCTACATCACTGGGACAGAGCTAAAGCAAATTCCATGTACTTCAGAGAATTTCTGTCATCTATGTAATTAAAAAAGTAAGACCAGGTATAAAAAGATGATTTCCAAATGTAGCATTTAAACAGTACTTCACAGTTTGCACCAGACTTCTCAGCTATCAAGTCATTTTATCATCCTCACCAAAATCTGAAAGCAAAGTTACTAATATATAAAACTGGTAGATGATAAAACTGAGGCCTAGAGAAAGAGAATGATTTGCTCAAGTTTACACACACAGGCTGTTACTGAGAAGGGCTTGGAACCCAAGACTTCTGAATTCCTGTGTCCTCTCCACTCTACCATGCTATGTCATTTCTGAGAATTTTCTTTCTTTTCTTTTCTTTTCGAGACAGTTTCACTCTTGTTGCCCAGGCTGGAGTGCAATGGCTTGATCTTGGCTCACTACAATCTCCACCTCCTGGGTTCAAGCGATTCTCCTGCCTCAGCCTCCCTAGTAGCTGGGATTACAGGCACACACCACCACACCCGGCTAATTTTGCATATTTAGTAGAGACTGGGTTTTTCCATGTTGGTCAGGCTGGTCTTGAACTCCCGACCTCAGGTGATCCACCCACCTCGGCCTCCCAAAGTGCTGGGATTACAAGCGTGAGACACCAAGCCCAGCTGAGATTTTTTATTTCTTATGTTATGTCAACACTGAGGTCTGCATTATTTTCCTGACTAATTATTTATGATATCAGTTCACTTCAATGAGTTCCAGGACCAGCATATTCTTACTTCAGAAGGCAAAGAAAACAAAGGAAGGCAGAAGATTTTGCCTTGAATGAAGCAGGTAGGCATAATTACACCAAATATCATGACATCTTACTAGTTAAATGAGATTACGGTCACATGCTGTGGCAAAAGCTGATGTGAGATTTCAATTCAACAGTCATTTTTTGTTCTGGTTATAAATATTCTTTTTTCCTTCTTTATTAATTCTTCAGTCATTTTTTTTTTCCTACCCTTTTTCTTGTAAGTCAAAGAGCTATGTTTATTCCCTGGAAAGAAATCCAAAGTTGCTCCCAGAGCAACTATTATCACAAACTCTCAAGTGACCTTCAGTCAGCAAATCTCTCTCTCCTAATTAATCATCAGTTTCTGAGCCAGAATTCTGGGAATTATCTTCAATTCCTTCATCACACATTAACACACACACACACACACACACACACACACACACACACACACACACACAGAGCAGATCTTGCCAAGTTTCTCCCCAAGTCTATCTCAAAACTCCCCGCTGACAGCAATGTGGGGATTAGAGAATGGATTTAGAAACATTAAAATCTAGAGACGAGGGCACTCAAAAGTAGAGTAACTATAAATTATTGCCCAAATTGAGATGCTTTTGAGGAGGAAAAGAAACACTATTAATAATTGTGCCAAGGAAAATAAAACATAGTTTCACTGTGCTCTCAAGGAGGGTGCTTATCTAGTGAAGATTTGAACTTGGGCAATATTGGTGGAGATGAAACAGAATCTATCTAAAATATAAGCATGACTAGGTCTCCCAAAACTTAAGCCTCACTCACCCCTACCCACCAGATAAACTGGATATTCTCTGGGTGGCAAACATCGCTACACGATCTAGTCCTTATTTCTTCAGCCTCATTCCCTGTCACTCTTCCTTTCATATTTCGCTCTGCTTTGCTTAGCTTCCAAAATATGTGATGCTATTTATACCTCTGTGCCTTTGAACACACCACTCCCTTGGAGAGAAACCCCT
The DNA here is from genome assembly GCF_000001405.40 of Homo sapiens. Taxonomy (NCBI): domain Eukaryota; kingdom Metazoa; phylum Chordata; class Mammalia; order Primates; family Hominidae; genus Homo; species Homo sapiens. The sequence goes on along the minus strand of NC_000008.11, from coordinate 35,736,718 downwards.
TTTACTCTTTTAGTTTATAAGACAACTGTTATTTCTCTGAAACTTTCCCTGAGCCTTTAAACGGGGTTCATCCTTTCACTGTGGTCACCGTATATACCACACTGCAATATGATCATTCATTTAAAGAACTGGATTTGCTTATGGGGCTTAACCTATTATGGTATGAAATATATCAACTATGGTTTTGGTTTTCCTAGTAATTGTTAACAATTATGCTTGTTGAAACCATCCATAGTAGCAGGGTCCCTTGAAGACATTTCATTTTTCTTATATAACTGTTCAGTAACATCTAGTTATTAAAAGAGTGTAATTTGGTTTTTAAGACTCCTTTTTCTTTTATTGTTGTTTGAGACAGGGTCTCGCTGTATAGCCCAGGCTGGAGTGAAGTGGTGCAATCTTGGCTTACAGCAGCCTCGACCTCCCATGCTCAAGCCATCCTCCCACCCCAGCCTCCTGAGTAGCTGTGACTACAGGCATTTACCCCCATGCCCTATTAATTTTGTTTTATTTTATTTTTATTTTCTATACAGACAAGGTCTCAATTGTTGCCCAGGCTGGTCTCAAACTCCTGGGCTTGGCAGAAGGAGGGGGTGTGTTACCTTCTGAAAAATCAAGGCCCTCAAAGGTGCCAGGAAAAGCATATACAGTTTCATATTTTACTGAGATGAGCAGTTTAGAATAGCCACAAATGTCTACTATAACATAAAGAATAGTTCACTACAAACAGATTCATATCATAAAAACTCCATTCTTATTAAGAGAATGACCAGCTGGCCCATCTTTTAATCTCATTGATAAAAGATATATACCTGCTTTCTTTTTACTCTTTTGGAGATGAGGTCCTCTCAAATAGTCCAAGGACATTTCTGAGTGCTTAGGTCTGCATGATATATGAGGAGGCGTGTGTATGATTTTGTTTTTGTGTGTATGGTTTTTGCTACTGGGGAAGAAAAACCACAGTAATCTCCACAGTAATGGCTTATACTGCAGTGTTTGTGAGCCCCATTACTGGGAATGAAATTCTATCCTTTCTTCTCTATTTTCCAGAGCTAGATTCTTTTTGCCTTTCTAGCCTTGTATTTGCTCTTATTTCATGCCTTGCTATTAAAGCCATGGTACCATCTAAGCACCCTAAAAAAGATAATGTTTTCTATTACCACCACCTCTACCTTCTCAATCCTTACCCCAAAATGTACTTACTGGGCAGACCATACCATCTAACAGAAGTGGTTGAAATGTCCCATCTGGGCTGAGCCCAAATTTAAAAATATGTGTTCTTTTGTAAATTCTTCAATAAGATGACTTACAACATTTCCAATTTTAGTCTAAGCATTTGGTCAGGAGTATCCACATGACAGTGTAATTGGAAAAAGAAATGAATGTTTGTCTTTGGTTTCATTTTATTGCTTTTCAGAAGAAAGCCCCATATAATAATTTTCTGGTCCAGTTCTCTCCTCTCCAACCATGGGGTCGGGGGCGGGGTGCAAAAGGAGAGCTGGGAGAGGAGAGGAGTAGTGGGAACTTCCTGCTACATCTGTATCATTCTCTTATTGTAATGTCAGTGAAAAGAATCTCTGAAATGACATTGTTGATTTTTTAATCCTGTTTGAATACTTTAATTTTATTAAAATGATCTAAAGGCTGGGCACGTGGTGGTTTATGCCTGTAATCCCAGCACTTTGGGAGGCCGAGGCGGGTGGATAACCCGAGGTCAGGAGTTTGAGACCAGCCTGGCCAATATGCCCTGTCTCTACTAAAAATACAAAGATTAGCTAGGTGTGATGGCGGGTGCCTGTAATCCCAGCTACTCGGGAGGCTGAGGCAGAGAGAATCACTTGAACCTGGGAGGCAGAGGTTGCAGTGAGCCAAGATGGCGCCATTGCACTCCAACCTGAGCAACAGAGCGAGACTCCGTCTCAAAAAAAAAAAAAAAAAATTTAAAGTGTGTAGAATAAAATTTCCCCTCCCTCAAAAACATTCCCAATAAAATGTAAAAAAAGAAATACCCCAGCTGGGCGTGGTGGCTCACACCTATAATCCCAGCACTTGGGGATGCCGAGGTGGGCGTATCACCTGAGGTCGGGAGTTCAAGACCAGCCTGACCAACATAGAGAAACCCCATCTCTACTAAAAATACAAAATTAGCCAGGCATGGTGGCACATGCCTGCAATCCCAGCTACTAGGTAGGCTGAGGCAGGAGAATCGCTTGAACCCAGAAGGCGGAGGTTGCAGTGAGTCGAGATCACGCCATTGCACTCCAGCCTGGGCAACAAGAGCAAAACTCTGTCTCAAGAAATAAAGAAAGAAAGAAATACCCCAAGTCTTTCAAATTAAAGTTTGGGAAATGAGACAGGCTTTTTTTTTTTTTTTTTTTTTTTTTTTGACAGTGATTACTGCTGGTTTCCTCCCCTGCAGAGGGAGTAAAGCACTGTGGAGGGGAGGAGGCCACATCTAGCATGGATGGCTTACATACCCTTGATCCAGGAGGAGCCCCAGGGCTGAGATCTCACCAGCAGACTAATTCTGACAGCTCCAATTTCATGCCATGGCCTTTGTGTCAGGCCACTCCAGTACCTGTTCTTACAGCATCACTAAATATCTTCTATGTTATAAATGGGATAATGCATTAAACCAACTCTTTGCCTGTGGCAAGGCCTGGGCTACAGTTGGAAGGACACTGTTGAATGCAATGTTCTGGCATCAGGGTGACTTTAAAGGAGGAAAAAAAAAAATCACTGGGTTTAGACCCCTCTACCCCTCAAACCTCTATAGAAAACTACAGGAAAATGCATTGTGGAGGATGCAAATCATTGAGCTATAGACCTTACTCCTTTCTTTGTCTGGCTAATTCCTATTCATCTTTTAAGACTCAGTTCAGTGACATCTCCAGGAAGCCATCCTCACCCCTGTACCCCTCTTTAACCCAATCCTTAGAATGGATTAAAGGCCCTGATTTAACATACCAGTTCCACTTCCATTACATCACTACCCTGATATATTGGGGCTGTAACTCAGACATGGGCAACATAAATGTATAGTCAATAGGAGAAATGGAGCAGACTTTAATTTCAAGACAGCATAAAGATGTGGTTTGGAAGATCCTACTGTGCTCTGTGTGTGTGGAGGTGATGGAGAGTCCATAAATCCAGTTCTCATGATGAACTAAGACAGAGGGAACCGTGGTGGCTCTAGAGGTAAAGATGACAGGAACTGAACAGTGCATTCCAGCTCCATGAACTTCGAGGAAAACGGGCCTTCTTCTCAGCACAAGTTCAGGATGGCAGACGTACAGCCCAAAGTGAAAATGGGTTTTCAAGTGATATTACAAAGAAAAGGTGACACACTGGCCTTTTCCTGATCACAAGATTAAAAGCTGAAGAACCAGACCCAAGGAGCCTCCTTGCAGAGATGAAACAATTCACCCCAGCTTAAAATGAAGTAGTAGAAAGGTATTTGCTATTTTCAGTGTTTTTCTAAGTAGTCGTGAGCTATCAAAAGGGAGTGAGGCTTGTCAAGGAAGGTAAATGGCCTTTAGCCCAGTGACAGGTCATTTCCTTAGAGATAACATCTGGGAAGGTTTCAGCTACCTGAAAAGGAATGTGCGGCTTCCTGTAATTTTTTTTTTTCACAGTTTAGTAGAGAGAAAAATTCATACCTCACAGATCTAAAGTGTTAGAGAAGGTTCTTCTGTTTCTGTCCACCTTCCTAGACAGCAGTAGACACAGAAGGATAAACCAAATTGGTTACCATAGAGCTTACAAAGCATTCAAGGGGTGACCACAGGAGGCCAAGCTGTTTTTTGAGGTCTTTGGGCTCTTGTGAGTTCTAGGTGTTCCTCTCTCTTACTTTAAAATTGCAGGTAAGTTGTAAATGAGGTGCCTTGGAAAATGCGAAATTGCCCTAAGTTGGTTCTCATGTGATGAGCTGGGGATGGATTTGAGAGGAATGAGCTCAACACAGGCTTACTGGATCAATTACAACCAAGGGAGGGGGATGCAGAGCTAGGAGTGTGTAGGAAGCTGTGATTCAGGGAAAGTGGACTGGATTATACCTCATACTTGATTTTTGCAGCATGATATGTTTTAAAGCATATGTATAATGGGCCATAACCACAAATTCAGATAGGTATGGTTTCTTAAGTAAATCAACCTAATGGGTAAAAAAGGGGTGACTTCCATCCAGGGAACTCCATTTTTAGGTCTGCTTAAGTGACTAACCTAAGATTTTGAGTAAACTCTTCAAACCTTCTGAGCCTCTTTTTCCCCCCAGTTGCCAAGTGGAGATATTTAGACACCAGCACTTTTTCAGATATACAAGTAAAGAATCTAGCTTTAAACAACTGGGGAAATAACATGAGATCCCAACATAGCACAACCTGCACACAAATCCCCTAAGAGCCAGCCTCACAACCAAATGGCAGAACCTTTTCTTCCATGCCTCTCGAGCCCTGTACAGCAGAAAGTTAAAACCATTGAGTACCAACAAATCCTTTTATAGAAATAGCTATCAAAATCTGTTTAAACCATCTGTTTCTCTGGCTGTTTTTCCTCCCAGTGTTTTTCTTTCATGTGTTCTTTGCTAACAACAACAAAAATAATCTATTCTAAAATAAGCAAGATGTTATAACTAAAAATGCTAGAGGTATATATCCAGTTTATGAGAGAAATTGCTTTCTGAAGAGGAGTCAGGTTTATCTTGTGTGGAGGAAGACAACATTTCCAAAAATATTATACTTGCACTAAGAAAATAACCAACTATTTTCATTAAAAGGGAATGTGACAAGATTTGTATTTGTTCCTGTAATTGAATTTAATGCTGCTGAAATTTGTCAGGCCTGAAAGCAGTTGATGTTTCAGGTCATATTTTCACATTGCCTAAAATTGCCTAAGAAATTGTCTCTCGGGCAGTATAGAGTAGGTCTTCTGCCTACCGTAAAAGGATCACGAATCAATCATCGTATGTATTTGCCTAAGGCTTAGCACCAGTGAGTGCCTCCGGGGATATTTTCTTTGGAGAGGAAGACTCTGAGACAGTCAGCGTTTATGGAGTGGCACTGCTTCTGACCTAACGATTCACTGTTTTCCATTTGGTGTCTCTTGTGTAGAGACTGGTGACCATAAAACTGTGGAGTCATGTATGGTTTCATTTCAGCCAGTAGTTTTGCAATTGTTTTTTTCCTTTCTAGAGTCAAGGAGTTCATGATCTCATCTATCTATACACCTCTAAGTCTCATTCTCTTAATAGTTTCAGATTTTCTACAGAAGTTCCAGTCCATATTTAAAATGCCCTTTTTTTTTTTTTTTTTTTTTTTTTTTTTTGGAGACAGAGTCTCACTGTTGCCCAGACTGAAGTGCAGTGGCACGATCTTGGCTCACTGCATCCTCTGCCTTCCAGGTTCAAGCGATTCTCCAGCCTCAGCCTCCTGAGTAGCTGGGATTACAGGCATGCATCACCATGCCTGGCTAATTTTTTTGTATTTTTAGTAGAGACAGGCTTTCGCCATGTTGGCCAGGCTGGTCTCGAACTCCTGACCTCAAGTGATCTGCCTGCCTCAGCCTCCCAAAGTACTGGGATTACAGGCGTGAGCCACTTTCTTTAATATGCTATTCTCTGTCTCTCACCTGGGTTCACCTTGGTTGATGGACATATAAATCTCCCAAGAATTCTCCTCTGGGATGGCACCGTGTGGTATGAGTAAGCTCACCCCTAAAACAGAAAAAGCCAACAGGTTATTCATAGATTTTTCCAATTATCATGAAGTTTGTCACTCGAGCACCTTACAGATACCTGGAAAACAAGCTACTTTCTCATGGCAATTTATGAAATCTCAATCCTTGGAAAGTTTAAGGTTCAAGATTATAACAGGAAAAACATTGTTTTATAACAGTGACATAAGGAAGGGCATATTATTCAACTGAGTACTCAAATTAGTTTTTTTTTTTTATTTTAAGTCATCCCAGCATTAATTCTTTTAAAAGATTGAGTGTTCTAAGACCAGGCAGTATTAAACATATCTGAGAATGCAAGAGTTTATCCATACATCACTTAATCTGCTCCAAAATTTAAAAAAATGTATATCTCATCACTATCTGTTTATTTCCTGAAAACCTACATGAAATGATGGGTGAGTGAGTGATCTAATACTGTGCTAGAACCCAGGATGAAGCTGTCTTACCAGTAGTGCATCTGGAAGCAAGTTGAAGGTGGTACTCAGTGGGGTGTCGCATTTTGTCAAGAAAGTGAAAGCATCTGATGTACTTAGGAGCCTTATAGATTATTGCACAACCATGACCCTTTCTAGCAAACAGAACCTAGAAAGGGTTAAGGCGAAAGGTTACTTAACTAGAGTCATGTCAATGTCAGATTGGAAAAACTAGCAGCCTTACTTCCATAAAATCATACAATGCAGGAAGGGAAGGCACAGGAAGCCACATCTCACTGCATCTTAAATGTCCTCTCCTTCCTCTAAAACGCTGTGAAGAAAATACTGCACCTTGGCCAAGAAAGAAGAGTCTAAGGAGGGCAGGGATTCTCTTTAATGTAGCTTCTTGTTTATAAAAAGAAATGAAATAGAGAAACAGTAAGATCCTTACAAAATAAAATCTCAAGGCAACCTCCTATTCTTTGAGTAAGGCAGCTCTCAACTTCTTTTCCTTTCATTAGAGCTAATGTAAATCGCTCAGAAGAGTTTCAGGTTGCTGATGATAATTTAAATCTAGAGATGGCAGTCTTTCCTGATCTCCTTCTATGTGCCTGTTAGCAGCAACAAAACCAAAAAACGTAAACCTTATTGCAAAACAAGTCATTTATGATTCACATTTGTAAGCATTATTCAGTAATATGCTAGTTATCAGTATCTTTCACCAGCACTAAGAATAAGGCACGTTTAAATCTTGGTTACAGCTTGGCCTTATGGAGGTCCATTTATATTCTGAACCTTAATGTCAATAGTAGAACTATAATTGCCACACTTAGAGACCTCCAGTCCAACTCTTCCCTCCCTTGTCTATTCTTCCTTAAATGTAGTTGCCAAATGAAGGGGCCTCCATTATAAACCTCCCTGCTGCTAAACACAAGTTGCAAGACACAGGACATCCAGTGTGCTCGGAAGTCAACCTAAATACATGCCCTCGACATTCTGTCTTCTCTTAGTTTGACCTAAAACTTCCTCTCTGCTGCCGCTCTTTCAGGCTGTCTAGGTCATTACGATGACAGAGACATGCAGTCTGTATTTTTCAGACTTAGAAGTACAGGAAACTATCATCAAGCAACAATAATAATATTAAATCAATTACACTTATCACAATGCCACTCGTGTAGCAGGAAGCCAATAAACACATCATGAAGATATAAACGAAATAGGATTCAAAATTCTTAGTAAAAAAGACAGGGTCCGAGACATGTTAGCTTCTGTAGATCATCATAGCCTGATGGCCAACTCTCATAGCAAAACAGAAGAAAGATGTGTGAGGACAATTGAGAAAGAGCTGTCTGCGCAGATCACACCTTATTCCTTTCAAGTTGGCTTAATTATCTGTGTTTAGATTGAAACATTATTCAGAATACTCCTGAATTCAACCTGAATCTATGGGATCACTGGAGCTTTAAATGATTTTTCTCTCTTCAATCAGAAATGGTGTTATCTTTCAAACATACTTCCCCCACTCCTCCTGCCCAAACATGCAAATACTACGTGGAGTCTGAAATAGTCATACACAAAGGCACATGGGGAGTGGCAAGTTACAGATAGTGAAGAATGAGAGATACTGTGGGACAGCTTTATGCCTGTGATCCTCTAAAGTAGAATTCACTTCAATATGTCATTGGCCAGTTACCTCTGATTAAAGAAAAATATAATACCCCATACTCCACCTGCTACCCTGACAGCCTTTTATTTGATATGACCACAGAAGCACCAGTCTGAGCTTCCTGTTTTATATTTGGAATAATAAATAATTTCTAGAGTGTGGAGACCACCCTAACCTTTTGGAGAAATCATTGCTAGGCACCATACAATAATTTAGGATGGATGGCATTAGAGCAATCTAATTTCAGTGCCTTGCTTTCTTTATACTTTAGCTCCCTAGGGCATATTTTGCATTTATTTCCTGCAAATAACAGAGCATATGTTTTACTTCTCCACAGTTATTTTACATCAAACTTATTCCCAGTGAACAGCTTCAATCTTGTCCAACACTCCTTGTCAGGAGCTTTGAAAATGCCCCATTTCAAGGAGAAACTGTTTGGGAATCACTGACAATGCTGTCAGAACTTTTAGTTTTCAACGTTAGTGCTGCTCAAGTCAGAGGTGAAGGTAAATCTCTGGTTCATCATGATTTCATCTCGCTTTCTTTGATGAACGACAAACACAGCCAATGAACGGGTTGGTCATGGCTCTCCCTCTACATATGTGTAAACAGATGTGCACACACACACACATACATACACTAAGAAAGGAGGATGCAAAGAGAGAGAAGGAGTAATGGGCAGTTTATCAACTAATAACTGAGAGCCTTCTAAGTGCCAAGCATGAGCAAGAAAGAGATAAGATAATTGCATAACTTAATGCATGGCTTTATATGATTCTGTATTTTTGTTTTTATGGCATATATATATATATATTTTTTTTTTTTTTTTTTTTTTTTTAGAGACAGCAACTTGCTATGTTGCCCTCGCTGGTCTCGAATTCCTAGACTCAAGCGATTTCCCCACCTCAGCCTCCTGAGTAGCTGGGACTACAGGTGTGTGCCACTACACCCTGCCAAATTTTATATAATTCTGACACGTCGTGTTCTTTAGGGCAAGGGTTGTATTCTTTTTCTTTCCTCAGGACTCACATGTCTAGTTTATGAATTCTTACAGAAAAGTTAATTGGTAAATATGTCTGATTGACTCATTATCTTCCAATTATCAACTGGAAGAATTAAATCATGCGTAGGCATTCACACATTGACACGCATACACATTTGAACAAAGATCCTTACCATGTCCTAAAACATTGACCAATGAAGATTTAGAGAATTAGAAATTTAAAAAACAAAACCATTCAATTACGGCTGCCATTGAGGGCTATTTTGATGAAGTAAAATATGTTTTGAAATGAAGATTTTAAGGAAGTAATTGCTCTAGGGGAGAACAAGACAACATTCATCAACTAGAAATGAATTTCAGTCTCCAGTCTCTAAGCTACTAGAGGGGTCAGTTAGCTAGAATGGTAGAATCAGACTAGTCCTATTACAGATTTTATTTATGGAATGAAATGCTCGATTTGAGAGGTTGGTTAGCTCCACCCTAGAGAGACATCTGTCTAGACTATAATGTCCCTGACTCAATGCTGACCTGTTGTTTGATAAACACTTACAGATCCAACAGATACTCTTCCCTCTTAGCAGCCAACAGATCACTACCTGCTTCAGTGCACTACCTAATTCTCATTGCTTAGAAATCCGAGCAGAAATTGACCTTGTCTACCATCCACTTAGGTCTTAGGCAGCAACTTTGAAAACTAATCCATAGAAAGGATATCATTTTAAAAGTGATCTGGGCTGGATACTTTAAGTATCATGTCAAAACATCATGAAAATCTCCTCTCTTCCAGCTAAAAGGAGGAACAAAATATGTGAGAATTCATTATACTGACATAGCCCTGGAACTGAAGTTTAAATTCAAAAGAGCAACTCTACAACAACCCCTCATCGTTGCTCACCAGAAAGTAACACTATAGCAAGGGCTATGGAGTGTTCATTAGGTCAGTTACTGATGAGATGTCATTTCACTAAATTATCTAAATTATCAAACTAGTACATAAACCATGCTTAGGTATAAACATGGGGCCCTGGTCTGTCATGCCAGAGAATTTTTTCAGTGCTTTCTTATCATGCCTAGGAAATATACTCCAAAGGGGCTTAAAGCCTGGGGACTACCCAAACCTTTCAGGCAAATATAGTTATCAGCTCTAACAGGGAATCAAAGGGAGCATTCAATCCATGCTGAGATGAAGACTGCAAAATCTAATCTCAGCATTGGTTCTGGTTTGCTGTGTAAATCAAGTGGACTAGTGGAGCCGCAGTGTTTGCAGGTCTGATGAGGGGAGAGTAAACATCATAAAATGAATCTGATGGGAAGTAACTGTGTAAAAATGAAACATTTAAATGATGGAAAATACACAAACACACACTTACCACCCACCTGTATTTGGCATTACTAAGCGCCCCCCTAAATGGCCAAAGACACCAGTTGTCCTCAGTTCTGTCCTTGTGGGGAGTGATGACAGATTTTGGATGTAGGGCATTTTATTTCTGGGATGCATTGTACTAAAGCTGTGGTTGTTTCCATGGGGAAAAGTCCTGGAATGATTCTTGCCGTGGTACTCAGCTCTCTCAGACACTCCCAGGGAAACCATGAACGAGCTCTGGACTTTCACTTTGATGTCCGACAAAGGGTTAAAGAGTGAGGACTCTGTCATGAGCTCCTTGTCCAGAGGGTCCTGCAGACAGATGGGTCCGCTGTATGTCCGGCTCACTGTCAGATCTGGCTGCATGGCAGAATTCAGGAGCAGGGAGTTACCTGGTAAAAGAAAATTGATCTGTCACTCAGAAACTAAAAGGCATCTCAGTTACTCCTGTACTTCTGCCTCTGCAAACTGCGCAACAGCCTGCATAGGTGCCAGCAGTTCCAATCCAAGCTAGCTCTTCAGGACCACCCTGCCAGGTTGGGTGCTAGTGACTAGAACTTTTGAATCAAGAGCCCTGGCTTCCACCGTCCATTCTCTAAATGCCACTGACCCAAATCTTTCACTTTCCAGAGATCTTTCCGTGCTATCTTTTCAAAACAAGTATTTCTGGCACTCTCTCTGGCAACGAACTCAGGTATTATTGTTTATGTGATTATTTCAACTGGCAAACAGAAGCTAAAATAACAAAAAAAGAGGGGGGAGAGATGTTTTGCAGTCAAGTTTTGAGCAAAAATAACATCTGTTCATTTTAAATGGCAAGAGATGACAAAGCGTGGTGACTAGGTAGTGCTGTTTATAACAGAAGCTACATCGGTTCCAGTGCATTTCATACGGAATTCTGTGCAGATTCTGGAGCTGGGGAGGAAATGATGTGTCCTCAGAGCAAAAGGGTCAGGGCACCTCATGAATCTCACCACATCTGAGTAGCCAATTTGCTCTAATAACTCATATGTCACTCTGCGAGGGAAAAAATGCACCACCCAGAGACAGTGAGAAGCTTAGATTCTACATAGGGAGCAGCTTAGAATGGTTTCCTTTCTGTCTCAAAGGGAAAAAGTATATATAATATCTTTGCAAAAACATGAGAAATTGGGCTTTGTCATCTGCTGGGGCTCGCCATTTTTTTCCAAGCCAAATATTAAAAAGAAATGCTGTGATATTTTCTTGTGATGAAGTAATCTCATTTATTAGTAAATAACAAAATAACTCTCAGTCCCAAGCTTCACACCCATATCAGTCCGTCAATATGACATCTCAAATTGAAACCCAAACCATATTAAACAATTTTCCTTTGGGGCCTGACAAAAATGTTTAAAGTATGATCTTTCTGAAAATGTTGCAATTCTTGGCCATATTGTATTAGCCTCTATTGTTTTTCCATTTTCATAATTTGCAGCAACGCCAGTAGGAAATCTATCACCCTGACTTTTCCCATCTCTTGTTGTGATGCTCTAAGAATCCAGAATCACAGAGGAAAATATACAAATTGGATGAAATAAATAATGCTATAGAGCTAAAGGATCTTTGATTATTATTATTTTTTTTCCATGCATGAGTGTGTTGTATCAAGACCCAGGTACCATCAGGGAGCTGCGCTTTCTAGCAGGTCTGCACTGAGTTCTTCAGGTGACCACTTTGCTCCTGTTTATGGTCTTCCCAGGAAAGAAGCAGGACCAAAACCCATCTTAGATTAGAAAAGAGTTTAGAACAGGAGGTTCTGCGGAGACCTCAAAAGCCACATGCCTCAGTCACCTGGCTCTTTTATCTCAAGCCCTAGCCTCTGAAGTTTAATTTTTGGCTACGCTTAGAAGATCTGCCTAGTCTAAGTGACACAAGGAAGCAAAAATATTTCCTAGAGTGAGACAGCACTTGAGCGGGAAATGCCTGATTCTGGACATATGTACATATGATAGCATCCACGGTCAGAGAAAATTGGCTGCCAGCTTGACTGAAGTCTGACCAGCGACAGTCACCCACCGCTGGTCACCCCAGTCTTCTCTTTGGAAATCCTTTTTCAAGTCCCTAGTCTGTTCTGTGTATGGCATTCTATTTAAAAGGCTCAGTGTTCACCTTGCCGGGGCACTGGATGTATTGCTCAAAAACGGATCTCTCTAAGACAGTGGAGGTGAAAACCACATGATATCAGCATGAGGCAGATTACCATAATAAATGCAGGGAGAGTGGCATTTACCAAAGGATTTTTCTTGTATCATTAGTTCCATGATATTCTTGGCTAAAAATAAAAATAAAACAAAATGGTCAGGTAAGTTTGGTAAGACTAATATTGTCTTAGAGATTTACAATACACATAAGTTGAGTTTAAGTGTAGGCAAGTCAGCACTCCCCAGACAGGTGTAGGCCAGGGATCCACCCTTCTCACCTGCTGCCTGGTGCTCCACGGAACACGCTGGCATCCTGTACTAGGGTAAGAGGAAGCAACCAGCGTCTAGAACTCTATTCGCTGCATTTGTGAGCGCTTTCCATATGCCAAGGGCTTACCCATGTTATTCCAGGTGATTTCATCCTCAGAACACTTTGAGTTGAATGTTACTAACCCCATTTTATAGCTGTAAAACTTGAGACTCAAGAGGATAACAGACTAATTGATAGCAGTTTTAGACTAAAATCTAACTTCAAAGCCTACGGACTTATGCACAAAACTGTCTCTCACACTAATACAGCTCATCTGTTTTCAAGTGTTATGGTCTAAGATATTGATATTTTATTATTTGATGAAAATATGTTTCTAGTTTTTTAGGTAGCATAAAAATCAGTTCTTGACCAGACCCAGTAGCTCATTCCTATAATCCCAGCACTTTCAGAGGCTGAGGTGGGAGGATCATTGAGGCCAGGAGTTCGAGACCAACCTGAGCAACATAGTGAGACCCTGTCTCTATAAAAAATAAAAATAAAACAAAAACTTAGCTTGGTGTGGTGGCATGTGCCTGTAGTCCCAGCTGCTGAGGTGGGAGGATCACTTAAGCCCATGGGTGGGAGGCTTCCGTGAGCTATGATTGCACCACTGCACTCCAGCTTGAGTAACACCACTTAAAAAATCAGTTCTATATTTGGATTTATTTCCAATTAACTACATATACTAAACTATATGTCCAAATGTAGGGGATGTGTCTCTTTTGAGGCCTAACTCTGAGGTGCCCAGAAGTGAATGGCAAGAGGGAAGGTACTCATCTCTCTGGCCATCTCTCAATTTTTTCCAGCATGCCTGTGTTTCCACTTCGGAAGCCTGTCTACTCAATCACTGCCTTGCACTGAGACTTCTGGTTCCGCGCTGTAGGCACCACTGATGCACAATAAACAGAAATGAAGGTGACGATATTGACGATGAGGGTCAAGGTAGAAAACTTCATCCTCTGAAAAGAGACGGTTTCATTTTTTTCTAAAATGAAAGCTGTGTATGTTTCATCCCCACCTTGCAATAAGGAATAGATTTGGTTCCTATAACAGAATTAAATGACTCTGTTTTGAAAATGACATGATACAGTTTGACATGATAGATTTTCCTTCCCCCACAACTAAAGATTGCTTGGACTTGGCAACAGCTGAGAGTCGTTTCGGCTGGAATTTCATTTTTTTTCCCCTGGCTAGCTGACCCATCATCTATTCTCTAAAATCTGTTTACTTATTTAAAATAGAAATAACAAAATTACTCCACTTCATAAATAGGGTAATAAATATACCTGGGAGGCTGTAATATAGGTGTTAGTCCTCAGTCTTGAATGACCAATACTTTGGTTAACTAAATTAAATATACATCCTCAAAAGGACTTTTTTAAAAAGAAGGATAATTTGAAATAAAATAACTCATTAGGCTGACCCTACATCAAAAATGGAAATGCCTCATTGAAAATGTTGCTGATAATAAACCGAGATCCTCTTGTCCCTGTGGCAGACAAGGACCTAAGCAGACCACTTCACCCAGCCCGGTCTGTTCATGTGTGAAGACAATTTGGTAGCGGCTCCCAGTGCCAAGAGCTACCTTCACACAGGGCCCAGGAGAAGGCTGGGGTCTAGTGTGAGCGTAGTCTATGGCACTGAGGACGAGGTGTGGAGGGACCTATGCCGCTGACCTTGACGGACTGTTTTGAAGTTGAAGGTCTGGAAGCCACCTGTCAATGCAGAAGAGTCAATGACGTCCACGCCATAGTCACTCTGGCTCCGTCTGTAAAGGGTGACACCAATGACCAGGACTGCAACGGCCACGACGGCAGCACCCAAGCCCGAGTACAAAGCAATGTCGCTGGCATTCTCAATGCCTGAAAGACACAAGAGAAATTGTAAGTGACCAGCATGGGCACAAAGTCAAAGAACCACTCGGGAATACAAAAGGAAATGCTATTGGATTTTTGGAGCTACTGCTCAGAGACAATGACAGATGTACAGTGAACACAAGTTGTACTCACTTTCACACAGTAATCGTGTTTCTAAAATGCCTTGTATAAATCAAAGGGATGCTAGGCAAATATCTTAACTGCATTAAGGTAGCTTAGCATGTAATAGACTCTTGAATATAATCAATTTTGCAAAGAAAATAATGTTTTTTTCTAGTAAGAGCAGACAACTCCTTAGTTTAGGATGTCATGTTTACCTGCAAAACACTTTTTACACTTTTACCAGAGCGAGGGCAGACCCACACACAGTGATAAAATATGGGTGATCTGCTCTGCTTATGTGAAACCTGGGGCACATGCCTTTGCAGAGAGCAGTCTAGGGCAAGGAGATAACACAAAGTCTATTAGTTGAGAGAAAGACCAGAGTTCACAAATATGAATTTTAGCTTTGGTACAAATCATTCAGATTAAAAGTACACTGACAACATCAGTTTAGGGCATACAGTCATTATGAGAGAATTTTATTGTGGGATATGAAGGTCTTGGTCCCAGGTGCTGTTAAGTCCATGGCAGATGTTTTCTGACACCAATTAAATGCTAGACTCTAATAATTTATTGTGGAAGAGGACGGGTTGCTAGGACGGCACATGCTGTTTCTCCCATACCTCTCCTACTCCATCCTATTGAATGCATGGGCAAAGCAAAAATAAAAGCGTTAGTTTGAATTTAGAATGTGGGTGCCTCCCCACCCCGCAAGATGTGCTATAGCTGCTTTTCACCCTTTTTTCTAGAGGTGCGTTGGATGTGGTTATTCCTGTAGCAGATCCATGATGGCTCCTGCAATACAGCACACGAGATTTATCTGAGATAATATAAGTCTCAAAGAGGTGTAATCTTAGAAGGTGTGTGAAAATGGAGGATGGCAAGTGCTAACTACATAGTTAATCTTCCTACAGATTATGTGGTAAGTACACTTAATGGGTCCAACAGTAATTACTCTGTCACCCCTGTGTTGGGCTTAGAGGATAAAATAAAGCCATCATATATTTACCTTGTAATTGTGCAGCACTTACTATGCATTCACCGCACCCTAATATGGTACTTATGTTATCAAATGAGTAATACTAACCACACAAGGAAAGTGAATTTATTTTCAACAGTTAGTGGACTGTAAAATAGGGTGCTACCAAATTAAAGAGTGAACGAGGAAATCAAGCAGAACTGGTTCACTAATAGGGCAATAAACACATAAAAATAATTCTCAAGGGAGAACACAACCATCAAAAAAAAAAAAACAGCATCTGAAAGGTCAGAGGTTTATCAAATACATTTAATAACCATAATAGCATGGTGCCCGCTGAGAAACAGGGTGTGATTTAAACTTCCATTCCAGCTTCATGATGATTCAAATGTGAGAGAGACAGGAATGGAGCCTACTTCTCCAACCACTCATAACCATGGCTGAGTTGATAAACGTCAGCCTCAGTTTCCACGTGTGCCTCTGTCATGTGTGGTAAGAAGGAGGGCAGCTATCATTCTTAAGCTCCCACCTTCCCTCTACTCAATTAAGTGTCTTGGAGGGAATAATTATTCCCAGAGCAGACAGAGGACACAGAACACAGCAGATGCATCATGCCAGTGTATGGGAAGCAGTGAGGGAACTTTGGATTAAAACCAACTAGCATTTTTCCTCCCTTTCCTCCAGTTCCTTGGGCACTGCTGACTGATGACACTCTCACCTTAAAAGGTGTAGCTGGGGAGAACACACCTGCTCAGCAAATGAGCACATACAGAGAAACAGCCTGGCAGTGTGCAGAATGCAGCTCCTTTGTTGCTGAGTTGACAAAGTAGAGACAAAGACATCCTCAGTTTTCCAGGTACTAAAATAGGAAGGACCAGAAGCCAGGAGGATGACCAGGGCAAGACGCCTGGGCTGGAAATGGATTCAGTGGCAGTGAACATCCTAAGACAAAACCAAACAGCAGGAACAAGTTGTCTTTGTTCCCCTGGATTGCCATTTTGTCTTTTATGTTTCACTCCCTCCCTACCAGGTAACCAGAATTCTCATTCTCCCTCCAGATATAGATCCTGCTTTTAGGAATAACCCTATGTATGCCTGCAGACCAAAGTATCAATGTTTGATATGGCTCAGTGTGTTTTCTCTCCCAGGAACATCTGTAGAATCCATTTGACTTAAAGGAATAAAATACTAAATTATAAAATTTTAAAAATGAGTAGAGGAACTTCAGGGACAGGGTAGGGAAAGAAAGCCAGTGCATGGCGAGCACTGGCTCCCTAAGGCTCAACCTGACACTGGGATGGCTTGATCTACAAGCTAAGCGGCAGAGGAAAGGGATGCCTATAGAGAGATAAGCAAAATGGGAATTATTTTACAGAACAATTTGTCCTGGGAATTATAAAATTCAGCTTATAATAATTTCACTAATTCAACAAACATTTATTGAGGGGCAGCAATGAGGATGCATGGATGAATTAACACGTGGCTCCTATTCTCAGTCATTTCTTGTCTAAAGGTGGTAAGGACAAGGTAGTGATGAGATCTGGGTACTTCAAGTGCAGCCACAGAGGTATACACGAGTCCTCAAAGCCACATTTTACACTTCAGGAGATAGAACCAGACTTTACCCACAGCTCACATTCTTCTACAGTTGGGTCACTGTGCTTCTTTCTTCTTTCTTTTCTTTTTTACCCTTCTCTCTTCGATCTACCTGGTTGTACTTCACCTCATTCTTTTTCCTCTTCACACCCACACCTCCATCCCATTGTTTTCTGATCTTTCTTTCCAAGAGTACACAGTGGCTTTCTTTGTAAAGATTTCTGTGTGTTTACAAAAGTTGAAGTGATTCTCTTTCATGTGTTCAGTACTGGCCCCAAGGTTTAGTTCTAGATTTTTTTACCCTGACTTCATGAGAGA
The DNA here is from genome assembly GCF_000001405.40 of Homo sapiens. Lineage (NCBI taxonomy): Eukaryota > Metazoa > Chordata > Mammalia > Primates > Hominidae > Homo > Homo sapiens. The sequence continues at coordinate 35,719,199 of NC_000008.11, read as the reverse complement.
AGGGAGAAAGTCGTGTGTGTGTGTGTGTGTGTGTGTGTGTGTGTGTGTGTGTGTGTGTATAAGCACATGTGCATGTAAGCAGTGCCCCTGAAGAATCATCACACGCACACAAGAACACACTCAACTCCCTAAAGAACCTTGGAAGCCTCCGCCCCTCATTCCTGGGAGAATTGCTCCAGCCACAGGACCGCAAGGTGCAGTCACTTCCGGGGGACTGGCAACTTTTCCCATGACCATTCCTGCGCTCAGCCTTTCAGCCCTTTATTGCATTGTCATTCATCCCAAGTGCAATTGTAATTGATATCTCTGCTAGATGGACACTCGCTAACAAAAGGCCGTATGTAGTGGTCAGTGTAACATATACCCCCCGACCCCTACTCCACTAGGCATCTAGACCCTAGCCCTCTCCATCTACCCATCAGTCAGGGTACCCAGTGCAAAGTCTTCCTCTCCCATGAAGGTGATCCTGTCCTGGACAATCCAGCCAGTGCTGCCGCCCTATGGTCTTCTGAACAACTTGTATCACTTGTACTTCCTAGATCTCATTTTGGGTTGTGTTTTTTATTGTTAATTTTCAAACGCCAGTGAGTTGCTTTGTTTTCCCTAACTGCCTTAAACTCTTCAAAAGCTACAATATCTCTATAACTTCCCAGGGAAACTTGCCAATCATCATGAACAGCTATTTATTGATTGCCTGCCTGGCCTCCAACTGTGAGAAGAGAAATATCAAAGAAACCACAGTCTTAGGTTGATTTTAGAACCCCTGCTGCCAGGACTCTCTTTTCATTTACATTTACACATACGTTTATACCTATCCGGTCTCTCAAGTACAGTGTGGCTGGTTTGTTTGCTCAAAGTGATTTTGAACAAAAGCCCTGACTGAGCAGACTATTCTGTCTTTTTGTGGGCACAGGATACTTTTCCTTTTCTGTTTCATAAACGAAGCTTTACATATCAATATGTTACTAATGTCTTTCCTGTTTTCTTCATCCCTATTTTCCTCTCTCCCAGAGTCACAAAAGCTTCAGGCAAAGCTTGGGAGGACTCACCAGGTGGTAGAAAAAATTACTGTCTACATTCTACAGGTGTTAAAAAAAAAAAAGCCCCCAAACCCCACAAACAATGCAGAGCACTGACTGTGAAATCTCTTGTATTCCAAATTAGTCAGAAACTACTGAGGAATGTGCTCATGGCTGGAAGGGACACAGAGCATCTGCAGAGAAGGCTGAAAAGATTAATCGAGAGCTGGAAACTAGGACCCTGGAGAGGAAATGTTTGTGGGTTCATTTGGCCTGAAGACAAGGGAGCCTTAAAGTGACTTCCTGGTGATCTTGAATACATAAAATGTTGTTATAAGGAGAGAAGAGGACTACCGTCTTTGTAGGTGCTCAGTGACCATTCATTTATGATGAAGCTAGTAACCACCTCTTCACCATCTTTAACAAGAACTGCAAAAGAGGACATGACCTTTTATTATAGCAGTTGGGACTCTGGTTAGATATTACCATGACCTTTTCTACAATGAGGGTTGTTAAAAACCTGAATTGTATTTCTGGGGGAGATTGTGAAATCTCCTTTCAGAAAGTCTCTAAAAGAAAGCACGACTTTACAGTACTCTCCAGTTATTTTATTTTAGTTTTTTGGCCAAAGCTGGGGAGAAGGACTAAATGACCTTTCAAAGACCCTTTGAACTTCACAGTTCAGGGAATGGGTATTAACAAGGTGGATGGCTTTATGCATGATAATCATATCCAGTCATTTATTGTCATCAATGTGTCCAAAGGACTCTGTAGAAGGGCTTTTTAGTTGGTTTTCCTCCTTTTCTTTACATAACTCCCCTCTAAAAGATGTACTAATGCCAGCCACTTACTAATGGAAATTTAACTCAATGCTCATGTTATGACCTTAACTATATACCAGATTAGAATCTATGTTGCAGGATTTGGATAAGTGACTGAGAATTAACATAGGAGCGTAGCGAGTACCTTTCCAAACATATGATATTCTGTTTTATCTCCCATTGGATATTGCAGAATGCCATTGCTCCCATTTCAGAAAAACAAACATACTTGAACTGGTATATATGTAAGAGGAAGTGAATTACTAAGGAATCCATACAGTAAATACAGCACATCCTGAGAAGGGTAAGACAAACAGAAAACGAGGCAACCAGCCATGGAGATGGAATCCCATAGAAGGCCAGGTAACAAGCGCCCCAGGAAGCACCCTCAGCACAGGAGGTGGTGTTGATACAAAGTGCCCTGCCAAAATATTTAATTGCATGCTGAAATATGATGAAACAGAAGTTATTGTTAAAGTTGTTTATATATGTTGTCATCAAGAAGCAAACATTTTTTTTCCTTTAATTTGATGCATCAGAAAATAGCTTTTAAGTAGTTAGCCATGGCCAACCATGCTAAGCAATTTCAATTATATTTGCAGTCTTTAGAATCTCGTAATATCTCTGCCTTTCCAATTTCCCAACCTCGAAAATCTCAATTTGCTATTGTAGTTATTGTTTTACTGTTGTAATTAATGACAATAGTAGCTATATCTTAAAAAGCACTTAGAAGGCACTGTTCTAGGACTTTACATTTATTAACTCATTTTAATCTTCCAACAACCTTCTAAAAATATCTTCACTGAGATGTGTAAACTGAGGTGAGAGAATTACTTGCCTTTCTCAAAGCCTCATGATTGGTAAGTAGTCCAACTGGGACTCAATCCCATGCAGTCTGGCTCCAGAATCAATGCTTTTGGTCACTCTCTATCCAGTTGTTGACCTCTGTCTTCCTGATCACACTGTGTGACTACTCTCAGGAACCACAGTAACTCAGTAACTGAGCACTAACCTTATGCTGACTTCTCTTTCTCTAAGAACTACACAGATGATCACATTCTCATCCTCATAAAGAAAATCTATGAGGTAGGTATTATATATTAATATCTTATTTTACTGATGATGACGCATTGTCAAGTAAGTTAGTAACTTGGAAAATGGCAAAGTCAGGCTTTGAACACATGTCTGTCTTCACTCCCAAGCTGCTTATGACACGGTGTCTCTTCCTTGCGTCTCCTCTCTGCTCTCTCCATACCGGCACCTGGGTTAACTTGCCCTGCTGGAGGAAGTCACTAACTATAGCACTGGCATCATCAAAAAACTGATGCTATGCAACCTCACCCAGGCTTTCCTTGCAACTCAGTAATTATTATATTCACATTCTATGGCCAAATTGTGCTTTCCTCACAACAGCTGCTCTGAACTTTGTTCCTTTCCTTCAAGACCCCTACTCCTCACCTGCCCTCTTTCTTGTTGAAAATATGGAGACCATCCTATGTGAGTTCACTCCCCTGCAACTCAAAATTCCTCTGTTCCTTCACCCAATTTTCTTTTCTTTTTTTTTTCTGTTCCCTGAAGAGCTGCCCCATGAGGACCTGGCCTCATTCATTATTCTCTTTTGGTCTTGCATCTTCAAATTTTTCCTCCACAGCTGGGCCTTGCCCCCTGCCTACAAACACAGTCTAGTCTCTCTAATCACCTCTCCCCAAATCCTTCCCTCAACTTACTCTCTCACAAACTTCTCAAACATGCCGCCTTTTTAACATCTACTGATTTCTCAGCTCTTTTTCTACAAGAACTTCAAGCATTTTTTAACATTAAATATTTCTTAATACTTGTTCCATAATCTCCCCAATCAGTTAACACTGTACTGTTAACATAAAAAAGAACAAATAGAAGTAATACATATATAAGATTAGAAAATGTTCTAGGAAGTATAAACAGGTACATATACTATGCAAAAAGCAAGCTTGTCTTCCAACTACCACCTCTCCAAAAGTAGTAACTATTGATAGTACCTTGTGTGCCCTTTCAGAAAAAAAAATATGTAACTGTCCTCCATTTGTTTTTCTTTTCCTTTCTCTACACTAAAGGCTCTATATTATATTTCCTTTCCTATACTTTCCTTTAAGAAAATGTACGCTATCTTATCAATCACTTATCAGAACATAATATGCCTACTTCATTCTTTTTTTTGTTTGTTTTTTTGAGACAGAGTTTTGCTCTTGTTGCCCAGGGTAGAGTGCAATAGCACAATCTTGGCACACCGCAACTTCCATCTCCTGGGTTCAAGTGATTCTCCTGCCTCAGCCTCCCGAGCAGCTGGAATTACAGGCATGCGCCACCACACTCGGCTAATTTTGTATTTTTAGTTGAGACTGGGCTTCTCCATGTTGGTCAGGCTGGTCTCAAACTCCCGACCTCAGGTGATTTGCCAGCCTTGGCCTCCCAAAGTGCTGGGATTACAGGCGTGAGCCACTGCGCCTGGCCGGCTTCATTCCTTTTTCATTTGCCTAGCCCATACTCAGGTTGCATGATCACTTATTTAACTACCTCCCTACTGCTACATCATGTGATTGTTTCCATACACTGTAAAGTCTGTATGTGCCTAAACCACTGTTCTCTTGAAGGTCGTTTGCAACTGCATCAACTATACCATTCTTCATCTTATTCTTTACCACTGCTCTGCAGCAATAGACAAGAATAGCAAACTTCCTCTTAGAAAAAAACTGCCCCTTAAATTTGATTCTCTTGAAGTTTGACCTGTTCTTTACTGATTGTTTAGTAACTACCCTTCATTCTCCTAGTTCTAAATAGGCAGGCTTTAAAGTTCAGTTCTTGGCCCTTTTTCCTCTCTCTGTTCTCATCTAATTGGATAATCACTCACATACAGACAGTGCCAACGATTTCCTTGATCCTGAACAGTCTTAGATTAACATCTCCTGCCTCATCTTCTCTCTGAAGATCTGATGCCATATTTCCTTCCTGCTCGCTGGGCAAAACCACCTGCATCTTGTGCTCACATCTCACATTTGTCATCTGATTTACAGATTCATCATTATCACTCATTCTTACCTCTTCAAAATATTTTCTTCTCTTGAATTATCTTTTCTGGTAATGACACCACCAGGGACATGGCTCAAGATCAAAGAGTCATCTCTGAATCTGTTTCCATTCACTCCCTCCTCAAACCATTCTCATATTTGAGTGATTGTGTCTAGTGCCTCTCTCATCTCAATTTCAAAAGGAGACATCCCAGTGGATATCCACATGGACCAGTCCCCTCCACCCACACCCCCAGTCTTTGATTACTTTGAACCATTTTACCTGTGGATGACTTCCCAAACCCTGTTCTAGTACAGTCACCCTGACACCTTTCATGACTCTGCAGGATGGACTGGATCCACTCTGGGTGGACTTCTTTCACTGCTCAAGACACTTCACGTTCTGCTCACACTACAGTTCATGCTGTTTACCCACTTCTCATCTAGGTGAACCCTATTCTTTGGTCAAACCTGACTACTTATTTTTTTCAAGTAGACCATGTACTTTTGCAGACTTTTATTTTTGGCTCCAACTTTTCACCCTCACTGAGAGGCTCTCTCCTCCAATATCTGCTTCAATTCCAACCATCCTTCCAAGGTTGGCAACAAAGGTCGTCTATTTTATAAAATATTTTTGATAGTGCCCATTCAGACATGTTTACAGCTCCTTTTAGTAAGCTAGCCAGATTGAACAAATGAAAGTTTGACACACAGTTAACTCTAAATTTCAGATAAAAAATGAGTAGCTTTAGCACAAGTATTTCCCATGCGATATGTGGGGCATATTTATCCTAAACTTTATTTGATGTTTCTTTGAAAATTGAATGTAATTGGAGGGTCATCTTTGAACTGTAAAAGAACTATGCTTTTGCCAATCAGATGGGGAGACAAAATTGAAACAGAAGAGAGAGTCAAAAAGAGCAGAATTTGAACTCCAGCTCTAGAAAAAACTACTTTACTTCATGTCTTATTCTGAAAACTGAAGATATAAACTCTACAGATTTTTAGTTACTGAGAGGTAGAGAGATTCAGCTTGTAGATTCACATTTTTAACAAGCACCCAAGTTATTCTGGTGCTAAAGAACACACTAGTAATAGTTTATCACTTACTTGTGTCTGTGCTTATGTCTGAGGTATTTAATTAACAAACTCCCATCATGTCCATTAAGGGCAAAGTCAGCAAAATCATTGAAAATGGTAGTAAGAAAAGATATATACTTATGCTGGAATAAACATTAGATCATAAAAAATAGAAAATAGTAAAAAAAAAATACAAATGTTGCACATATATATGGATTGAATTGATTCACAGTAGGAATGATTCTGAAGGATGAAGCAAGTCAGGCAATTTTCGGAAAGTGCTATATTTATGTAATTGAAAATGATCAGCAGGAGATGAGGAAAAATGGACAAAAAATAGGAAAAAAAGAGTTTGAGACAGTGGTTAGAGCATCAGCTTCAATGCCAGTAGCCTAATGTTAGCTTAGGAGAGCCTAGAAATCTTTTGAGAATTGAAAGGTATGACCAAAGACACAGACAGTTTTGTGGATTCAAGATCCTAATCAAGTCTCCATAGCCTAAAAGAGCATGCTAAATTGCCAGTACAGCCCCCACATCCTCTGAGGAATTCTGTACCTGGTGAAGATCATAAAGAATATGGATCAACATGATCTCACTCTGAATGAACCCTCTGCATTTTGGGGAAAGGTGCAGAATGGAATTTTCTTCAGTGAGAAGAGCATACCTACTTTTCAGACTTTAAGGATGCATTCAGGCCATTGTTTGGTGGAAATGATTTAAAGACACATGCATTTTGGGCTTTAACCTAGTGTCTGGCACAGAGTAGATGATTGTTACAAGAAGTTTCCTTACTTTTCTCAAATCACTTATCTTCTTTCTGCCTTGTATTAAAATTGTAGGGAAGATGCATTTCTTGTTTCATGGAGCCAAGATTATTTGTATGGGACAATTGTACAATAAATGTCTTCTACATGAATGAATAAAATTGACTATATTGAAGCAAAATCTTGATTTTCTTTCTTTTTGAAATGGAGTCTCACTCTGTCGTCCAGGCTGGAGTACAGTGGCGCAATGTTGACTCAATGTAACCTCTGCCTCCTGGGTTCAAGCGATTCTTCTGCCTCAGCCTCCCGAGTAGCTGGGACAGCAGGCACTTGCCACCACACCTGGCTAATTTTTGTATTTTTAGTAGAGATGGGGTTTCACCATATTGACCAGGCTGGTCTCGAACTCCTGACCTTGTGATCCACCCACCTTGGCCTCCCAAAGTGCTAGGATTACAGGCATGGCCAATTTTCTTTTTCTTTAACACCAAAAGGTCCAGTGAGAAGTTAGCAGGAAGAATGAAAACCACAGCACAACAAATATTAATTGAATATCTACATGCTAGACTCTGGTAAATTGAACAGGTGTGATGATGAATAAAACTCTATACTGTATGTCAGATGGCAGGGACTATGTCTATCAGATAGGGAATCCAGACCAGAATAAAGGCAATGAAAATATAGAACAAAAACGGGATAGTTTGATACGGAGGCAACTTACAAGAGCAACTAACTCACACTTAGGGTGGTAGGTTGAAGGCCTTGCAGACATGAAATCTAAGTTGAAAACTGAAGGAAGAATAAGTTAAGCAGGTTAAGTGTTAGGATGAGGGAAAGAGACTTAGTCAGAAGTAACAGAACACATAAGGGAAACTATAGGCCAACATGAGCACCAGGCATTCAAACTGAGGGGCTTTGTTTTGCTGAGGAATACAGCAATGGTGAGAGGGTAGGAAGGAAAATACTTAACGGTAATAAAGAAAAGAAAGCTGGGGCCAGCGCGGTGGCTCATGTCTGTAATCCCAGCACTTTGGGAGGTTAAGGCAGGCGGATCACCTGAGGTCAGGAGTTCAAGACGGGCCTGGGCAACGTGGTGAAACCCCGTCTTTATTAAAAATACAAAAATTAGCCAGGCATGGTGGCAGACACCTGTAATCTCAGCTACTTGGGAGGCTGAGGCAGGAGAATCGCTTGAACCCGGGAGGCAGAGGTTGCAGTGAGCCAAGATCGCACCACTGCACTTCAGCCCAGGTGACAGGGCAAGACTTGGTCTCAAAACAAAACAAAACAAAACAAAACAAAAACAGAAAGCCGGGACCAGATCATATACATGTTAAGTGCTCTAGACTTCCTTTTAAGAATAATGCTGGCCGGGCGCGGTGGCTCACGCCTGTAATCCCAGCTACTCGGGAGGCTGAGGCAGGAGAATGGCGTGAACCCGGGAGGCAGAGCTTGCAGTGAGCCGAGATCAGGCCACTGCACTCCAGCCTGGGCGACAGAGCGAGACTCCGTCTCAAAAAAAAAAAAAAAAAAAAAAGAATAATGCTGAGCTACTGAAGAGGCTTAAACAGGAATGTAATGTGATCAGGATTTGTTTTAGATAGATCAGATAAACTGATGCAGGGCAAGACTGGCTACAAAGAGGCAACTCTAGAAATCCTGGTGTGGGAATGAAGATGGCCTGAATTTTTAGACTTTTCTTCTGGGACACCATTTTCCTTTCATTTGGTTTTTCTCTTACTCCTTGAGCTGTTACTTTTCTTTCTTCTCTGTAGTGACTTCTGACCTCCTCTACATCTAAATGTTAATGTCCGTCAGGGTCCATCCTCAGGTCTTTTCTCTTCTCTATTCACGCCATTATCTAGTGATCTCATCCAACCTAAGGGCTTTAAATATCATCGGGACACTGACAAGCCCCAAATTTATGGTACCAGCCTGCACTTCTCTGACTTCTCGACTGTCTGGCCAACGTCGGCTGTCTACTGAACCTCTCCATTTAAATGTTTAATAGGTAACTCAAACTTAGCATTTATAACACTGAACTCCTGATTCTCCCTCCAGTTTTGCTATGCCAAGTTTTCCCCATACCAGTAATGGCCAACTCCATTCTTCCAGTTGCATAGCCAAAATTTTGGAATCATCCATAACATTTTTCTTTCTCTTGTACTCTACACCCAAAACATCAGAAAATCCTTTTGACTCTGACATCAAAAGACATCCAGAATATGACCCATTTTTACAATTCCTCTTGCTACATAGCTGGCTCAAGCCACAATCATCTTAGAGCTAGATTAAGAGCCTAGGTATTATAACAGATTATTGTTATAATAGGTCATTGTGATAGATCTCCTTGCTTCTGCCCTGGTTCCCTATAGGTTTACACTCAACATAGCAGTTAAGAGCTTTTCCTTGAATATATTAGGTCATGTCACTCTAAATAAAAGCCCTGAATGGTTTCCCAGCTTCCTCAGAGTGAAAGTCAAAGTCCTTACAGTGACCTATAACAAACTCAAACTATAACAAAACAAAGTTTTCTTCCCTCACCTTGCTTCTCTGACCTTAGCTATTACTATTCTCCACTTCTCATTCTGTTGCAGACATCCTGGTCTCCTTTTGGCCCTCAGAGACTCCAACCAAACTCCCACCTCATAGCATTTGTGTCCTGCTGTTCCCTTTGCCTTGACTGCTCATCCCCAAGCTACCCAGAATGTTTGTTTCCTTGTTTTTCTCCCCTCAGTTCTATTCTTAAACATAACTTATTTTATTTTATTTTGTTTTATTTTTGAGACAGTCTTGCTCTGTTGCCCAGGCTGGAGTGCAGTGGTGCAATCTCGGCTCACTGCAACCTCCACCTCCCGGCTTCAAGTGATTCTCTTGCCTCAGCCTCCCGAGTAGCTGGGATTACAGGTGCACACCATCAAGGCTGGCTAATATTTGTATTTTTAGTAGAGGTGAGGTTTCACCATGTTGACCAGGCTGGTCTCGAACTCCTCACCTCAAGTGACCTACCTGTCTAGGCCTCCCCAAATGCTGGGATTACAGGACTCAGCCACCACGTCCAGCTACATAACTTTATTATAGAAACCCCTGAACACTTTACATCAAAAAGCATCACTCACTCTAACCCTGTCAGAGCCCCCCACCCTGCTCTGCTTCTCTTCATAACACTTAATACCATTCAGCACTATGCATTTTCTGGTTTTTTCCTGTCCTTCCTCACTAACACGTAAGCTTGATAGAAGGAGAAGCTGTATGTGTTTTGCTCAGTGTTGATTCTCCACCACCCAGAACACCTCCTAGCATAAGGTCAGCACTCAGTAAGTTGCTGAAGGAAAGAAGGGATGGGTTTGAGCAGAGTGGAGATGGAGATCAGCTGATGAACTTTTGAGATCTAGTAGGTGGCAGAATAGTCAGATTGTGATGAATTGTTGGGTATTGAGCAGGAAAAGGGAGATGAAGGAAATAAGAGGGCTCTAGGAGGCTCTCCAAGTTTCTGCCCTACACACTGAGTTGATGGTATACTGTTCCCTGAAATAGAGAAGATGGGAAAAGGATTTGATTAAGGACAGGGACAGAGAAGGATAATTTCAACTTTGAGGAAGTTGAGATTCAGGTTATTAGGACATATTCAACTGAAGATATCCTGGAGGTAGCTGGCTCTAGAACTATTAACTGAGTTTGTGCTGAACACTCATCTCTGTTAGGTACAAAACTGCATGGAAAGGAGATGAAGAGAGACTGTATAGTATTGAGTCATTTTCCAGGGAAAAGCTAAATCCTTTTCACCCCTTCAGGTGAACTTACCAAACCAGCTGCTACTCAGAAGCTCACAGCCTTTCAGAAAAAGGTATTCTCCAAGCCTCCAAGGAGTCTTATTGTCTCAAGGCAACCATTTTTCAGTTTGACTCTAGGGGTGCGTGTTTGCCATTCAGAACCTACTATATTTTACCGCACCTCCTGACATTGTTACACAACATTTATTGAAAGCACATTTGATGGTAATGAAGTTTCTATTAACTATGATTAAATCTCATAAAGCACCTGAAGATAATTTAAGATGTGCAGAAGCAGAAAATGAAACATTCGGTTTAGTACATTAGGAAACGTAATTGATTAAATTATCTCATTTACAATAAGTGCTTTCATGAGCTATGCAGTGCACATATTTTCCCCAGTTTGTCATTATGATTTGCCAACAGATATCTTAAGACTTCACTTTCTTTTTACACCTCCCCGCAACTCTAAGCTCGTGCCTCTGCCTGCCTGCTCATGGAGCACTCTGTGCAGAGCTCTGAGTGATGTTTTCTATCTGCCAGGCCTTATGGAAGATCATGTGTATGGCTATATATAGGCACAGGTTGTTTCTCAATTATCTTCATAATTGACTTTGATTTTGCATTAGTGATGATTCATGTAGTCTCACATTAAGCCCCTCTTTCACTGAACAACTGCAGCCTGAATTTCTATAATGCACTCCTAACCATGCAGCTTACAGAACCCCGATTGGATTCCTCTGGGAGCCTTTTGCAATCACATTGATTCTCTAAGGTCTTATTTTTAGAGAAATCACAAATTAAAACAGTTTAAGCGATTCCGTTGCAGTATCCAGCAATTAAGCATGGTGCTCAGGAACGAGAACCCCAAGCAAAAACTAATTCTGAAGTCCCTAAGGACTGGAAATGGCTTCTGCGGGGTTTATGCCTGGAAGTACAGATGTAACCAAATTAGAATGGCACAGGACTCACAAACTAAGTGTGAAATTAATTTTAAAAACACATACATGCATTTCTAAGTAACTCTCACATTGGCCACCCCATGGATACCTATGATCTTTTTTGTGCTATATGACAGAATCAGTGGACAGCATGCACCATGTGGCCGGGAGCAAGGTAAGAGTCCACTTACTCCACCTGTCATCCTGAGGGTCCTGACACAAGCACAGGCCAAATATTCAGTGATCTGTTTATTTCTCTCTCCCTCAATGCCCATACACATGAACACACATATACACAGCCAGGTGCCCCCAAACTCAGTCTTCCCATAAATTCAAAATCAAACATGCATGATGTCAGAGGACCAATACTTAAGTAGTAATGATTTTTTTTAATGGGCAGCAGACAGCAGGGAAATAAGTTTAAATGTTTATTTTTGCTGTTTTCCCAAATTCTTAGACTTTGCAAGTAATGATATCTTTGTATCTCCAGCCTTCCTGAAGCAACATAAGGAAATAGGAACAGAATGGCTTTACTGGATTTTTCCCTCATGTCTTGTGACCCCTGTCCCAAGTTACCTATTTCTGTCTATCCTCACAGGGTCTTAATTCTCTCAAAGAAGTTAGCTCATAATAGCTATTAACTCTTCCAAGCTCTTTGAATTTTAATACCCTAAGATTTAAAAGATCAAAAGTCATTCAGTTGATACTAGAATGAGAGATGCTAGGCAGGGACGTCTTTCACAAGCTTTACAAACCAAACCAGCCAGGCCGTTGTCTAATCTCCTACTAATGAGAGCTGTATTAATGTTGCCCCAGTATCTTGAAGTTTCCCTAGCGTCCTTTACATATTTCTGATGTATGAGAATGACTTGGGGAACATATTAACACATAGATTCTTAGGAGCTCCTCAACCAGGAATTCAAATTTATTTGTTCTGTTCTGAGGTGGTGCATATTTAATTTAACAAGCTCCAGCCACACTCTGAGATTCTGATGCATGTGGATTCTGATCCACCTTTTGAGAAACATTTTTCTAAAATCATGGTTCTCAGCCCCACCTGCACCTTGGAGTCACCTGAGGAGCTTTGAAAAATAGAGATACCTGGGTCCTGAAAACCCTCCACCTTAAATTCCAATAGCCTTGATACAGCCTGGAAATTGGGAATTTTAAAAGGCCTACAGGTGATACTAAAGAGCATAAGGTCAAATGCCATACTGCTAGCCATTCCAGCCATCTCCTCTCTCCAGCTCTGCAGGAAGCATAAAATGAAGACAATGCAAAGGCCTCTCCCATAAGCAAGCCTGGGTACAACGAGCCTAAGCCAGTACCAACACCCCAATCCTCAGCTCGTCATTATTTCACCATGGAGTTCTGGATCCTAATCTGCCCAGCTGCCATGGATTCCACAGGAGGTAAGATGCTAGGTGGAGAGACTTGTAGTCAGGCTTTTGCCCAAGGCTGCTCTCAAGAAAGTGTGTACTGACAAATATTTATTAATTTTAATGTGATAAATCTCTTCAGAAATAAGAATCCTAGATGACATTTGCAGAGAAATGGACTTATAGGCAGAAAGAATCAAGAGGAGCGATTTATTTTTACTGGGAGGGAGGAGAGGGGTGTGCATATTTCTTTTGGATTTAAACCTCTGATATGTGACTCTGAACTCAATGAGGAGAGGCCTCGAAAGCCCTGGATCTTTCATAGGAACTTCAATTCTGCTCAGCTCCTAAACAAATACAACAGCAAGGCAGCAAATATGAGAATAAATTATATTCACAAGAGGAAAAATAACTTACTTTGGGGTTTTATTTCATGAAGAGGTTTTTTATCTAAAAGAAAGAAAGAAAGAAAAAGAAAGTTGCATTTAATAAATTTACATGGAGCAGATATATTTCCTGTTTCACTTTATATCTACCTCTATAAATAAAACATTTTCTCCATTTTTATGGACAACAGGAATGGCATTGTCCATAGTTTTTTCATTCTATTTTTTAAAAAAATTTTCTCTTTTGAAAAATAAATAATTGTAAGATGATTACTTCATCATTTAAAAATTTATTTTCTTGTGGGTTTACTAGCATTTCTCTCTGTTGCATTTGCTAGATTCTTATCAGGATGAGAAAAGCAGTGAGCTTTCAGCCTGTCACTCTATTATATACAACCAGAAGCCTGCTCAGGTAAGGATGCTGTTTCACTCTAGATGATAGAAAAATGAACCAGCAAATAAATATTTAAAGGGATCCTGCCTTGGTTTGCAGTGATCACAGACTGGATAAAAAGTCCCCAACTCTGCCTGTTTATCCATTCTTGTCAGGTATGGGTGTGGCACGGTGAACACGTTAGTTTTGTTTTTACGAAACCACTCTTTTTGTTTCACATCTCCATTATCTGCTAAAATCTGTTCCATCTCTCTCAATGGAAAAGTTGTCATTTTATAATCACAGTATTTAGCAGTGCACCCATGAGATAAGGTGGATTAAGAGAAGAGGCATTAGGTTGGGCAGGGTGGCTCACGCCTATAATCCCAGCACTTTGGGAGGCCAAGGCGGGCGGATCACGAGGTCAGGAGATCGAGACCATCCTGGCTAACACGGTGAAACCCCGTCTCTACTAAAAATGTAAAAAATTAGCCGGGCGAGGTGGCAGGCGCCTGTAGTCCCAGCTACGCGGGAGGCTGAGGCAGGAGAATGGCTTGAAACCCAGGGGGCAGAGCCTGCAGTGAGCCAAGATCGTGCCACTGCACTCCAGCCCGGGCAACAGCGAGACTCCGTCTCAAAAAAAAAAAAAAAAAAAAAAAGGCATTCAGCATGGCCACAGGAGTCAGAGCTCAGCTGAGGAATTTTCTCAATGCCCCCAGTGTCCCCCATTCATTGTCTCCTGTCCTATCTCCCATCATTAAAATAATCTAATCTTACAGGTCACTTTGAGACTGGGCCTCTGTGGCTTATTCTATGTCATACCACAGTCCCTGTTCTCCCCATTCCCCCTGCCCTCGTCCATCTCAGGCTCACACAACTCCACCACCATGCAGGAACCCAAGGTGACTGCCCTTCAGACGCTATGCCAAGATTCTAGAAGATCTGCATGGTGCTTCCTCCTTCTCATTAGTCCTTTCTTAGGGTTTAGATGAGTCATTGTCTGACTACAGGGATCCAGGCTGTTGATAATCATTCACAGACTCACACAATGGTAGGGGGACCCTACGCAGTCCCCTTCTCTGTTTGCCCGAAGGTGAGCCATGTGAGGTGAAACTGTCATTTTGGATTATGTTTTTAACTGAAGCAAATCCTGTACGGTACACATTTGAGAACTTAAATATTATCTGACTGACTGCACCATCACCCTTCCCACGCAGATCAACACAGCTCTATTCTGAGTTCTCCATAGAGTCTTTCTCACCCTAACTCACTCCTGCATTTAACATGGTTTCTATGGAATGCTCTTGCATTACATGAATGCAGTGTGCTATAAATGCAGCTCCAGTGTGTTTTGCCATCTGATTTGTTGTGGAAGTCACTTTCACAAGGTGTGTATAAATCACACTCTTGAAAATGGGCCACTATTTTTTTAAAATAGAAAGGCAAAGTAAGAGGTAAAGGGTAATTTCTGGCAAATATTTCTTTAAAAAGAAAAATCCTTATAAAAGATAATAATTTGTTGATGTTGATATGATCATAGTCAGATTTTTTTTTACATAGTCAGGTTTCTTAAAACAGAGAACACTTGCATTTCCCTTACTGAACAGATGTGACGGTACTAGTTTTCCTGAGAGCAGGTGGTCCCTCTCGAAGTCCAGATGCTAATGCATTCAAGAATCAGAATAAAATGACTTTGGTGGTTTTAAGCTAACCTCAGTTTTTGCTTATTGCACAGTATCTGAAAGCATTTGGCATGGGGCACAGCGAGGCTGGCAGGCCAAGGCTGAGATGTCTGAAAGTGATACATTGCTACAACTACACTAGGAGACATGTAGAACATCTGTTTAGAACTCTGACTGAGCTTAACAGTATTTTCTTCCTTCTAAACCACAGGAACGAAGATTACTCTGGGTAGCAGAATGAAACTCCATTAAAAACAGGTGAGATATATAACTATGCCACAGAAAAATAAATCTAATACAGCCAGGCTATGAAAAAATTGGAGTAGTAGAATTCTATCAGGTATAGCTCTGAAAGAATGAATGAACGAATGTGACTGAAAAGCCCAGGGCCATGGACTTGAGACAGAGAAATCAGGCAACAAGGGCACACAAGGCATGAGTGCGGCACTTCCCCCTCTAACCTAGCTTTGGAGCCACTTTTATTGGCATTGTGGCATTAGTAGACCAGGATCAGAACTGGATTTAAACCTTCAGTTGTCTACATTCCGTGTGTCCTCAGTATTCTCACAGTAAAATGGGAATACAAATTCCCATTAAAAGTTGCTACTGTTGATTAAGCATGATAACTGGAAATCCATGCAGCATAGAGCTAGCACATGTTTGTCATCAATAAATGTAACAATCGATAGCTAATGACACAATTTCAACCTGTTATGATTATCATGATCATTGTCAGAGTAAAAAAAAAAAAATGCCTATTTGTGCTGCTGCTTAGAGAGAAGTCACAACTCCAAATCAGAAATTCTAGTGAATTTTGGGGATTCTTGAATGCATGTTAAAACTTGTATCTAGTTCCGGCCTCTGCTAATATGAGACCAACGCAAATCAAAACTTCAGTTTCCTGATATGTTAAAAATTAGGGCGGGGCTAGAATGCAGGCTCCCTTGCCTTCACCCACTGTAAATGTGCAGACCAGCAACCAAAGACATTCTACAGAGTAAAAATTATTCAAACGGCCACTTCTCTACAGTGGGACTTGTTATGCTAAGTTCCAGCATATCTTCTGTATCAGTGTGTATCCTCCTATGGAAATGGCTGGAAATCTCTGGTGCCCAAGAGGGTTTTAGTCCCCTGGCATCAGCATCAAAATTGGATTCTGCTGTGCTTTGTGAAACAACAGTACCTTGACAGGAATCTGCTAACATAGAGCATTTTCCCAAAAGGAAATATCTGATCGAGATTGTTCTACAATGAGCACAAGAGAGGGCTACCCACTGACTTCACTGACTTTGCAAGAAGTACCCACTCTATGATCTTTTATTCTGTTTGCATAATCATTTTCTCACAAGGCTCCCGGCCATGGAACATCCTTGATCAACTACATTCTCTCTGCTTTAATTTTACCTCTCTCCAAAGGCCAAGTTAAAATGACCCTTAGTAAATTAATCCATTAGGGCCATGGTTCTTGGTGGTGGTGTTGGCTTAGTGGTGTTGGCTGCATATTAGAATCACCTGGGGAGCTTTTCAAACAAATACTCATACCTGGGCCCCACTCCAAGAGATCTTGATTATTTGAGGTTTGGGTTTTTGTGATCATGATCACTTTCGGGCAACATATCTGGGATCTGTGTGGTCAATTTTAGTTAGTCTCTGCCTCCCTAAGATGCCTTGAGGTAGCTATGGTATATAAATGGTCCCAGAAGGGTCTCTCCTATATCTTGCAGGTGAGAGATGTTGCAATTTTGACCCAGTGGAAGCTGAGCTATAGTTTAGGAAAAAAATCATAGCAGTTTTCCCAGGGTCTAACATATACTGATTGGTACCTTCTGAGTAAGTTGGAAATTGATGATAAATTATTATAACTCAGTCTTATAATCTTTTTGTGTATTTATAAGTTAAAAATGCAAACATTTTTAAGTGTTTTAAATTGTCACATTTTATTTCACTTTTTTCATTTATTTCATTTTTATCCTTACACAGTTACTAGGTAGTTGTGCATCCAAAATAAAATATATATATTATATATTGTATATAATATATATAATAGATAATCACAAAGGGAAAAAAGCATAATTCCAGCACCAAGGGATAACCACTGTTAAGTTATATATACAAGCCTAGCTCTTTATCCCCTGTGATTTTATAGATATGAAACTACATAAAATTGCCAGTGATTTATCATTTTTACCTATAAAAATGTGGAATTGTCTTTTATGTATTGTTCTGCAATCTGCTTTTGTCACTTAGTACTGTAAGGCAGCTATTGCTTTGTGTCTGCCCTTGTGTATATGAGGGGGGAGGTATATATCTATATGATGGAGAAAGAGAACAATCTACCTTTTATTTTTGGTGATGATTCATTTCTTTTTCACCTTTAATTTCTTGCTTCCTTTTTTATATTCCATGCTCCTGAACCATTTCCATAGTATCCATTGTTCTTAGCAGCTATTTATAACATCATCCCTACATATCCAGCCTCTACTAGAGAACAAACGTGGTCAGCTGCATGCAGCCCACATCCCTGGGACTACAGAGAGTAGGCCCTGGGGGAAGATGGCACATGTGGACAGAAGGGTTCATCTCCAACCATAGAGTGAGGGCTGCAGACAGAGGGCTGCTCCTCAAAAGCTGTAGCTGGTGATTACTTGAAATCTGCTCCCACTGGTTTTGAATACTGCATAGATATGTTTGATACCAGGGCCTATGTCATTTTTAAGATTCAGTTAGTAGGGTTGCTTAAATGTAGACTAAATACCCAGTGGGGCAGCAACTCACTTCCCAGCAGCAATTCGAATACGTCATTACAGTCAATGTTTACCATTCTTTCATTTCACTAGACTAGTCATATCCCGTATTTTTACCTACAAAGACCACTTTAATTATTTTGTTTGTCATAAATCATATGCTTTGAAACCTTTTCCACCCCCAAAAAGATATGTGTTAACTGTTTTGTATTTTAACTTACCCTTCACATTCTTTGTACTCTTAAATGATTTAGGAGTTGATTCTGAAGTCTATAGAATAGTCTGCCTTTTGTATCTATTCTCTGGCTTATTTCCTTATTTGTTGCAATAATTCTCTAATATTAGCATGAAAGAATCTAACATGACTCCACATTGCCTCTGAGTCATGGTCAACTGCTCTGCCTACCTTTATGGCCTTGCATTTCTGGTCCCACCATGCCAGATATGAATTAGTTTCTGGAGCACCTCAGTACAAATCCATGTACTAGTCTGATAAATCTATTAACTCTCTCCATCGTCAACTCAAAGCTTTTGTTCAGGCTGTTGTCTCGCCTTGGGAAGCCCTTCCCTCTTCAGGGTTCTTACAGAAAAGTTTCCTGACTCCATGGCACAGATGGATTTCTGATTATTTCCTGAAATCTCTGGTGATTACTCCATTTGCAGGGATTGCTTCTCTCTCTCGACAGTTTGTCTAACTAACTTATAGTCACTAAAACACAACGTATTTTTTTTCCAAAAATTAATAACATCACAAATGTTCATTTGATATATTTTATACTTTAAAAATCACTGTCAGTTATGGGTCCCTAACATGTAAATCATATTTAAATGCTTATTTGTGTGACACTGCGACCACAGAGTCACAGCAAGAAAAAGATGGGGGGAACAAAATTAAGAGCTATTTGTTTATTTGCTGACTGGTAGAAAAGAGATTGAGGTTATTGATTATCAGTGTATTGCATGTATTCATGCTTTCCCTCTCCCCTCATAACTAGAAATAATTAAGAGCTGGTGTTATGCCCTCTGAATGCTATCCAAGGCTGCAGGAATTCCCAGGGCCTGGCAGATAGGCCTTGTATTAGCAGTGAAGGATAATTAGACAAACATGAAGTCTGCTTTGCATTGGCAACAACACTATGCCGGAATATGTCAGGGAGACAATGGCAAGTGGGGATTCTGTTCTCCTCCGAGTGTTCAAAGTTCATTTAGGTCATAGAACATGCAGGAAAACAAGCTCCAACTCTTGTATACATCCTAAAACTATTTCAGTGATTAAAAATGCAGAAATATTAAAAGATTAAGATATAACCCATCTCTAGATTTGACTCTTTTTAGTTTCCTTATTGCGTTTTTCTTTTCAGTTCATTTTTAAAGATCTTGGTCAGCAATGACCCTTCAGAGACCATATTTATCCCACTTAGTACTAGGTTAGTTCAGTTCTTGCTTTCTCACTTCAACCCTACTCCCCCCAGCTTCCCAGCCTGTATAGACATCACAAGATCTATTACCCCTTTTAAAATGCAATCTGAGCGTACTCATGGAGGACAAGCACAGAGAATAGGAAGTTTTTAGAGATTCCTCCTGGAGTTTTCCAATTGGTGATGTCGGTTAGAGAAATCACTGGTTTCCCCAGAGAAATCTGAGGATTAGTGGAATTCCAGGGCTGAATGGCAAAATCACCCACATAAATAACAACTTCTATGAGTTGAGATGCACATTAGTAAATGAAAAACGGTTCTATTGACATCTTCTAACTATGCATTGTTCAAGATCCCATCATGCTAATTAGATGAAGTCAGAAGGGTACCAAAACAGATGGCTCAAGGATGTCACTTCTGATGACAATGACCTTCCTGAATTGCCCTTAGTCAAAGCACATAATTAGTGTGCATTCAGGAGATGTAGTCTTCCCTCTTTTTTCTTTCAAACTGGGGGGACTGGACAAATAAGTATCCTTAATGACTATGCTCATAAGTGGCATTTACATATTTTTGAGCTCAATCATTGAAACATCTAGATTGATACCAACTTCATTGTGATGTCTATCCATTCCTACTGATTCCATGTGTGTTAGTTTTTGTGATGAATATGCAGAGTAAAATATGGTCTTGGGCCACTGCAAACACTTTTAAGCCAATATCTATGAGACTTTCTTACCAGTAATTAGCCTCAACGTGACAAAATGCAATGCTTCCAACTCTGCTCCAAGGGAAGATGCATAATAAAGTCCTTTTTCTAACCTATGAATTCTTTTGCTTTGATCCCCTACCTTCCAGTCACAATAGAAATATATACTGTATATATTCAAAATGGAACAAAAAGTCCAGATTCTATAATTCAAGCTTAAGATAATCATGTATTGGTTAATGTCATGATAATCACTGACTTGAGGCAAGAGTGATATTCAAATATTTAAAAATTGTTTAAAAATATCAAAATGAAATTAATATATTGAAAAGATATCCACATTCCCATGTTTATTGCCACGTGATTTACAATAGCAAAGATATGAAAACAACCTAAATGCCTGTTGACAAATGAATGGATAAAGAAAATGTAGTATATACAAACAATGAAATATTATTCACCTTAAAAGAGAAGGACATCCTGCCACTTTCAACAACATAGATGAACTTGCAGAATATACTAAGTAAAACAAGCCAGATGCAGAAAAATAAATACTGTTTGATTTCACTTATATGAGGAATCTAAAGATACCAAACTCATAGAGACAGAGAGTAGAATGGTGGTTGCTGAGGGCTGAGGCTGGGATGGAGGACATGGAGAGATAATGGTCAAGGGGTAAAAAGTTTAATTAGGCAAGATAAAGAAGTCCTAGAAATCTAATGTGAAATAATGTGACTACTGTTAACAATATTGTACTGTATACTTGAAATCTGCTAAGAGGGCAAGACTTAAATGTTCTCACCACACATGGACTAAAAAAAAAAAAAAAAGGAGCTATGTGAGGTGATGGATATGCTAATTAGCTTGATGTGGCAACTATTGCACAAGCACACATATATCAAATCATCAAGCTGTGCAATTTAAACATATACAATTTTTAACTTTCAAGTATACCTCAATAAAGTTGTAAAAAAGGAATCCTATTTGTAAGTGCCAGCCTTGCCATAGGGTCACAGTGGCTTCCTGCTGTGTCAAGGGTTGGTTGTTCCTTAAATTGCTCAGGAGGGAGGTAGGGAGGTTTGGAGAGGGAAGATGGTGGGGGTTGAGATTTGGGAAGTGTTTGTTATGATGACTAAGAAAATACTTAACTGATATGAGGCTATCAGTCCTGACTCATTAAAAAATGCTTAAAGGGAAATTGTAAATTGAGGACCCTTGACTTCCAAATTATTTTTCAGCTTCATTAGTCCTCATGCTAGACCAAACATTTATCTAACATTACAGACCAAATTACCTGTACATAGGGTCTACATCCGTCTTGTTTACCTATTTCCAGTACCTAGAACAATAAATAGGATATAGTAGGTACTCAATAAATATCTGTCAAATGAATCAGTGCTGCTAAGCCTTATACAGTGTCCGTAATTGCAATCACAAATATTACAAAGTCAAGGTTCATCAATTTCCTATGTTCTACATGAATTCATAGGATGTTGTGGCTACTTGATGAGGAGTTTGGAGTACAATGCTAAAGAGGCTGGATTTGATAAGTCAGTCCCTAAGTGAGGCCAGCAACTTGTTTTGTTGGGGTAGGGCAATTTGTTTCACATCTAAAAGATGCCCAAGTCACCTTACGTAACAGCCACTCAAATGGCTGATTTTAGGTGTGAATGAGAATAAACTTCTCCTCAAAACTCATTAAAAAATACATAATCTCCAAAAAAAAAAAAACATAATCTGAAGTCACTGACATGTCAGTGGTGTTATTTTCATATTATATATATGTGTATATATATGTTTAATATGTGTGTGCATATATATCTGGAAGCTGGTAAATATATAGCTGCAATGTATATTCATACTTTATATGTATATATATGTGTATCTATTTTAATGTGCTTATGTTGTGTGTGTGTGTGTGTGTGTATGTATATATATAAGTATGTGTATCTATCTATCTCAAGTTTTTAAGCTAAAATGAAACTTAGAGATCTTCTTGCTCAGTTTCCTCATTTTACAGTTACAGACACAAGGTGCAAGATTATGAGATTTGCCCAAGGTAACACACTAGTTAACAAAAGATCTGAACTGGGACCTAGGACTCCTGATTCTTTGTTTAGAGCTCTTTTTACTACCCTATGATATCTTTCTAAATGATCATGGCAATTTTCCATTCCACTGAACACTAACACTGTCCTGTACTAAACACACGTAAGAAGGCCAGGTCTTTTCTTATTCACAGTACTGACACTCTGGAGAATGGGGAAGGGCAGGGTTAATAGAGTTAATGATAGCGTCTATTGATGATGTTAGTCTCATCTTTATTATATTTATCACCTTTCGTAATGATCTTGAAGAGACGTGTACTTAGTTTGTAATTTAAAGAGAATAGGTGGAATCAAAACAAAGAGGTTTCCTTTATCTCTATTAATTTGCTTTGTTCAGCACACCCCAGAGGCCACTGAGTTTTTCACAACAGTAGATTACTCAGTTTTAAATCACTTCCCTGATTGGGTTCTTGCCACTTCTTTTATAGCCAAACCACTCTATGATCTCAGACATTAAATCTTTCTCTAGTCCAGACTAATATTTCTTACCCGGGGTTTTGTGCTGTTGAATCCTGATTAATTACACTGCAAATGTAAAATTTGTAATTTACAGAACTAATAAAATGAGGATAGTTTTGTTTATATGACAGAAAGCCTAAACTTTGGAAACATCCTGACTAGAAGGGACCTTGGATATCAATCATAACTGACAGCAAAAAAAAAAAAAAAAAAAAAATTAAATATTGATAATAAATATGGCAAGATTGCTAATTTTGGAATCTGGGAATGTGGAGTAAGAGAAGTATCAGGCATGCAACAAATCATTGTTCTAGAACTGGTTCACAACAGAACAGTAATCCCGGAATCTATAAATTGCTATACAGTCTAGTACAGTCTAGTAATGCATATGTTGTTGGATTTCGTTTCTCCTGACTCCATTGAGAAAGAATTTTTGAATTTGTGTTGACAAATTAGGATTTGCTTTATAAAAAATATTTTCTACCACCTGTAATCCCAGCACTTTGGGAGGTCAAGGTGGGTGGATCACCTGAGGTCAGGAGTGTGAGACCAGCTTGGCCAACATGGCAAAACCCCATCTCTACTAAAAATACAAACATTAGCCAGGCATGGTGGCACACACCTGTAATCCCAGCTACTCGGGAGGCTGAGACAGGATAATTGCTTGAACCCAGAAGGCAGAGGTTGAAGTAAGCCAAGATTGTGCCACTGCATTCCAGCCTGGGTGACAGAGTAAGACTCCATTTCAAATAAATAAATAAATAAATAAATAAATAAATAAATAAATAATATAAAAATACTTTCTGGCCAGGTTGTCAGAATACATGTATTTCTTATGAATGAGAGAAGCCTGTATATCCTACTCTCAATATGGCAAGAACTGCTTTTCTCACCTGTGGTTCAGGTGTTCTTCCTTCCCTCTCCTGAGCCTTTCTCTTGAGGGTTTATTTTATTTTATTTTTAAGAGACAGAGTCTTGCCCTGTTGCTCAGGTTGAAGTGCAGTGGCTATTTACAAGCACAGTCATGGTGCTCTATAGCCTTGAACTATAGGCCTCAAGTGATCCCCCTGCCTCAGCCTCCAGAATAGCTGGGACTATATAGGTGTGCACAACCATGTATGACTTTGAGTTGTTTTTAACTGTTAGTTAGAATCATAAGATTTTAGAACGTGTTGGGACCTTATAGATCCCCTGGTCTGTCACCTTCTCAGGACCAAATCCTACCAGCTGAGCAGAGGAAGGATAGAAAATGGAGAGTAGTTCATTCAGCTACTTATCAGAAGCTCTAGGAAAGGATATTGATTCTTTTGTCCAACAGAAAGTTTAAGATACCTTGGGAACTGTTAGGATTCTCCCAAACTCTTTTTGACAGCGGACAGTATTTCTCAAATTACTGCTCAAAAATAGTTTGTATAAAGAATGTAATGAATGTATAAATAATGTCTTCTATAGATTTTAATGACAAGTACATTTTATTTCATTAGACACTATCTTAACCAGATATATTAGGAAACGTGTTAATGAAACATAGAAAGTATCTCACTGTTGATACTCTTGCAGAACATGGAAAACATTTTTTTTCTGCCACAAGAATTCCTTTATTAGAAAACACACACATGTGCTGGGCATGGTGGTTTACACCTGTTATCCTAGCACTTTGGGAGCCTGAGGTGGGAGGATCACTTGAACCCAGGAGTTTGAGGCTGCAGTAAGCTATGATTGTGCCACTGAACTCCAGCTTGGGCAACAGAGTGAGACCCTGTCTCAAACAAAACAAAACACCACACACACACACACACACACTATAGTTATTGCTATTTTGTATAATAGAGTGCTTACTATGGAGGGAAAATGCTTCACTCAGATTAGTTTATCTTCTCACAAAGAATCCTTTGTAATAGATACTGTTATAATTTTTGTTTTATAGATAAGCAAATTTAAGCTTAGAGAAATTAAGACACTTGTTCAAGGTGTTCCTGCTTATAGTATTGTAATCAGAATTCAAACTCAAACTATCTCACTGCAGAGCCCTGAGGCTTCAACCTATCCTTCATTTAAAGGATGGATATTCACATCCAACAGGCTCAATTCATTCATTTCTTCCAATTCTAGGTTCCTGTCTGTCCATTTTGAGTACCTCAAAAAGAAAACAGCTGGTTTTAACTCAGTCACAAAGGAGCTTTGAGGGCTATTTAGCCTGTGTTCTGAATGCCAGATCAATCTAGGCCCAACCTAGGCCAGCCTCACTGAAGCTCAACCTCTGTACCTTCCAACAGTCCCCAGTTCAGTGTTTCTCGGGGATATCATCTGTAAAAGTTGTCTTTGTTAGGGATTTGCACTCTCACCGACGAGCTGGTTCTAAGATTATAATTTAAGACATGTTTTTAAGCTTCCTAATGGGTTTGTCTCCAGTTTACATCATCACAGGGACTCGTTCTTATGTGTTTGTTTAGTTTTCTTGGGTTTGTGTTATGTTTTACTTTGTTTTGCTTTCGTTTTTTTCCTCGCTCTCTAAGTAATATGACCTTGAGGTACATGCATCCTGCTCTCCAGCTGCCCAAATTCAGTTTTAGGGCCCTTACTTACAGTGGAGGTGTTTTATTTTGACTTCTCTCATAAAATGAACAAAGTTAACAAGATGTGCTTGAGAGAAACAAACTTCCAGAGATTATGTTTCTGAAGTGCTACATAGGACTTCCTGTCTAATTTCACCAAAAGAATGCAAGCATAGTGGAAAAATACATATTGAAATATCTTGGGGGGAAAAAGTGGGTAGCAATGGGAAAATGTAGGTAGAAGGAGATATCGTTAAAGAGAGACAAGCAGAATAACTGCCTTCATTTCTGTTAGCTGAGAAAGCAATTCTTACCTAGGCTCTTGTGTCTTAGCTCTGTACCTGTGGCACAGATCCATGAGGAAATAGAAGATGGTGACAACAGAAAAAGTTTTCTGGATGACAAAAGGCATCTGAAGTGTTTCAGACCTGGTTGGTAACAAAGGCCACAGATTTTTAATAGCTTATGAAATACGCATCCATCATAAACCAATGGATGAAGGCCAGTCTTCATTGAGAAGGGAGATCATGTTCAAAAAAACAAATGTCTTTTTCTTTTTATTAACAAGGCATAAAAATAGAAAAGTCAGTAGTGGATGGGCAACTAAGGGAGAAGCGTTACGGTAATTTGTTGCGTGCATTTTATTCTTGATCTTGTTTATGTCCAATCCACTCAGGATATGGCACTTGAGTGCAAGTGCCCATCGAGAGGCACAAAAATGACAGTTTTAGCTTTGTAAAAAAAATAGTTTTTAAAGCCTTCACGAAGACACGTGAATATTGCACTATGTCTGCTTTATTTTCTTTTTAAGAAACTTCACTCCTGAGCCACTCCACTCTGTCTTATTAAAGCTTGTTCCTCACTGGTCTTCATATTTGGTCCCATAATGGGAAAGCATTTATTTGGGGCATGGGGGAGAGATGGTTGCTAAGCTGCTAATGACACCATATGTGCCCAAATCTACATTATTATGACTCCTGTGGGTCTGCAATATTATATCCACATTTGCTATGCAGTATACATGAAGGCAAATTATGAATTAATCAATTGTTATGCAGAAAGGCAAGCTATTGAGTATTTCTAGGAAAAAGTCTTTGTGTAAAAAGGAGCACCTACTATGTCCTATAAATTAAAAGTACTTGGGAGAATTAGCGAGCAGTAGGATGCTTCATGGCCACATAAAAATATATTGTGCTGGTATGTTAACTTGCTAATGGCATTTTCATTTCTTGACTTTAGAGAGTTTAACTACGCTATCATTAAGCAATTGTGCAGTGTGGCTGGTTCAGCTGGTTTTGAAATATGAACTTGTCCAACAAAAAGTCTAGATTGAGTCAAGTATGATTTCTGACTCTGACCAAAGAAAGGACTTGACAGATTTTGTTTGGGTAAAGGGACACTCATCCATTATAATCCCATAAACAAAAGAAGTATTCCATAAAACCACTAGTACAGAAATAAGTTGTTTTAAATGTGTAGAGCTATCTCCAGGATGAAATTTCTCTGATTCAGTGCCCTAGGAAATACAGGGAAGGAACTCAGGTAATTACTGTAATGGATAACAATGAGGTTTAGAATGGTCCAAGAGAAAATGCTTAACAAAGCAAACATGCCTTTCCTGTGATTACAGGTTCACCTTTTCAGGTGCTTCGTCTAGGTCATTTAAGTAGATCATTGAATAGACAATGTGGTTAGATTATTAGATGTAGCTTGGGGATGTTTATTTAAACCTGCTATTGTGTAGACATCTTTATCCTTGATGGGGTTTCCTAACCATCAACTCAAACTTTTCTTATCACTGTAGCCATCAGAAGTGAAAACCACCGTTTTACTGATATTTCAGTTTTTGAACTGTCAATGTTGAACTGACCTATGTTATACCTTGACAAGACGAACGGACTAGCTATCAGGTAGCTAAGCCTTGGAGACTTCCTCTTTCAGGCCCCTGTGGCATTTCTCTAGCTTTAGTCTCACTACACATCTAGGTGCTAATCCCTTCTGAAGCATACCCATTTAATCTTCTCAAGCCAATGCCCTTAGTTTTATATCTGCTGGGGTTAAGAGAGAGGGAGCTGGCTTCTCTTATTCCTCAGGATCAAATTAAACACCCTGCTATTTTCACCTTTCTCTTCCTGTCAATGAGGCATGCGCAGCTTATTTCCCTCTGGCTGTGATCTGAGAGCACAAACGCAGGTATGTACAGCAAGGAGAAAGTCCAATGGTCAGGAAACTACCTGATTCTGGTGTTCAAGCTCAGAAAACATGGATCAACAAGTTCTTGCTTCTTGACAGTCATACCACATCATTACCTTTTTCCTCTGGAAAAGCAATACTCTAGTATAAAGGCACTGCATGTTTATGCTTGTAATTTAGATTCGTGGATTCACTGTTATTGCCCCAAAATTCCTAATCTGCTTCTTACCAGTCTTGGGGCATTTACCTACTTTTTGATTTTTAAGTGACAGGGTCTCCCTTTGTCAGCCAGGATGGAGTGCAGTGGAGCAATCATAGCTCACTGCAGCCTCGATCTCCTGGGCTCAAGTGATCCTTCTGCCTCAGCCTCCCAAATAGCTGGGACTACAGGCATGCACCACCACACTTGGCTAGTTTTTCATTTTTCTTTTGTAGAGACCGGGGTCTTGCTATGTTGCCCAGGATAGTCTTGAACTCCTAGCCTCAAGTGATCCTCCCTCCTGGGTCCCCCACCTGCTAGCATAAAAGGCATAAGCCACTGTGCCAGCCGTATTTATTTTCTTGTTGAGAGCATCTAGGTGTGGCCATCTGTGACAGTGTAACATTAAGATTCTGTGTTCTAGTCACAACTGACCAAGCAACAATAACACCCAAATATTAAAGTGATCATTCAGAGCTGGCAGCTTCATCTCTAGGAGAAATGCAACCCTCAGAGACAACAAAGAAAAACCAATTGTTTTGTTGAAGGCTAAATAAAATCAAAGACATGTAGGTCATCTAAGAGCCAAGAAATGCCATTGTGAATCCTCCACGAGAAGGTGGAAATTGAGGAATTGCTTTAGGGTCATGTTGAGTGTCAAGGAAGAAAATTAGGATGAAGAAAATTCCCAAATTGTAATATGACCTAGATTCTTCAACAAAGCTACTGCTCCATAAAGCTGTTGCCAAATGCTATTTTAATCAAAGCCAGCCTTCACTGGAGCTCTATCCTCAGAGCACAGCTATTTTCACCAAGAGCACTCCGACAGAGTACCAGTGAGAGCCTCAGAGTGATGCTGGCATCATTTAATTGGATTACTGTCCATTGCTTCCTGAAGAGATAGTGAAGTGTTATCTTTATTTATTTATTCTTTGAGACAGGATCTCACTCTGTTGCCTCAGCTGGGCTGCAATAGCACGATCATGGCTCACTGCAGCTTCATCCTCACACCTCAGCTTCCAGAGCAGCTGGGACTACAGGCATAAGCCACCATGTCTGGCTTATATTTTTTTAATTTTTATTTTTTGTAGAGACAGGGTCTTGCTATGTTGCCCAGGCTGGTCTTGAACTCTTGGACTCAAGTGATTCTCCTGCCCTGGCCTCCCAAAGTGTTGGGATTACAGGTATGAGCCACCATGTCTGGTGTTACTCATTTTTGTTGATATAGGTAGTCACTTTCTATCTAAAAGGACAGAATACATCCTGGAGTTGGGCTTTTACAAACACACCCGTTTCCCACTGATATGCAAATATATCTCAATTACATCAATAATCTCATAGACTTCACCCTTTCTCCTTCAAAACTCTTCATCACTATAGCCATCAAAAGCCTCTGATAATATTTGACAAATATACTAATATGCATACAATGAAGGCTAGAAAAAACATGCTGAAGTGAAAAAGGAAATGGAAGAAATTAATAGATTGAATAGAAAGAAAAGGCTTATGTAGCATTTTCAACTCATGGGGGTATTTAACAGAGATCTTTTTACACATTCCAAGCCTATCTTCCTAGCTATGTTATTTCCACTATAGGAATGGATTGAGCTGTTTTAATTTCACAAAAGCACATATGCATCCATGATGGTTAATTTTATGTGCCAACTTGACTGGGCCATGGGGTGCCCAGATATCAAGTCATATATTATTCTAGATAGTTCTGTGAGGGTGTTTTTGGATGAGATTAACATTTAAATTCACAGACTGAAAAAAAAAGCAGACGGCCCTCCATAATGTGGGTGGGCCTCATCCAATCAGTTGAAGACCTAAATAGAACAAAAGATTGACCCTCCCCTGAGTAAGAGAGAATGCTCCTTCTTGACAGCCTTCCAACTAGAACACTGGCTCTTCCTGCCTGACAGCCTTCCAACTGGGCCATCAGATGTTCCTGGTTCCATAGCAGCCTACCAACTTTTGGGCTTGAACTGGGACATTGGCTTTGCAGATTTTGGACTTGCTGGGCTTCAGAATCACATGAGCCAATTTTCATAATAAATATCTTTAAATATCTCTCCATTGCACTCTTCCTCTATGTGTGTGCATATCCTATTGGTTCTGTTTCTCTGGAGAACCCTGACTAATACAGCATCTCAGATATCAGAGTTAGGATCGAGGCTTGCCAGTACACTCTCAGTGCTGATTAAGTTCTTTCAGCCTTAAACAGAACTCTTATTCAATTGGTAAATGACAAACTATTACAATGCAAATGCAAAAAAATAATATTTGTGTGTTGGATAACAATTCTTTCTTACATTAAGAGATAACCATTATCTGTCTCCAATCAGTAATTCTCAGATTAAGTCTTAGTCAATTAAGATTGAAGCCTGATATCCATTGATTTTCCCCAAGTGCAAGTACAACCTGTGGTTGTTAGTGAAGGTTATTACTATGACTATAAAAATTTCAACCAGTAGCCAAATAGTTATATTGTCATGGTTCTTTAGAAGACATAAAATTCACTGCCCAACTGTACTAATTTATAATCATGGCCAAATATCTGGACATCCCATGGCTCAGTCAGGTTGACACATAAAATTGACCAGATGTATATGTACTTGTAAAATTCAAAAAGCTTAGTTCTTTCCTTGAAGCCACTCATGGTCATAGTTCAGGTAGTTGCTTTAAACAATTTATTGGCTTATTAAATGAACTCGTCCTATGGACACTGGCCATGTGTAGTTTTCTAAGTGTTCTCCTTGTATTTTCCTGTAGTGGAAATGAAAACAGTCACACCTCAAATGTGTGTATTAGAAAAATCTGGTGGTATTCAAGAGAGGTGAGAAGCACATTTCTTTAAATATCCTTCTATTGAGCTTGTGTTGAGATTCCTTACATTTAGGAAGCGGGAAAGCTTTCTGAAGGCAGCAGATGGTTGGTGTGCATTTATTGGAGAGCATACCCAAACTACAACTGGTGGGTAGGTGGTCTTCCATTACAGCTCCCTGCATTGTATCTGATGCATGCAGGGTAATCAGTGCTTGTACTAGCAAATAAAGGCACTATAGGCTATCAGGAAGTGCTCATTTCAATGTACTAATCATTTTAACCAATGTATGAACCATACAGAATTAGTCTGAAAATACAACAGGTAGCAGGTGCCTGCCTTCAAGGGTATTCAGTCATACTGAAGCAGAAGAATAAACCCAACTTAGATATTTCCTACATACTGTCATCTTCCCAAAGAAAATGTGATGCATCTCCCTGAGAAAATCACAAACTTGTAAGCTATGGTATCTTTTTTTTTTTTTTGCTGGATATTTCCCAGAGAAATTTCCGAGAAGGCGACCAGTTCTAGAGAAGTAAGTGCTCAGTCTTGTGTGTGTTTTTTTTTGTTGTTGTTGTTTTGTTTTTTTTTGTTTTTGAGGCGGAGTCTCGCTCTGTCACCCAGGCTGGAGTGCAGTGGTGCTATCTCGGCTCACTGCAAGCTCCGCCTCCCGGGTTCACGCCATTCTCTTGCTTCAACCTCCCGAGTAGCTGGGACTACAGGTGCCTGCCACCACGCCCAGCTAATTTTTTTTGTATTTTTAGTAGAGATGGGGTTTCACCGTTTTAGCCAGGATGGTCTCGATCACCTGACCTCGTGTTTTTTAAAGACCCCAGCAAAATCAATACACCTTGACTCATCTAAGTGGGTGAGTGGAGAAGAGATCCCTATCAAGTGTGCACCTACTCTGTGCCATACAACATTCAAATATGTTATTTTATCATTTAGCCTTGACAATACTAAAAAGTGGGTATCATATTTGGTAACTATAGTCAGAGAAGATAAGAGGTTAAGCAACTTGCCCAAAGAACACAAAGTAAATAAGGAAGAGCACCAAATTGAAACCTATTTCTCTTTGACTCTAGTTGACCCTCCCATGCCTTCTAACCCAGGCAGGCAGTCCCTTGGTGATGGTAATAATGTAATCTCAGGAATAAAGCCAAGACTTGGGAATTTTGAAACAAACATTCTACTTGCTACTCTGCCAGACCACTGTGATACAAAGCCACCCACTTCCTCAGGTATCACTCTCCTTTCCCCATAACTTTTTTTTTTTTTTTTTTTTTTGAGACGGAGTCTCACTCTGTTGCCCAGGCTGGAGTGCAGTGGCACAATCTTGGCTCACTGCAAGCTCCACCTCCTGGGTTCACGGCATTCTCCTGCCTCAGCCTCCTGAGTAGCTGGGACTACAGGCGCCCACCACCACGCCTGGCTAATTTTTGTATTTTTCGTAGAGACAGGGTTTCACCTTGTTAGCCAGGATGGTCTCGATCTCCTGACCTCGCGATCCGCCTGCCTTGGCCTCCCAAAGTGCTGGGATTACAGGCGTGAGCCACTGCGCCCGGCCTATTTTTAAGGTAACAGTAATAAGACATGTTCCTTGCCACAGAACCCATGGTCTCTAAAGATGTATTAAATGCTTTACTGTGTTTGCAAAATTCCTGGGGGGAAATATAACCACAGAGTGATCAGTATCAGAATTTCACCAAAATTAAAAATGGTAGCTTCTAAAAGTCTGAAGTATTTTCTTAACTATTTTTTCTTACTCTTAAAATGTTATCAAATTAGTAAGTATACACATCAACAGAATGCACAGTGATACAATATATGCACTTATACCATCTCTATTAAAAATGCATTTGTCTGCTTTTCTGCACTTTTTACCTAATTTATTTTTGCCCTTAGCAGCTTGGCTTTCTGCTAACTTATTTAACCACATTAATGGCTGTAGCTTACTTTCTTGAGATGCATAAATGGTATTATGAACAAACACTGAAGATGTTAAAGCAAAAGTGTTACCTAGGATGCAAAGACCATCTGTGCAGTTTTCAGATTCCTGGCTTAGACCTTCACAGAATTTGCCCCCATTTCTCGGGGGTGGTGCTGTGCACTCCCGGATCCGCAAATGTTCACACTCTGGACTGCAGACGGACCATTCGCTCCACACTTCCCAGCTCCCATCCACTTCAAAGGGAAACAAAAGAAACCATTGTTAGAATGAATCAAGTAGCGGTCAGGAGACTCACCCCAGGACTGCTGTTGTTCTAGAGCTGGATTTTAAGGAAATAA
Organism: Homo sapiens; assembly: GCF_000001405.40. Taxonomy (NCBI): domain Eukaryota; kingdom Metazoa; phylum Chordata; class Mammalia; order Primates; family Hominidae; genus Homo; species Homo sapiens. The sequence goes on along the minus strand of NC_000008.11, from coordinate 35,686,439 downwards.
CCACCAAACAGAAACAAAAGAACATATCCACTTATCTTCTCTCCATGGTTTCTTTCCTGAAGAGACAGGCTTACAAAAGCAGTGGTATAATACTCTTGCTATTTCAGGATGAGACCAATTACCAAATTGAGGCAAGCATTCATATTTCCAGCACCACTGGGTCAGCTAAAAATTTGTCATGACCCATTCTTTCCCAGTCTTTCATGCCCAAGTGCATCTTAGGTGGACAGATAAACTGTGTGCAGTAACCACTGACAATCAGCCACTTTCTTAGTGGTTGACAGTTTAGAACAGAGTATAATGAACTATCTTTAAGCCCTAGAAGCCCCTAAACAATATAAAGTTAAACCCAAATATATTGATAGTATTAAACTAAAACAGGTCAGTCAAACCCCAAGACACCAGGACTTATATAAATAGAATTTCTTGGGTCATGGACTGCTGCTGTATGTAGAAATGAACAAACTGAATTTAATTCCACTAAAAAGCAACCCTAGAGATCATGGCAGATGTCTGAGGCAATTGCCCTTTACCTCCTAGGAATAGTTCAACCATGCTTATGTGGGTTATTTAAGATACTGCAATTTTAAATCTAAAGCAATTAATCAAGAATAGGGTACTATAAAAAAAATACTGAACTTGAAGCAAAATGTCTGAGTCCTTGTCTTGGATCTGCCAACTTATCCGCTGAGCAATCCTGGGCGAGTTACTTAGCCTCACTTTACCATGTCTGCCAACTGGGGATAATAAAACTCACAACACAGGAGTAAACAACATTATGTATGTAAAAGCATCCTGCACAGTACCTGGCACATAGTAAGCACTCAATAAATGCTTATTGAACATAAGTCCAAAATGAAACTCCAAGAATATGCTGCTAGGAAGAGCCCCACCTTAACTTCGATTGCAACTAAATTTGCAATTTTATTATAAAGACATGAGACTCTAGTCCAGTGTCCTTGGAGTTAATGTTCTGTAGTGCATGTGAGACCCAGGGTCAATTTATTTCTCAGTGGGAGGATATGCATTTCATGAAGAAAGTCATCTTCCATCTCATCTATTTATCGTTGTATAAATTGGGTTACAGCCAGTAAGAGACAAAGGAATTTATGAAAGCCATACTTGGTAAATGAAGTATCTCTTTTTACAGAAAGAAAGGCAAGCATAGACCAAATGTAAAATATAGACTGCTGTGACAGTATACAGTCTCTATCAATTGTCTTATAAATAAATACAAAGCTAGAACTGATAAAGTTATTTGATTGATAACTAATGATAAAGAGTCAAACATTTGGTACCCGTTCTTTTGTGCTTTAAGACAACTTATCTAATCCCTGCTAACTATTATACAAATAAAGGCCACAAGATGGGAGAACCCAAGGAGAGAAGGGGATGGCTTAGCCCAACCAAATGCTAGCAGTATAACAAGACTTCATAGCAATTGGCTTATTGACGATGAATGTTCAGTGTCATCTGAGTATTAAAAAATATGCCCCAAAACATTGCACCGTGGTATTTCACCCATGTTGCTGCCATGACAATGAGCTTTACATTAGCACCTTGGATAAATGTTCTATTCTAAGAACTTGGGAGAGGGTAACTTTGGAAAAGAAGGTAACATTGATTGTTTCACACCAGCTTAATAGTGTTGGTGGATCAGAAGGGAAAAGGGAATCTGCATATATCTCACCAGGACAAAGAGAAGTGCAGGTTATTTTCTGCACTGACATTCCCTCACAAAAGGCCCCACCATTGAGAGGAGCTGGGTTGGTGCAGGTCCGGGAACGTTTCTGCCATCCTCTACCACAGCGAACATTGCAGGCTGACCACTCTGTCCAGGAAGACCAGCCTCCATTCACTGAGAGAGAAAAATGGGGAGGGGAGAAAAAAAGGAGAGAGGTTTTTACTGATTGCCTACTATGTGCAAGCCACTGTGCCAGGTGCTGTGAGTCAGGCATCCAGGGACCGAGAGACTGTGCAGCCCCCACTGGCTGCTCCATTATGAGACAACAGTGGGGGAGTCATCTCATCCAGTCCTCAGCCTATTCATCTGAAATAGGAGGGACACAGAATTTGCCTTGCAAGGAAATTATAAGAAATAGAAAGAACTCATCAATAAATCTCTAAAGCACTTGAAAATCCAGAGTATAAGAAGAAAATATCAGCATTTGAATTTCTATGACTTTAAGTGCTTCAAAAATAAATCCCAGGGCTCTTCTATTGTGGAAGGGAATGCCTTTACTTAAATAGCTGGGAACTTCTTTTATACAATACCTGAGATATTCAGCAAATAGTATTGTTTGTTTTTGGAGGATTTCACATACCAGGGGAGAGACTACCTGACAGCAGGTCTAGGAAAAACTGGGGTGAGTGTTGGGTTTGAGAGGCGTGGGAAGCAGAAGTTGCCCATCTCAATTCTTTTCAAATATAAACATAATGGAAGAAAATAAACAGCTTTTTATTATTTTTAAAAGAGAGATTGGAAATGTCACTGACTATCACATGGAAGTGCAATATTGGAAGGAACAGCAAACACATTAATAGAAATAGTGATGTTTTTTGCCTGCCAGACGAGGGAGGCAGGATAGAGCACTGCTGTGAATGAACCCCAAGGTCTTTGCAGCTCTCGACATTGAAAGTTTTAATAAAACACACATCCCTCTACCTCTTTCTGCCCTCCCTATCCATTCCTGGCCTTTGGAATGGTCTTACCGTAGACCACAACAGTGGCCGACAGGCTTCTCCTCTTAGCCACGATGTTGGCTGCCATGCAGGTGTAATTTCCTGAGTCCGAGAGCCGTGCCTGCCTGATGATCAGGTTATGGTCAGCCCTGGTGTCAATGTTCTCGTCTTGTTCAGAGTCAATGGGCTCTTCATTTTTCAGCCATTCCACCTACAGGAAGAAAGGAATGTTTACAAGTCACTAAAAAAATCAGAACTCTTTTCTGGAATTGAAAAGTGAGCAGATTCGGGTGTGGGAGAGAGATGTATCTAAAATATAGAGCAACAGCAATGATTGGTTTCTTTATTCCATATCCTGTCCCTTTTATTTGGTAAATTTGGTTATATTCAGGAAATGGATACTCAAGCTAATAAGTTGGGAGCAGGAAAAGAACACAAATATCCTACATTGACTTTGACCCATTTTCTAAAAATGCAGTGGAGGAGAGAAAAGAGGTGACTGCAATTAGGCCATTTCATTTCATTACAACGTTCATGATGATGATGATATTTCAATAATTGGTCCAAAGTGGAGCTCAGAAAATTAACATATAAATGTAGAACTTGTATTTTGTGTGAGAGGATATTATATTATTAGACAAGGTTTTAAGTCAAGATGCCTGAATTTAAACAAGTTTTGATAAAGGTTTGAGATTGTACCAAGGCTAAAGTAATACAGATTTGTGCAATCATAAGCAGATAAATTAAATTTAAAGCTCAGTGTTCTGTAGATTTTGAGATAAGTTTCTTTGGTGATCATTTACGTTACTCCTCCAGTGATCGAAGAGACATTTAGGCCTTGGGTTAGGTAGCTGACACAGTTGAGGCCCAGCCCTTCTTCTGGAGAAGCCCACCTTCCCCATCCTCTGAGCACAGGGTACTCCCATTTCGGATGTGTTTTCTCCTAGATGCTGAAGAACCTATTTTCTTCTTCCCAGTTTTATCTTGGTCCTATCCTTGGTCCAAACTTCTCTTTCCTTGAACACAAAAGGAAGACGCAGATGGAAGCCCTCTGCTCCCTGGATCCTCAATTGACTTCAAGTGGAGATATACCACCCTGAGCACCTCTATTTCATCACATGCCAATTTCCTCTGATCTGTGTTATTTCCTTATTCACTCTCTGCTTCCATGTCTAAGCAACATCTCTACTCTCTAGTGCCTCTTGGTAGTACTAGACACATCTCTTGTTTGACAACAACCATTCAGCTCTAGTTATCAGCATAGGTAAAACACAGTAATTTAACGGACACATAAAAACTGAAATTTATCACAGAAAGCAATGGCCGTGATGACATCAAAGAGAAGTCACACAGGAGCATACACATCAGGGGCATTTCATCATACTCTGCTCACCACAAGCACAGCTCACTGAAAGCTGGTTTTAGAATAAGATACTTCATTTCATTGCTTAAGTCTAAAGAATGCTAATTTATCACCAATAAAACGTGTCATCTGGGCCAAGTGCTGTGGCTCACGCCTGTAATCCCAGCACGTTGAGAGGCCGAGGCGGGCAGATCACGAGGTCAGGAATTGGAAACCAGCCTGACCAACATGGTGAAACCCTGTCTCTACTAAAATTACCAAAATTAGCCGGGTGTGGTGGCACGTGCCTGTAATCCCAGATACTCAGGAGGCTGAGGCAGGAGAATCGCTTGAACCAGGGAGGCAGAGGTTACAGTGAGCTGAGATCGCGCCACTGCACTCCAGCCTGGGCGACAGAGCGAGACTCCGTCCGCCCCTCCCCCCAAAAAAAGGTCGTCTCTTCTATAATTATTTGGTTTAATAATGATTTGTTTGTCTTTTTGAAAAGGGATTTATTTACCAGGGGAAAACATATTAGGATCCTTCCATACTTACCCCAAGTACCACCCCATGAATGAGAGCTTAAATATCCCAAATCATCACCATCCAAAACTTACTTTAGAAGAGGTTAATTTGAAAGAAAATGATACCAACTAGCACAAGGAAGAGATCTGAGAACTACAGTAAAATGTAAAATAAAGCTGTCAGAGCCGAGTGGTACCAAACAATGAAGTAAAAAAGCAAATCTCACTACCAAATCCCAGGGTTCCTGATGGCACCAGCCTGGAAGTGTAGGTACTAACAATGATCAGAGCCAAAAAGCGCTGCTCTGTTTAACAAAGTAGGGCAATGGAACCAATTTTATAATACATCTGACTACCAGCCTGTGACACAATATCTTCCATTCACTACTACCATTGCATATTTCAGAGCCATCCATTTGTTCATTTGACAAATACCTAAACATCTGTTGAGTATCAGAGATTGTACTGAGAGCTGGGTAAAACCAGGTGAACAAAACCAAGATGATCTCTTCTTTCACTGGATCTTACAATGAATGGGTAAAATAGAAATATAAGTAAATCCACATTCTCACCAAAATATAAGAGTTGAGAGTCACATTGTCTCAAGACAATGACTATAATAAATAAATTCCTCTCCCTTGAAAATTACCCAGTCTTGGGTATTTTGTTATGAGCAACAAGAAATGGACTAAGACCCTGCCCTGCCATGATCTTTCTGGGATTTTTGCAGTGGCTTCTTAACTAACTGGTCTGTCTGTGGCTTCTATTCTTGCCTCTACAGTTAATGTTAAGGTGTAACACTTACTGTAAAGTCAATAGAATTAGGTATTTTAAATTCCCATCACTCCTATATCACTGCAAGGAAGAAATTGGTCAGCTGAAAGCATGTCTGGGAACTTTTTTGCTCCACCTCCACTCTCCTCCTAGGTCAGAAATTCAGGGGTAAATTGCCTGCTTTCTGATTAATTTCTTACACTTGCTATTTGTAGCATCTAGCAAGCACTTCTCCTATGTTCCCCGCTCAGCTGTCCTCTTCTTTCATGCTTCTCCTCAAACAGTTTGTCAGGAAGTAGAGAAGTCTGGCACTGACCCATAAATAAATTATTCACACCAAGTAGATAGCCCTGTGGGCAGTGCTCCTGAAGATTGAAACTAAAGGAGTCCTAGCACCTGGAAATCAAGAAAAGCTGCCCTAAAGGAGTCTTGGCTCAGAGGAAAATTAAAGGTACAACCGTCAAGTAGAAACTTGGCTTCAAATTGAAAACTTAAAGAAAAATAAAATCATGCGCAAAAGAACGAGGCCAACAAACTAGGAAAATATTTGCCATAAATTTGATAGATATAAGGTTAATAATTGAATGGTATAAGTAAAAATAATATGAACGCTCAAACTTTCATTTAAGTTGATGATAAAAACCCATTCCAGTAAATCTGGCATAAAGATGAGTACATAGTACATGAAATAAAAAAAAATCCACAAAACACATGACAATTAAACAATTGAATAAATATTATGTAGCACTAAGAATAAAGTCTAAAATTAATAAGTTAGAAGTTAGAGCAATATGTTTCCTACCAAAATAGCCAAGATTAAAATCTCTCTCTGAAACACACATGGAGTTTTTATTTTAGTGATTTGTTTGTTTTTTATTGAGAGTGCAGACCAGAGAACATTTTACCTACTGTTTGATACCATGCTATGGATTGAATATTTGTCCCCTCCAAAATTCATGTTGACATTTAACATCCATTGTGACAGGATTGAAAGGCTGGGTCTTACAGAGGAGATCAGATCATGAGGACTCTCCCCTCATGAATGAATGAAAGAATGGATTAATGAATTAATGGGTTATCATAGAAGGGAAACTGGTGGCTTCACAACAAGATGAGAGATCTGACCTCGAATATTTGCCTGCTCAGCCTCATTGCCATGTGATGCCATGTCCTGTGCCACCTCTGGACTCTGCAGGGAGTCCCCACCAGCAAGAAGGCTCTCACCAGACATAGCTCCTCGACCTTGGATTTCTCAGCCTCCAGAACGGTAAGAAATAAATTTCTTTCCCTTGAAAATTACCCAGTTTCAGGTATTTTGTTATGAGCAACAAGAAATAAACTAAGACACTGTCCTACCATGATCTTCTTTCTAGGACTTTGGCAGTGGTTTCTTCACCAACTGGTCTGTCTGTGGCTTCTATTCTGACCTCTACAGTTGATTTTCTACAAAGGGATGAGACCACGCCACTTTCTAGCTTGAGATCATTCAGTGGCTTTGAATCTTACTTAGAATGAAACCTCTAGGCTAACAAAATCCTTATGGGGGTTCTAGCACCCTCTGTGAGTTAGCCACCTCAGAGCCTCGAGCTTTAGCCATGCTGTACTCCTTCATGCCCTTTGAACTTTCTAAAGTTCAAAGCAAGTTCCAACCTCAGAGCCTTCATACCTACTGATTCCTCTGCCCTGAAGAACTTTCCCATAGGTGGTACCATGGCTCAATCCCACTTTGCATTTAAATCTCAGGTCAAATGTTATTTCTTCACAGAGGCCTTACCTAACAACCCTTTCAAAAATAGTAAACCCCACCCCTTCCTGCTTTTTCTTCCTAATGCTTACCTCTGTTTGCTAGTCTTTTTTCCTTTTTATTTTTTGACACAATGTCTCAAAAGACTACTGCTGGAACACAGTAGTGTGATCATAGCTCACTACAGCCTTGACCTTCCAGGCTGAAGCAATCCTCCCACCTCAGCCTCCTGACTAGCTGGGACTACAGGTATGTCACCACACCAGGTTATTTTTATTTTTATTTTTTGTAGAGACAGGGTTTCACTATGTTTCTCAGGCTGGTCTCGAACTCCTGGGCTCAAGCAATCCACCTTGGCCTCTTAAAGTGCTGGGATTACTGGCATGAATCACAGTGCCTGGTTCTATTTGATAGTCTTAAAGATAATTATATCATTTGTACTCGTCATTATGGGCTTATGAATTTACCAAAAGAAAATATTAAGGGTGAGAGTTTAACAACAATAAACTATTTTTGATAGAAGAAAGAGAGAAAGAAAGAGAAAAAAGAGAGAGAAAAGAACAAAAAAGAGGAAAAAAGAAAGGATGCAAGGAGGAAAGAGAAAAAGCATGCCAAAGCTACATGACAAATAATGGGACTCAGCAATTGATTTAGTATTGTGTAGACATTAAATGTTCTGGTTTCAACTAGTAAAAACATAAAAAAGTGGTCATAATACATGAAAGAGTAAATATATAAAATTATGGTTAGTGTTATCATAAATTTATGAAACAAAAACAATAATAAACATATGTATGCTTAACGTAAACATTGGAAGAGAATGCAGTGTTTATAGAAGTCTTAACTGGGGTAATTATTCTTTTTTTCTGATAGTTAATTATGGCAAATTCAAGGTAAAATCTTTCATAATCTAAAAACAAATTACTTTAGCTTAAAAAAAATCTCTTTTATTTATCATGTAGCACAGTGATTTTCAAATTTATATTTAGCTGCAGAGTGTTTCTTCAATTCAAAGCTTATCTGAAACCCAAAATGAAAGAGGATTAAAAAAGGGAAGGTATTATGACTGATGCAGAAGTGAGGTATCTCAACTGCAGATGTGAGGGACCCTAAGATGCATAAACTTGGTCATGCCAGGTCCACTGCACAACTCCAGAAGAGATGATTCACATCCTCCCTTGTCAATGTAAATGATGTATGCTCAAGATGCTTGGTGCACAACTTGTGCTATCATATGAGCTGGCCCTGCTGTACGGTCTACCCCCAATCACTCATAGGCACTATAGACATATACTATGGTCTGCTTCTAGGACTTCCAAAATTATAGTTTGAAAACTATTGATAAGGTAAATAAGGTGTCCTAGGTGTGTGTATCTATCTATACACACACACACAGACACATACACACACGTATATATATATACACATACACACATATATACACACATATACATACACACACACATACACACACACACACACAGACACTCACACACCCTATAAAAACCTACTCTCATGGCTTTCTCATGGAAATGACAAGCATCAAATAACTTTTTACATATATACAGACCCCAGCATATCAGCATATATATATATATGCTGGTATACTTGATGTTTATGGTGTTATGACTGGGGTCCTTCAATCCAATTATGTCTATAAACAATCAACATAGTAGTAGACACTTAACTGTGGAACTGTTTTTTTATTCATAACCTAATAGTTTATCCATTTAACTGATGGCAGGATCTTTATGAGGAAATCAGTCTGGTATTTTCTGGGCTTATAAAAGTGACAAATTGTGCTTGGATTTATGCTTTTGTCACTTAGAGAAACTTTAAAACATTTTTGATGAGCTAAGTGCCCCTAATGTAGAACAGTTTAATAAATAAAATAGGAAAAAAAAATTCTCTACACCAGCAGTTGCAAACTCCAATGTTCCTGGGGGCCAGGGAGGTAACATAAATCAGTGAAGTGGTGCTGGGTACGAGACCCCCACGAGCACTGCTTGCATGTTAAAGACAAGGGACTGTTCTGCGTTTCCACAGAGGAATGAGCTCACACTCATTTTTCTTAAAAAATGTGGCATTTTCTGTCTTTTTAGACAGAGGCATGGGTATTTTTAAAAAATGATAGTGCAATGAAAAGTGACAATGAACTCATTTTTGCTTAATAATCTCTTTTGCTTTTCATGTGTCATGGTGGTCTTTAATTTACAGAGTATTTAGCTTTAGCATCAGAAATTATAGGAATGTGATGACCGTGGCAAAACGTAGACCGCAAGACCTGTGTAAATGTGTAGCCACTAGTTAGGGTCAGACTATCATTACCATGAGAGAACACAGGCACAGTGTGGTCAGATCTTATATTTTTCATGAAAAGCCAGAGATGTTTATTTCAATGTAATATTTTTTGATTCTTATATGATGGCCCGTATATTACAAAATTTATTATGAGGACCAAAAAAAAAACATATTCATGAGTGAGATGTAGATTTGCCCCCCTCGTCCACAAAAACCACAATACACCAGACTTCCGACCCCTGGTGAATGTTATCACAAAGAGGAGCTCAATGCCCTACACTGGATTTAATTTCCTTTCACTAAATCATTTTCCTCAACCATCCATGAATGTTATGGTGCATATGTGCTACTGCCCACTCTCATGGCTTTCTCGTGGAAATGACTGGCAAGCACATAACTTTTGAACCTATATCCAATATTCTGCAGGTATGATAAGGGTTTGCATGTATGCTGAGTTCAGAAATTATTTAACAATAAATTGCCTACACTGTAAATCCCTAATTAAGCTCTTAACAAAAGCAATACAGATTTTCAAATTAGCATTATGGGATCAATAAATTGACCACCTTGTGGCTAACAGACATTTGTATCACTTATGCACATGACCTCCTGCTAACAGGTCATCTTTCTGACAGAGAGGCCTAACATTCCTGAAGGTTGTTGGAGGCATTCACCCCTCGGATGAACAATTCTTTATCTGGTTTCTACTTATTTGGTTCACATAGATAATCCCAGTTCAGAACATGCAAAGAAACTAGTTACTTAGAGGTAATGAGCTTATGGATTTTCAGAACGCCAGCATTCATTAGCATAGTGTTATGTACAGATGGTCTGCAATTTGTAGATTTTTTTTCCAGTTTATAAACAAATCTGGAAAAGCAGAACATCAAAGACAATTAGATTTCATGCCAGACAGCAGGTTCCTGATCAGTCATTCTGGTTAGCTGGGGACAGAAGGTATGCAACTGATGAGCTTCTAGTTTTCTCACCAATAGGCAGCATGATGTAAACAGATTGGAGAGGGAGCCTCCACTGGAAGGGGAATAGAATGATGCATTGTGGGAGATTATCTTACCTGAGACCTGGCTTAACATATGAATATGTCTGCATGTGTCATAATATGTCACTTACTCTGATCTTTTATTAAAGACATCTAGTATGTATATACATAAACCTTACACCTAAATGTTTATTTCCACCAGACAATATGTGAGAATTTTCATGCTTCTGTTCTTGTTCTTAATGTTCTATAAAAGAATGAAAAGGAGAGTGATGTTATTAATCCTTTAGAAATGGAAAAAACAAAACCCAAAGACTAGTCTAGAAAGAGGAGAAAGCTGCTTTAAAATCCAGCTTTCCTCATATGCAGGACCCCAGGCCCCTTGACCTTTGAATTCTAGACTGGACCAACCCAAAAATCTACCCTCATATCCCACGGAAAATGCAAATCAGGCCCATTAATTGATATCATCGACCATGTGCTCCTACACTTCATTTCCAGCCCTCTCTCTTGGGATTTGGTAGACTCAGTATCAAATGGAGTTGTTCATATATATTATAGATGCAACCTCAGCTTTATGATTTCTAAAGTGTCTCAATTCATCTCATTGCCTGTGATCATTTTCTTTCTGCTCTACTTGTCGGCAAGCTTCTTAAGAACATGAACAATATCTCAAGTATCTCCCATCTAAGGATGTTCAATGGCACCTGCTGAATAAATGTGCTAGCCCAAATTGCTGTCCATGCAGATTTAGAGGTTGGTGCAATATACATACATGCACACATATGAGAACATTTCAAACTGTATTTTACGGATAGAGGTAAGGGAGGGGTCCATTATTCTTTGCTTTAGTTCCCAGAGCTGAGCATAGAAATGACCTAGAAGAGTAAGACTGCTGAGAGAGCTGTTCTTCAATATATTCTGGGAGCCACTAATATTTCATAATGGCTACACATTTTTCATACTGAATTTCACATATTCACTTAAGATTTGTGAATTATATTAGAGTAATAAATATTTTTTTCACACTATAGTAAAAAACGTCTTGGGAAGACAACCATATCTAGTGGGACAGGGTAGAGAGACAGGTCTATTAGAGATGTATAAGTGGTAGAGCCAGGGAAAAGCTGGAAGGCTACGGAAGTTCACAACATGATCACTCCCTGCATAAACTGAAAGCTTTTTGAAGTTAGCATCTTACAAAAAGCAAGACTGATTGATTGATTGTGCTTTTGTGAGAAAACGGGGAGAAGGATGAGGTCTGCATTCCAGCTGCTGAGCAGCTGAACTGAGACAGCACCCAAGGACATGAGGCAGGGACAGCCTGCACCAGGCAGAGGTGAAGATGGGATTCCCGGAAGCACGAGGAAGCCTTTAGACTCGCACATGCCAGGACTCTGGTCTAACCAATACATTTCTCATTCGCTTTAGGTTATAGTGTGAGTTTTGATCAAATGGATTATTTCCCAGCCTAATAATGATATCTAGCATTTCATGAACACTTACCATGTGCCAAATACTCTTTTAGGCACTATACATGTGTTAGTTAATTTAATCCTTAAAGCATCTCTAGGAGGTAAATACCATTTTTATCACCCCCATTTTATAGACAAAGAAACACAGATGTTAAGTACCTTGCCTAAACCATATATACACACACACATACACAAACACACTCACACACATTTATACACATAAACATATATAGACATAATTTGATTCCAAATTTAAGTCTTGCTTTTATCCACTAAACTCAGTTATCCTATCATTTGCTAGATTTGGTTGGAACGACTGTTGGCTCTTTGCAAAATTACATTGAAATACAGAAACTTATCACCATTAAAGAAAATTTTGAAAATGTATTTTAGGTTTTTATGATCACTCCTAAGGAAGAATTGCAAACAATTTTCTTGGGAATGGCAACATTGTTAGAGTAAGGGTATTGTCTCCCAGGTGGGTGATTTAAAGGACAGCTCTCAGTTGAATGCACACACTCCAGTTATATCATTACTGTCAAATGTTCAGACTGTGACCTGAATTATTTTGACATCAAAAACTTACTCAAGCTCAGTAACTGTCCACGGATAGGTCATGCCAAGTCAAGCTAGCCCCCTGAACATTATCTGGGGTCTCATTTTGCTTTTGGCACTGTGTAGAAATGGGTGCAGCACGTACCCATGAAGTCCTGCTGTGGCGATATATCCTAATGTCCTAAAATGTTTAAGAAGACTGACTGGATCTACGTCAACTGGAGAGCTTATAGGAAAGCATTTGCTTTTCTGAGAAAAGGGACTGGTATTCCTGTTCTTGTGACTGTATTGGACACCAATGTGATTCTAACAATATGGCAGCCATCTTGTGATCATGAGGAAAAGGCAAAGAAAACCACAGTGCTGTCGGCCATTGTCTTTACACTCACAAGTGAACATATTGTCATTCAATACACTATCTTATTTGATCCCCACGGCAACCCCAAGATAGGCAAAGAAAATCTTATTCTTCCCATTTTACCGATTATATGATTTGCCTAAGGCTATATGCTTGGGAAATGGTAGAACTAGAATTAGTAGCCCTCAAATATATATTTTTTCTACCACAAGGCATTAGCCATTTTCTTAGGCGTCTTAGTGACTATGTGAAAGGCTACTCTTTAATATTTGCCTAATTTGACTTGGCATTGTCTAATAAGTCTCCAAAGGGACTGAACCATTGCACAGTGATGCTTCTCTGCTCACAATGGGGCATATTCTTGCCTAATGTTAGTTCAGGCCATTACTTGCTTCACCACTTTCAGATTAGATGTCACCTGTCCTCTCCTCTCTCCTTGATAATATTTCTTTCAAGTTATTTATAACAGTACTATCATGTTTCCCCTTTTGTCTTGCTTTTCTTTCCAGGCTCTACAGATTGATTTTAAAGCCACCTACACTGCAGTTTCTTCAATTTAGCTCTACTTATCTGATTATGCATCACAAAAGGAAGCAGAAATTCAGCTTAATTGTGAAGCCATTGCAGCAGAACCAAGCAAATGATAGAAAACCTCATGATCACAGACAGAATCACACTCACTGATGCTGAATGAAATGACAGACATCCGTCCCTCTGCAGAAGCCTGAATACTGATCACAGAATTTTACGTTCTGACATTGTGTGTCTCTTGTCAGATAGTGTTGTCCTTTACTTTCCCCGCTTCAGTTGTGAAAGTCAGGTGCAGTCTCATACTATTTTTTTTTAAAATTCATTATGACAAGTAAATGGTCTCTGGGAAAGCGAACATCCTCATCCACTGTTTACTGAAACTGTAACACTGTCATGAGTGAAGAATGAAACATGTTTAATGTAAAGAGTTTGCAGAATGATGATCAGAGGAAAAGAACATTAAACAGAAGAAACATAAATATAAGAATGGGGAGAGAGATGTAATCAAAAGACAGCTTGTAAGGGAGGTTACATGCTGCCATTTGCTTTTCAGCTGTGTTTTCCATAGTGGGACAGATCTTGCTCTTTGTTACTTCTACTTTTGCTTTTTCCCATCTGCAAAGAGGGAAACAATCTGCTTTTGAATCTCTGGTGAAGCATCACCTAGAAGCTGCTGCCAAAGCTTGATATCCAGAGTGCTCTAAAACATAGTGTGATGTGCCCTTTCATCTTAAAGGATTATTTTTGGCTGGGCAGACCTCTCTAAGATAGATTATAAGGAGCTGGCTTTTAAAGGCAATGAAAACTGCTTCTGTATTCACATTTACCCCCTCCCTCCATTATCTGAGGTATGTAAATAATGTTTTAAAGTGGTGATGTGAGAATATTAATTATGTTTTCATTTCTTGTTCCTGTTACCATGTAATATATCTTCAAGTGCTGAGAAAACATCTTACAAAACCATTAAAGATTCCAAATGTTCATACATAAATGGGTGTTAAAAGCGGATGCCTGAGTTACATACAATTAATGATACACAGACACGTATCATACATACATGGACATGTACCACTGGAAAAATCAAGTCTACAAAGAATAAAAATATTTCTGTCAGTGAGTAAAAGGCTAATAATGTAATGATATCCAAAGGAAATGCAGGGACACATATGGATGAGCTCGGATTCCACATATTGGGTGACTAAGAATGAATTAGCATAAATTATAAATTTGTTCCAATTATAGAAGGTAATTATCGGAGACCAGCTTACAGCATTATCAAAATTAAAACAGCAAAGTGCATCTGTATTCCAAGTAGATGCCATTGAGTTAATCGTCCTGAAAAAAAAACCAAAAAGACTCTACACTTATTCATCTTCTATTCCTTTGATTACTAGACACTCTATCCAAGTTTCCCCTCAGCTGACAGACACAAAGTCACCATGAAGGAAGAAAAACATTTTGAAAATCATGCTTAATATAATAAAACAACTGCAAAACAACCAAATTCAAACTCTAAAGTCTTGTATGGATTATTTTCTAGATCAGTGGTTCAGATAGTGCTTTTAAATTTTAGACAGGAATTCACATCGCCTCTTGTGCTCTCTCCAAAATACTAATTAGGAATAAAGCTGTGACTAAACTTGTCATTACCTGCTCCAAACAAAAGTTCTTTATGCAGAAATCAACTGCTATTTTATTACAATACAAAGGTAGACATGTTGCTGTTCATATTATTTGTTTTCATTTGGCTTCCCATTATAAATGTAACCTGTTGCTTTGTTAACCATTGCCAACCTGGAAAGAACAAAGTCAAGTCAACATATTTTGAAAAGGAGTCAACAGATTTGGTATCCAAATTGTAGAGCTGAAAATGCAATTCCATTTAATGAGCTGAGATTATACATTTATATTAGAATATGCCTAGCAATTAAGGAAACAAATATAAGAGAGACACTCAAGAGATCACGGATTAATAAGACAGACAAAAACGCATTTCCATTGTAACTAAGCACAATGGTTTTACTATTATGAAGGATGGCCGACTTAGTGGAGGTGGGGCAAGGAAAAGGGGAGGAGAAGAAAAGGGACAGAAGGGAGACTCACATTTTATACATATTGATGGTCCAATATGTATTAGATGTGTCAGATAATATTCTAGGTTATTTCTCATCTTGAACCACTTGGTGAGTTAGACATCGTTAACTATGTTTTTATCATCTAAAAATAACTGAACATCAAAGAACTTAAATATGCCAACATATTCAAAATTCTGCCATCTTTTTATTTTAAGTTCCAGGATACATGTGCAGAATGTGCAGCTTTGTCACATAGGTATACATGTGCCATGGTGATTTCCTACACCTATCAACCTGTCATCAAGGTTTTATGGCCCACATGCATTAGGTATTTGTCCTAATGCTCTCCCTCCCCTTGCCCTCACATCCCCCAACAAGCCCCAGTATGTGTTGATCCCCTCCCTGTGTCCATGTGTTCTCATTGTTCAACTCCCACTTATAAGTGAGAACATGCAGTGTTTGGTTTTCTGTTCCTGTGTTAGTTTGCTGAGGATAATGTCTTCCAGCTCCATCCATGTCCCTGCAAAGGACATGATCTCATTTCTTTTTATGGCTGCATGGCATTGCATGGTATATATGCACCACATTTTCTTTATGCAGTCTATCACTGATGGGCATTTGGGTTGGTTCCATGTCTTCGCTATTGTCAATAGTGCTGCAATAAACATACATGTACATGTGTCTTCAAAGTAGAATCAAAATTATGCCATCTTTAAAAAATAGGTAAACAAAATCCCTCTTTTCCCTTCATGGCCAATGTATGTTGAATTATTTACCAAATATTTACCCCTTATCATCATATCCATTCTATCAAATCACCGAAGTGGCTCTTGCTAAGGTCATTAAGGATTTTCAAGCTATTACATCCAGTGCACATTGATCTGTATTCTTATTTGACTGTTAAGGGTAATGATGGCTGTTCTTGAATTTGTTCTTTCACCTGTTTTTATAATACCATATATTCTTTCCTCCTCCCACTCTGGCCACTCCTTCTCTATTGAAACATTCAGTGTTGTATTTCTTCAAGTCTCAGGTTTAGGCCCTGTTCCACGTCTTACTGCAAAACACCTCCCCACATGATCATATCCAGACTCATGTCATTCATGGTCATACACTGAACATTCCCAGATTGACATCTTCAGTTCATTTACCCTCTTGTGCTACAGACTCTGGTACTCAGAGACTTACTACTCAGTGTCTACTTTTGTGTACCTCAAAGGTACTTTCAGCTCAACATGTCAAACTGGACTTGGATTTTTTTTTCTGCATAAATAAGGGACGGATGATTTCCTTACCTGTTTGACATTAAAATATTTGAAACTTATCATCTGAGAAATAGAGATTCACTGAAAACATTTAAAGAGCTGGTGATAATAATATTACATTTAAAAGATCACTTTTGATATAATGTATAGAACACGTGGGATGGGGAGGGGCAGGCACAGCTGGCAACAGAGAGGTCATTGGGACACTGTAACAATGGCAGGGAGAAATTACAGTGGCTTGAAGGGAAGGTTTATAATGTGTATACAGTAAAGAATCTTGTAAAGGAATTAGGGGGTAAAATAGGATGGATAGAAATTTGCAACCGACTTGCTATTAGATTTAAGGAGACGGGCATCAAAATTTGGCACCCATATTTCTGACTTAGACAAGTGATATAGGAATACCAGGTAAAAAGGTCATTATTGCATGCTGCACTGTTAGGTACTGACTATTGGCTTGGTCCCTAATACACAAAGAGCACCCTGAAAATCAATAGATTGAAATGAAGAAAGAGAAAAAGAGAGAACAAGAAAGATCAAACTAAACATGGCCATAGAAAAATAAGCTAAGGATGTGAATAATTAATTCAGTGATGCATATAGTTAAGTTTGAAATGCACATAAGGCATTGAAATAAATATCTTCAACACAGATAAGTCATGAGCTCCAGACTTACTCAACTACTTTTTGAACATATTTATTCAAGCCTTCAGCATACATTCTATCAGAAACTATAGACAGATTGAAATCATGCAAAAAGTGTAAAATGGAAAGAAGTGGGAGTGGAGGGGGTGTGGGTTAGGACACACCACTGAAGAAAAGAAGCACTTCAAGATCAAGAAAGGGAAGAGGAAGATGCAGAAGTATGCTGATCATAAGGTAACAGACAAATCAGAAATTCATGAATCATGAAAACCAAGAAAAAAAACCATTTTAAGTACTGAAAATTATCACTGTAGTAAAAAGTGAGTCTGGATAAGGTGCCAGGCTCCATTTCAACAAGAAGCTCCTTCCACAGTGTGTTAATTAAAATCAGTTTAAAGGATTCCACTCGTCTTTGTTATTTTTAATGCAAATAATTATAACAATAAACTATACTTTCCTACTCTGTTAACTTTTCTCAATATTCACTAAAACTTCTCCAGAGTCAACTGTCCTCTTGAAAAATAAAGTGGCATCTCTAACTCACTCACAACTGCAAAACAAACCCCAGACACATAAAATATTAAAATATAATAAGTGCAACCACAAAAGTACCATAAGAAAGCATGGGTAAATATTCTTATAATATTAGGATGAGGAAGGATTTACTGCATGGTATGAAAACGAGAAGCCATAAAGACTGACTATTAAAAGTTCTATATAGCAAAAATGGTAAATATGGAAAAAAAGTTTAAAAAATGTTTGCAGCATGACAAAGTGTCGTTATACCAACATAAAGGATGATATTAAATATATTCTGCATTCAATAAGAGCAATAATGGTCAGTATGTTGAACCAGTATGTACTGCCTGGTCTGTAATATATAAAAAGCACCCAAAAATCAATAGGAAATAAAATTCCAACAGAAAGATGATCTAAGTACTTGAATAGATCATATAAAGGAGGAAAAATACAAATGAAGAACTTACCTATGAAAAGTCATTCATCCTTACCAATAATGAATATGAAAATGAGATATTACTTGTTGCCATGGCAAATATTGAATCTAAGGTTTGCCGAAGTATAGAAACAGAAGTTTCTATTCACTTTTGATGAATCGAAATTGGTACATTCCTTGTGTAGAACAATCTTAACAACTTTTATCAAAACTGAAAATGTTTCTATCATTTAATGTAAAATTCCACTGACTCCAGTAGAATAATCATGAGTAAAAGATCCAGAGATATGTGCTAAGAATAACTTTAATCACAACTTTGTTTATAGTAGTGAAGAAATTAGAAACAAACCAAATGTTCTTCAATCGATTAAATCAATTATGGCACATTTACTCAATGAAATACTATGCAACCATCAAAAAATATGCCTTTCTATCGTAATAGAATTGGAAATATCTCCACGGGACATTCTTGAGCATAAAAAGCAGATCAACAAACTGTTCTGTTATTATGTCTACATTCAAAGACACAGATTAATACCTGGAAGGTAGGTCAACAAATGTTATTTAAAATTTTTGGTGATTGGTATGTTCTTCTTATAGATTCCTAGATTGCTATAATTTTCTGTATGAGCTATTCATCAAATATTTCTGGCTCTCTGTTTTACAGGTAGAATCCATTTCCTGGCCCCTTTGTAGTTTGGCAGGATTACCTGTCTAGTTCTGGCCAGTTAGTTGTCAGTAGAAGAAACTTTTTAGTTCCAGGACAAAGAAGTCAGTTTCCTGTATTGAGATCCTCCAGACTTTTCTTTTTCTCCCTCTGCCACAACAGCTAGCTAACAGTGTTTTGGAAAATGGCCACGCCATCAGCCTTGAAACTATAGTAAGAGTTTAATCTAACACACAGCACCCAGCTGACTGTGATGGCCCTATAGCATGAGAGAAAAATAAATCTTTCCTGTGTTAAGCAGCTGAGATTTCTAAGTTGTTTGCTACTTTATCATAATTTAGACTGTCCTATTTTCTGCAATCTATATTATGTTTATAAGCAGGGGAAAAAAGCTATTTTCATTAAACAAATACATGTTCCAAGTTTGAAAAAAAAAGTCTAAAGCTCTGGATCTCTAAGAAGTAAACAAACTCTCCTATATTGTTTTTGTTTTTTAGTTCCGTAAACTAATGTATTAACTAGAAACCAATCTATTCCTAGATGGCTAGCAGGCTAAGTCTCATACCACATTTTACCTTCCCAGCTATCTTCCCCTAGTTATGTTAGACAACTATTTTATTTTTGCATAATCTTACACAGTGTGGATCATGGATAATGAACCACTGTGTCAAAACTCTAGGCTCTAAATCCACAGAGGGAAATTTAAATGAAATTACATTGCCTTTACATGTCATAGGTACTTCAGTTGACCATGCAATTTCACTAACCAAATTGAGTTTTCATTTCAGTTTATTTCTTAAATAACACAGGTAGTTTCATGAGTTACAAACATTCCAAGAGGAATCTAAAAACAAGTAACTTTGCACATCTAACATTTTCTCATTTGGGGAGGGTGTTTACGTTTCTCATCTTAATCAGCCTGGTCAATTAAATTGGATGGTTTTCTATTTGTTTCTATCCAGTTTATCCTCCTCCCCTTTGCATTCTGGTTGTTATGAACTAGCTCAGAGCTGTGGTTTGGGCTTCGCAACACTACAGGGAATGTTTAAAAAATAAACTAAATTGCCTTTGTGACTTTTTTTTTTTTTAAACTTGCTGAAAATGAGATTTTCAACAGCCTCCATTCCACGGCCCCCTCCTTCGTTTTTTATTTAAATTTTGGTACTAAAATGAGTTTACAATATTCTATTAATATCGCTTTGGAAGACACTTCTTTCCAATGCAATGTACGGATTAGTCCACAATTCTCCTCACTCCGATCCTTCATTGTTATTTGACTTTAGTGATGCCTATATGGATAAAATATTTAGCAATTTACGTGCCTTTAAAAATCCACATTTCCATATTATTTCTTCATAGGCATACATTTACAAAAAAAAAATTAAATTCCCATGCAACCCTCATTCCACCATAAAATATTGCTTGAAACAGGAAGTGGTCATAGATTTATCTCAGGGCACTTGGAGGGTCAATCCCTAATAATCCATTCAAGAAGGAAATATCCCTAATAATCCATTCAAGAAGGAAATATCCCTAATAATCCATTCAAGAAGGAAAACCATGATCAAAATTGTCAAAAAAAAAAAAAGTATAACCAAGTTTGGAATTAAATATTTGATTCTTTATTTTGTGAAAAATAAATGTATATATGAACATATTAATGTACATATGAAAGGGATATACAGTTCATAATTAAACAAATATAGGGTTAAAAGCAGTAATATGCTAGAACATAAATGTATACATTATATATCCTCACAGATAATTCATAAATTCAATAATTTACATCGACATTATTGAGAGTTACTTCTGTGTAATACTTACCTATTTAGTCCCTGTGAGATCAAAACCCTATTCTTCCTCTGCAAAATGAAAAAAATGCAAAATGCAAAAAAAAAAAAAAAAATGGCACCTTCTCTCCCCTACCTCATGGGCTTTTTGGGAGGTTGAAAATAAAACTGGAAGATGAAATGAAACTGGAGAATGAAATGGGAGGATGAAAAGCTTTCTGTAAAAGTAGAAAGCAATAAATTAAAATAATCTGATAGCAGATTTCCAAAACCCATGGTCTTATTTGGGTGTAACATCAATAGTTGAAAGAGATTGAGACCAGAACAGCAGCAGCTTGTACTGGATCCTGCATGCCACTCAAGGGGCTTACACTCAACCTTGAAGGCATTAAGAAGCCATTAAAAGGAGGAACCAAAGGAGTTCTGCTTAAGAAAACTCATTCTGACAGCAAGGCAGACAGTGACAGGTAACACTGGGGGTTTGAGAAACCAGAAAGGAAGTTGTAACTCCTTTAAGAGGCATAAAGGATGAAAGCTTGAATAGCACAATGTGGTTAAGTTGGAGAAGGCATAACACATAAAATAGCATTGATAACTAGTGATAATTTAGAATGAGAGGAAAGGCTGGGCACAGTGGCTCACATCTGTAATCCCAGTACTTTGGGAGGCCAAGGCAGGAGGATGGCTTGAGGCCTGGAGTTTTAAGACCAGCTGGGGCAACAAAACAAGACCCTGTCTCTATAAAAACTTAAAAAATTAGCTGGGCATGGTGGTGCACATCTGCAGTCCCAGCTATTTGGGAGGCTGCAGTGGGAGGATCACTTCAGCCCAGGAGTTTGAGTTATGATCAAACCACTGCACAACAGCCTGGATGACAGAGGAAGACCCATCTCTAAATAAATAAATAAAAATAAAATAAAATAAATTGAGAGAATAGATGAGTGAAAGAATCCTAAAAATAACTCAAAATTTCTAGCTTTGGCAACTTGATTAATGGGTCCAGATCTTCAAGGTCAAATGCCTTTTCATACAAGTCATTGTTGAGGTAATGTGGGAAACTTTTAAGAACCAATCATTAGGCCAGGTGAGGTGGCTCACACCTGTAATCTCAGCACTTTGGGAGGCTGAGGCGGGTGGATCCCCTGATGTTAGGAGTTCAAGGCCAGCCTGGCTAACTTGGTGAAACTGCATCTCTATTAAAAATACAAAAATTATCTGGGCGTGGTGGCATGTGGCTGTAAGTAATTCCAGCTACTCGGAGGCTGAGGCAAGATAATTGCTTGAACCCAGAAGCCAGAGGGTGCAGTGAGCCGTGATTGCACCACTGCATTCTAGCCTGGGCAACAGAGCAAGAAAGGCTCCATCTCAAACAAACAAACAAATAAACAAGAATCAATTATTGACTTAGGCAATTGGACTCAACCCAATTAAAACAAACATCCAAGCAACATGGCAGCAGAACTGTTTCTGATTTGAGAATAAAGCCCATTTTACCCCAGGATCTGTAGAATCATCATCAATGAAAATAGTGCTTCTTTGTGGGCTTTAGGTTGGCAGTGATAATTTTATAGGTAAAACTATAAAATAACTGCAGTTCTTGAGTTAAGATGAAACTATTCTGCCCTTTAAATATATCTGACTTTAGATTGTGTTCAGTAAGTGGAGTACACAAACATCAGAAGTATCACATCTGGAATGTCAGCACCCCTTGAAGAGGGCAATCAATGATTTTCTGGATGCAAGATAGGACTGTAACCAGTTTTTAATATACAAAAGTTCAACATCTGGCTGGTGGTTACAACTGATTTGCTAATAGCCTGTTCTTTTCAGTTTATAACCACACTCTTTTTAAAAAATAAAAGTTTGTAGGAGGCTCTTTACCTCATATTTTCAAATCAACCACCTCTTATCTGCAACTTTCTACTGTGAGTAGGGAACATCAAAATAAATAACTATACCATACTTCCTTTAATCATTTTACAAAGTGCACAGGACCTAACATAGATATGGGGGCATTTTGTGGGGAGTAATTACCATCAAAATCTTTCTCTTATTTTATAAATCATTCTCTCTTTTTCTGTCTTTTTCTCTTCCACATTCACATGTATACACCATAACCACTACATACATCATTGCTGCATATGCTACATACATATGTCACCACTGCATACACCTCCCGCCACCACCAGCACCAGAGCATGCCAGAAAGACTCTCAGACATGGTTACCGAAAAAGAACACCTTCATTTTCTTGCAGAGTTTTAGCTGGACATGAACACTCACATGCTACCTTTAAGCCAGAAGGCTCAAACTGTCAAATCCCACAGTTGCTATTGCAATCAATGGTGTCACTCTGTTCAGTGTTTAAGACCAGCAGAAATGTGAGCTGTTCGAATCTTTTTCTAGAGTACCCTGAATTGGAATAAGGACAGAAGGGATACCTAGCCAAGAAGGACTAAAAAGATCAGCTAATCATTTTCTTTAGCCACCTAAAGAATAGGAATGTGTTGACTGTTTGTCCTCTGCTCTCAGCAGTAGATCTGGTGTGCATCAGTAGCTCCTCAGGTCAATCCATTCATTGGTGTATCTGTACACACTGGCTGGTAATAAGTAACCCCCCTTCATGATGCTCTAAAGCAGCGGTCCTCAACCTTTTTGGCACCATGGACTGGTTTTGTGGAAGACAATTTTTCCACGGACCTGGGGTGGGGGAAGTGGGGGATGGTTTCAGGATGAAACTGTTCTACCTCAGATCGTCAGGCATTAGATAGATGGGACTCCGATAAGGAGCGTGCTACCTAGATCCCTCGCATACGCAGTTCACAAGAGAGTTTGCGCTCCTATGAGAATCTAGCGTTGAGGCTGATCTCACAGGAGGCAGAGCTCAGGTGGTAATGCTCCCTCGCCTGCTTCTTACCTCCTGCTGTGGGGCCCAGTACCTAACTGGCCACCTACTGATACTAGTCTGTGGTAGGGACTGGGGACTCCTGCTCTAAAGGAACTGAGTGGTAAAAACCTCACCGCTCTAACAAACTTGTGACTGCAGAGTGACCGTTTATATAACTTTCCATTTTAGAGCTGTGAGCTATTCATTTTTAGCCCAGATTTGCTCATGGAAAAATGTTAGTGGGGTGCAATACATTTATGCAGGGAGGACTTAGTGTTACCTGCTCCAGGCTGTGCATCTTTCTGTCCCCATCATGATCCTGGAACTGTACGACCCTTTCCCTTTCCCTGACAGTGTTTATTTTGCTTTAAACCAAGGCTCATCTCTTAAAGCTCATTTTTTTTCTTTGTTTTTTGCACAAATCACAGCTAAACACAGTTGTTCACCTTCTCATTCACACATTTGCAATCTCTATCAACCTTGGCAGTAATGCAGCATCACCTGAGGGCATCATCTGCTTTACGAACTACTGCAACTTCAATAAAGCAGGGGTCTGGCTTTATGATACCGGTCTAGGCTGTGAGTCTAACTACATATGGGGCTGCCAGACCATGTCTTATCACAGAACCAGATTTCACTTAAATCAGTCTAAACCACTACGCACAGTTTTTTTTTTTTTTTTTTGAAAGCTTTTGTTTAGTTCCTTTTGGACTCTACTAAACGTAAGAGATACAAAGGAGTTTACTTCCTAGGCATTTCATAGAGAAAATGCTGGAATGGATACACATTAATGAGAGTAATTAGTCCTGGCATCAGAAAATGTATTTTGCAACCCATTGCTATTTTTTCCTGTGAGAAGATAATGTTGGCAAAATGATGCTAGGTCCTTAGCCCCAGCATGTGGAGTGGCAGGAGAAGAAGCACCATGAATCAGGGAATAAGTGGAATGTACCCTCTTGCTCAGGACAGTCCCAGGTTTCACTGATGGAGGAGCCCATCAGGAATCTAAGAAAGGAAGCCTGTGCAGTGAGAACATCTTTAACTAAATAGATATGTTTCTTAGTTTGATTGTTTATCAAATGACACATACTTCACCTGTGACTGAGGATGGTTACAAAAAGTGGTAAAATGCTATAAGACAGGAAAGATAACTAGATAGAAGCTTTTCTCCAAGCTGACAGGAAGTCCTGTGTGCTGTGCATGATGAACAGGCTGGCCCAGGACTCTTCATCTTTCCCAGTAATGCAGGGGGTTGGTTCTAGAATCTGACATAAGGATCAACGTAGAAAAGTCGACTAAGGAAACCGGCATTAAGTCTAAAGCAGGACAAGGCCAGGAAGAAAAGCGAATCATTGCAGATATCAGTGTTAAAGTAGTAGATTTCTCTTTTGTCATGGTCTCTTTCTACCGAACCCTCCTGAGACCAGGGCCATGCCCCACAAACTCTCTCTCAAGAATACCAACCTAAAAGGAAACCAGAAACAAAGAGGACGTTAGAACCAACCTGCCTACTCCAAGACATGGAGTCAATATTATGCTGTTTTCTCTCTTCTCAGCAAAGGACTTCCCATTATTTCAACCATTAGAAATGGGCAATGCATCCAGTATGCCAGTCCCTTTCCAATAAATGCCTCTCTACATCTGCATCAATGAATCCCATAGACATTTCTTATTTGAGGCAACTCTATATGTATAGCACTGTTCTTGCAGCATTTAATCTGAAATAATTGCCAGAGGAATTTATAAGTCTTTTTTTTTTTAATTTTTCTTAACCTGATAGGGTCTCACTCTGTCACCTGGGCTAGAGTACAGTAGCATGATCGTAGCTTACTGCAGGCTTGAACCCCTGGGCTCAAGCTATCCTCCCACCTCAGCCTCCCAAGTAGCTGGGACTGTAGGCACAAGCCACCATGCCCAGCTAGTTTTTTAAATAAATATTTTTGTAGAGAAGGGGTCTCACTATGTTACCCAGGCTGGTCTTGATCTCTTGGAGTCTGGAGATTTGCAGGGAGAGGGAGCACAGTGGCTTGCTCTAAGCTGGTTTCATGGAATAAGAGCAATTAGAACCCAGTAGAGTTGGGCATTGGGCAGTAGGTGGTTGTCAGCCAGACTTTGCAGTAAACAACCCCAAGGGGAGGGACTCTACCTATTCCCACTCCTCCTTCCTAGTGGACGAGTCCCATGACATTATTTTATCTAGATGGATTACATATAGGTACAACTCTGCTCCTCTCTGGTTCTTTTTTCCCGTTTCCCGTGTTTTACAACATAAGCTAACTCCCAGTGGAATCTGAGTGATGAAGGGGTGCCTTTGGTTCTGCATACATTACAGGAATCAAAACTAAATGCTGGGTGATAAACACCACCAGAGAGCACAGAATGCTCCAGGAGAAAATGATCTTTAATGGAGTCGTTCTTAAAAGTATCTGCATGTGGCAACATTAAATACCATGAAGTCATGGTTACAGATCACAGACCTCAAATGCATGAATATTAAGGAAGAAAATAGCTGCGAAGCAACTAACAGCAAGTGGAAGAAGCTACTAAGAGAAAACCACATTCACCCAGTTTACTTCCTTTTATAAGACCAGCTCTAGGCAAAACCGTAATAGATAAAACCTTTTCTTCTAGATTCATGTTTCACCTTTTCTCTGTTCTCCCCATGCTCCTTAATCATTCCATTTCTATCATGTTCTGCCTACAGAGGTAGGATCTGAAAATAATTAGGAGAGGACGTAAATGACATAGCCCCTGGATATTTGCATTTTATTTGGGATAAAAGGTTTAATGTAAGGAATGACTTTCCAATAGTGAAATTTCAGGCAAAAATGGGAAAATGAAGGCTAGGTGGAAATGAATGGAAGTTTTGGGAAGTGAACTCTTCCTTAAATCATATCCCTTAAATGGTTTTCTTCATTCATGCCAGTTCTTGTCCTTGAAGCTGACTGCTGCTCTATTCTTTTCCTTCCCAAGAATGGGTAGTGGTGGCCTGGGGAAGGGGGGTTCCTTATAGCTTGGGTACATCAAGCTTTTCAGGGGCTGACTTTGCAAAAGTGTGATTACTATTAATGCTTTTCATAACACGTTCTGCATTGTTCCAGCAATGACATCAGCAATACAGAGGCACCAATTAGAAGCCATTCTCATGGAACACGCACTTGCTGTGGAGACAAGACCCATTTATATCACTGTCACCTTCAAGATGCTGCATGAGTTCATACCTCCACATAGATGCATGCATGTCGGTGTGCATGCGCACATACGTATGTGTGCTTGCACAAATTAACCTTAAAGATTCAAGTTAAACAATAAGTAGAGGAACAGAACTGAATTGCTGTGAGAAGTCAGCAGTCATCATAACATGTAACAACAGGTGATTAATGTAAACAAACCTCTACCATACCCACAACACAGCACTTGGTTTACTAGTTCTACCTTGTTCATGTTTGTTTCCATGATCACATTGTTTTGTCATGGTAATAATCAAATACATAAGTCTTCATTTCACAAAATTGATCTCAAACCTAAGAGAAGAGGAGGTCACTTTACTTTCTATATTGTCTAAACAAATCCAGAGAGGGATCTTGAGACATTCAATCATGGGGCTGTCATTTGGTTTGGGTAAGCATATTTTCCCTTCATTAGATTTAATATACAATCTCATTACAGAAATCTGACACTCCATACTCTCAATTCATAAATCAGCTTCTACTTTTGTTCCTACAGCTCAAGAAGGGGGAAAAAAACTATAACAAAGTATGATAAAAATGCATAGCATAACATTGTCTCAGCCACTCAGAAATGCCACTCCACTTCCTATTCTCATTGCTGATGTATCCAACTTCCACTGCCACATGGACTATCATGATGACTTCCATTTTTCTATGCAATCAGACATTTAAAAAATGTGTCACTCTGCCGGGCACGGTGGCTCACGCTTGTAATCCCAGCGCTTTGGAAGGCCGAGGCCGGCGGATCATGAGGTCAGGAGATGAAGACCATCCTGGCTAACACGGTGAAACCCCGTCTCTACTAAAAATACAAAACCATAATTAGCTGGGTGTGGTATCAGTCGCCTGTAGTCCCAGCTACTCCGGAGGCTGAGGTGGGAGAATGGCGTGAACCCAGGAGGCGGAGCTTGCAGTGAGCCGAGGTCGCGCCACTGCACTTCAGCCTGGGCGACAGAGTGAGACTCCATCTCCAGAAAAAAAAAAAAAAAAAAAAAAGTCACTCATGAATTCCTCCCTTTAAGGTCACTTCCTAACTTTTCTCCACCTAATCACATCAGCTATTCTTGATTTTTTATCATCATGCAACATCTATCATTTATTACGTGTAACATCATTACACAGCATCTGGGTACTTGCAGACCACCAGCCTATTTATAGAGCACCTACAATATGTCTTGTACTTTGTCCAGTCTTAAATGGGATGGAAAAGACTAGCAGACATATCCCCTGGCTTCAAAGATGGTGCAATACATATAGGAAAAACAATACCATAATATTAATCCCAACTAAAGAGGTTTTCTTAATGTTGGATGTACATGCTGACATATCTATAATAAATTGATGCCATTCATGAAATATCTATTTGCTGACACAATATACTTCCACTTAAGATTTTAAAAGATTGTAAACAAATAATTTCTTACACAGACAAAAAGAAGCTGTTTCTCTATTTTGTAACATTTTTACCTTTCCAGAATCATTAGTCTATTGAGGTCATATAATAAAAGTTTCAACCTCAAAGAGGAACAAAACCTAGGAAAATACGAATTCTGTTAGGGATTAGATATTAAAAATACATCTGTTAGTTTACTGGTAATATTATGATGCCTTCCTGTTTAACATGTATGTAGTCATTATGTCTTTGGCGGTAATATGTTATAGAGCATATTCTTTAAAACCTTTCTATTCCTACTTGTCTTTTCCAAGCTTCATTTAAATTTAAATCTTACTTAGGAAGTTATAATACTGTGCATGGTTAGTCCAATAATTCTTTCACCTAAAAGTTCCCCTCTCTAGATGTCAAATGTATAGATATTTGCTAGTATTAAATTGCTATGAAAATAATCACAATATTAACTAGGCATGGTGACTCATGCCTACAGTCCCAGCACTTTGGGAGTCCAATGTAGGAGGATCACTTGAGGTCATAAGTTTGAGACCAGGTTGTGCAATATAACAAAATTCGTTTCTATAAACAAAATTTAAAAATTATCCAGGCATGGTGGCACATGCTTGTACTCTCAGCTACTCAGGAAGCTGAGGTGGGAGGATCATTTGAGCCCAGGAGTCCAAGGTTACAGTGAGCTATGATCCAGCCACTGCACTCCAGCCTGAGAGACAGAGCAAGACCTTACCTCTAAAAAATAAAAAATAATGATCACAATATTCTATCAGGCAAAATACTGGTAATGCCCAAGAACTTAATTTATAACTTACCTCTAAAAAATAAAAAATAATGATCACAATATTCTATCAGGCAAAATACTGGTAATGCCCAAGAACTTAATTTATAACTGGAAATTAGCCCTTCAGATTTTTTGGCCACAGGGATCATAAAGCTTTATATTGCTCCATTTCTGCAAATGGAAATTAGTGTAAATAAACAGTGTACCTAAGAACATGATTTAACCCAAGGTGCAACAAACAAATAAACAACAATAGTAACAACAAAATCTCTAGCAATTTCAAACTTTTAGCCAGGACTCTGGAGAGAATGGTCATGAAAAAGCAACTGGCATATATATATATATATATATATATATATATATATATATATATACACACACACACACACACACACACACACACACACACTCCACTGCACTCCAGCTTGGGCAGCATAGCAAGATCACATCTATAAAAACAAACAGTCAATTTATTATGGTAAAGTGCCAAATATTGTTCCAGACTTCTTTATCTGAAAATTAACACTTGTTTTTGGAGAGGCATGTGTGTCTATGTGTACATTATTAAAAATCTGCTGAAAGATAGAAAGACTGAGAAGGCATATGTGAATTTTAAGCTTTTATAAAGATTGACAAACTATAGCACCAAATTCTTCCTGAACTGTGCTGCTAAAGCTCCCTGTGTGTGGCCTAGAGTAGATACTTTACACATTGAGAAATGTCCTGCTATTGGTATGTACGTCCCTGGGATTGAAAGAGTAAAGGGAGAGACACAGATTCTAGATTAGATCCAAATCCTATGGTAACAGGTGCAGCCCCTCAAAGAGGGTTAAGGTTTGCATTACGGAGGTTCAATGGAAGTGACTCTCTCTATGCTCTGATTTGAGAATTAAGGAGGAAGAAGAACAGGAAAGATAGATAGTATGTTCAATAGGAGAGACACTGTGAAGTGTTTAACTCTTAATGCTTTTCCCTTGGATGATGGGGAAAATAATATTTAATCTACAGAATTCAAGTGTTTGCTTTCTATGCTAGAATTCTCTTTTCATTAACTGTCAACTTCTCAGAAAAACCTGATATACCATATGGCATTGTCTGGTTATACTGGGATGGAAAAAGGTTGGAGGCAATAAATACAGTGTGTCCTATTGAACACACACCCTTTGCACTGAAGTTGCTTGGAGGCAATAAAATAAAGTGTGTTTTGTTGAACACACACCCTTGCACTAAAGTTATTGTGGAAATCTCAGGAGGCCAGGAGCCAAGTAAGCAGTGGTTTGTGGAAGAGATGCCTGGCACTTCCCTATCAGCGGAGAGGCAGATAACTCAGGAGTGGATGTGAGACAGATCCTATCTCTCCCAAATAAAGAAGAACAGGGTGACTCTTGAGGGAGGGAGGCTAAAGCTCAGATTACATAAGCATAATTAAAAACTACGATGTTCCTTCTGCTGAACAAAGAAAGATTTAATATTAATAGTGCCCAAGTTGAGTATTATTCCCATGCAAATTCAGATAGGTTTTTATATAAGTACATGACTAACATTTGGCCCAGCTTTGCACTGCTTAAATTACAAAGTTACATCTAGCACAACTGGCCAATTCTAGACAAAACCCTACACATTGTAGCTGTTTATTATAATTTGGCTGTGGGCATCTCTCCCTCTCTTGCCCACACCATACTGTCTGAAAGGACTGCCCTTCTTATAATGATTCTTCTCCATCTGGCTATTCTACCATTCTCCTCAAAATTTCTAAAACATTTGCTGTCTATACCATACATCTAAGACTTAGTGTCTTCAATCTTATATTATGAACTACTTTTTCATAAGTCCTGTCTCCTGAATTAAATTGGAAAGTTATTGAAGGAATGAAATCTATCTTTGGGAATCTCTGATATCTAACTAGGTTTATTATTAAGATGATGACCAGATTGCTTTTCCTTATGAATAAATGCAGAAAGGATCAATATCATTCTAATAGAGCAGCTGAAATACAAAAGGAGTTAGAGAGCTAGTTAGAAAGCCCATTCATTATCTCTAAGTATGACTCCTTAGATACCAATTAAATACCCTAAAGCAAAGGGCATCTACCTAGCGTCGTGAGTTGAGAAGACAATGTGTGCAAATACTTGTTATATAGCTAGGAGACTTTTATCTCAATAAGAGAAGACGGCAATATTTTTGACTAATACCCATGTGGTAATTGGCTAAAACCAGATGACTATGAAAAACTTAATTACAGAGAGAATGATAGCTTGAGCATGTTTAGTATGCATGTAAAGCAATTTATAATCCAATAAACCCTTTAAAATTTTCCTACACAAAGCAGGTTGGAAGAAAATTCTATAACTTTATTACTATTTTTCATATTAGAGAAAAGAAACACTGAATGGCTGAATTTCACAAGCAAGTGTATTGTCCAAGGCCACTTATTTCTGTTCAATGTCCTAGTACATTCTGTAGTTTCATCTGTCTTCCACTTTCCATCTGTGCATCATTTTTACCACCCTCAAGTCATAGGACTTCAGAGAAGGGACTCCATCTAGCTCAGTCCCCTTGCTTTCGATCTGAGAAAACCAGGGGCAGAAGAATGATACAAGTTACTTGAAATCACACAACTAATTTTTAATTTCTGACCTAGTATATTAACTGAAGTTAGCCACTCAAGTCATGGAAAGTATGTCAAAATCCCCCCATCCCTCCCAAAAGAAAGAAAAAGCTAACAATTTTGGTTCTGAAAACATGATATAATAGATGTGCAAAGAAATCTTACTAGTACAGAATAACTAAAAATGTTAGATAAAGCATGTCATGAAAAAAAGAAAAAAAAACCAACAACTTTGAAAAGCATCGCCAGGCTGGTGATAAAGTAAACAATTTAAAGCCAGTCTTCTCAAGGAGTGATCTGGGTGAGTGAGCCTAAGAGCAGGCATTTTCCACTGCTCCGTGCTCCAAACCCCAGGGTAGTGAGCCACGCGTATAGACAGGGGACAAAGCCTGAACTCAGGTAGAGTGGAAGATCAGATCAGGGAGCCCTGTTCCAAACAGGTATCAACAAAGAGCAATAACTCACAGAGCATGAACTAGAAAAAGCCCTGTCCACAGAAAACTTAGCTTTTCTTGGTGTTGAAAGTGGAGCAGGGAAAACCAAACGTCTTTCTCAAGAGTTCTTCACCCAAAGTCTATTCTCCAAAAAGTGAAGTCAGAATTCATTGATAGATGCATTAAAATCTCAGAATTTACCATTACAGGATTTATCCATGTAACCAAAACTCACTTATACCCCAAAAGGTATTCAAATAAGAAAAATTAAAAAGAAAAGGAAATTCATATAATAGGAAAAATATCAGGGAAAATTTAAGTGGTTATCAGATAAGAAGTGTCCATAAGTACCTGGCAGAAACAATTTACAAATTCTCTCCAGAAAAACACATTCTAAGCATAGGCCACAAAGAATTCCTGCAGATGAATCTCAGTTAAGCATGAGCTTATTATTAAAAAAAAATGTAACTAAGTACATGAGGAAATAAGTCTTATGAATAGGAATGTGCAGAGACAACAAAGTATCAGATTTGCAAAGACTGATGATATTATAACAAGTACAGAGTATGAAAGTTTCAGAATATTTAAATAAAAGAATGTATGAAGGTATAACACATTAAAATTCATCTATTAAAAATGACTGGGAAAGACTGAAATAGAACTTACAGAAATGAAAATTAATGAAATTTAAAACTCAAATGTACATTCAGTAGTTTAATCTATCTTCCACTTTAGAACTACAATATTTGACATAGTTGGAGAGTTTGTGAACTGACACATAAATATCAAGAAATTACATGCAAAGTAGCACCAAGAGACAAAGAAACAAAAGATTGTGCACAGGAGCAACTGGCTAGCAGACATGTGAAAACAGAATGAGAAGGTCTGACACAGTATGGTGATCCACAAACAGCATTAGCATCAGCATTTTCTCAGGACTCAAACGTGAACCTACCATGCTGTAGAAATTTGTGCTATAGGAAGCCCTTTAGATGACTTTTTGGTAGCCCAGGGTTTGAGAAGCATGGCTCAAATATATGTCTAGTCTGAGTTTTCACACAGGATATATAAAATGTTGGAAAAGTATCATTGAAAAATAGTTGAAATTTACTATAATTAATAACACCAATCCTCAGACTGAAGAAGGCCAATGAATCCCAAGTGGACAAATAAAAAGATATCCTCAACCATGCTCAGTGGCTCACGCCTGTAATCCCAGAACTTTGGGAGGCTGAAGTGGGCGAATCATGAGGTCAAGAGATCGAGACTATCCTGGCCAACATGATGAAACCCCATCTTTACTAAAAATACAAAAACTAGCCAGGTGTGGTGGCATGTGCCTGTATTCCCAGCTACGCAGGAGGCTAAGGCAGGAAAATCACTTGAAACTGGGAGGCGGAGGTTGCAGTAAGCCAAGATTGTGCCACTGCACTGCAGCCTGCCTGGCAAGAGAGTGAAACTCTGTCTCAAAAAAAAAAAAAAAAAAAAAAAAAAAAATCCTCACTTGTAGTGAAAATGAAGACCACCAAAGACAAGAGGATCTTAAAAGTTGGAGAAGAAGTAGTTCAGGTCAGAGTCATGTGAGATCAAGAGAATACAGGCTCCCCAGAGACAGAGAGAGAAGTCCACGTAAAAGCAGATGAGAAAGCCAGAGGCAAGATTTCTTCAAGATGATAACATGTACTCAACACTTAATATCTAATATGTTTAAATATATAAAGAGAAGATTTTCACACCTGGCAAAAATTTTAGGGGTGGAGTGAGTGATAACCACATAGAAAACTAACAAAATGAAAAAAAAAAACTCATAATAATTTCTCTCTGGGGAAAACAAAATATTTGTAATAAAAGTAATTATGCTATGCTTTACTCATCTGTGAATAGCTTTTATATACTCATGCTAATATAAATTATCATATAATGACCTAACAGAAGTTCCCTATAACTGTTTTGGGAACACGGGAGGCTGGGAAGTACATGCGTATGAAATGAGAGTAGGTACATCCTCATTTTCTATGAGTAATATGGTAAGTAATGTCTCAGTTTGCAAAATCAAGACATAGCAATTGACACATGGATGGAAATATTTTAAAAATTGCTAAAATAAGTAGATGACTTTGAAAAGCAATTAATGTTTTTATGTTTTTTTTAGCCATCTTCCTTGAACTAGTTGACTCTTTAAGTTCAAGTTTAACCATCATAAAATAACATTTTGCCTTCTGGCTCACTCTCAAAAAGTCGGAAATTTGAAAATAAATGCATTATTGTGTATGCAAGGCTATAAGGATCAGTCACAGCTGGTGAGCGCTCATATATAACAACTTCTATAAGAGCAACTTGGCATGGCAAGGCAAGTTAGGGTATGCCCAAACTCTGAGATTTGGCTTATTTTTTAGTGTGTAGCCTAGAGAATCACCTATACATTGGCACCAGGATGGGTGCACAAGAAAGGAAAGATAAGCACCATTTGTACATATCTGAAACCTGGATACAAACCAAAGTTTCTTAAGTAGCAGAATGACTTCATATGCTGTGATCTAGTCACACAGCAAAACAGTAAACAGCAGTGAGCATGAACTAGAATTATACACATTAACTTAAATGAATCTCAAACATACAAAATTGCATGAAATAAGCAAGACCCAGAAGAGTGTAGTTTCACCTATACAAAATTCAAAACTAGACAAAACTAAATGGGGATACATTATATATAGTGAAAGGTTAAAAAAGTGCTACAGAAGAAGTGAAGGAATCATTTCAAAATGGAGGTTCTCTCTAGTGGGGGAAGAGAGAGGTTGCAGGAGCACGAATTCACCCAGCAGGGTTTTATTTCTTAAACTGTTTTGTGAATTTTCTTATTCTTTTTAAAGCTGAAAATATGAATTACATATACTCTTTTGTATTTGTGATTAAAGTACAATCTGGCTCAGGCCACCCATTCAGAATCCACAATTTTCCAAACTGTCTGATCTCGGCCTCTCTCACTTTGCTGCTAGCTCTGTTCTCTCAACTGTGTTTACCTCTCTTTTTATTCATTTACTCCTTACATCATTCCCTTCATCCTTTTATCTTTTATGTTGACTCTTAGCTTCTAATCTTGGTTCCCTTGAACCACACTTTTTCTTCTTTTCCTTTAGTTCCCTGTATTTACATACAACCTTTCAGTCTGGACTGGCCCCAGGGAATTTCTGCCGTATTCACATATACTGCTTTCAAGGAACATGTCCCACCCAGAATGGCCTAGCTAATAATACACAGATATCAGAAAAATAAATATTGCCTGTCTTTATTCTCCACCCAGGGCTCTTTCCTTTAAACAACACCAACTCAGTTATGTCATGCAATACAATGGGGGCCAGACCCCATGAATATCCCATCATCTCTGATAGACAAGGAACATTCTATAAGCTAAGCCTGTCACATGACCACAGATCCAAACATCTGTCAGACTAAGAAGACTACCAGACTTTGAAAGGACTTAATGGGACAGATGAGACATGCCTATTTCTTAACAAGGTATCTCATTCTCATTGAAAACCATCAGGATTTGTAAAGATGCTCCTGAGTAATAGTAATGTAAATTCTCACTCCCTGCCTTCTCTGTACTGGCCCAGTACTGTATCAAAAAGACAGCAGTTCTTGGCTGGGCACCGTGGCTCATGCCTATAATCCCAGCACTTTGGGAGGCCGAGGTGGGCGGATCACCTGAGGTCAGAAGTTTGAGACCAGCCTGGCAAATATAGCAAAACCCCATCTCTATTAAAAATACAAAAAAAAATTAGCTGGGCATGGTGGCACATGCCTGTAATCTCAGCTACTCAGGAGGCTGAGGCAGGGGAATCACTTGAACTCAGGAGGCAAATGTTGCAGTGAGCCGAGATCGCACCATTGCACTCCAGCCTGGGTGACAAGAGTGAAACTCAAAAAAACAAAAATAGAAACAAAAAGACAGTAGTTCCTTTCTGCAATGTTTCCCCACTTTGTAATCCACAGTAGTGATCATTAAGGAGGAGTAAAATACTCCTGCTTGGTACAGTCTATCATATTAGAAACTGCTTCAGGGCTAAGGGAGGCTCCTGACACCCACAGTATATGACCTCAGAGAGGAAGAAATAAGAATAGGAGGAAGACGACATCAACAAGGCTCACAACAAGTCAACGACGGAGCAGGCCAGAGCCTCGGTCATCACCCATTCTCCATTCTATATTCCTGGAGCTATGGAATTATTTTTCTGATACAGGTTAAGTGGTTGTGGGGTGTTTTGTTTTTTGTTTTTTGTTTTTTGTTTGTTTTTTGTAGTTTCAATACACATTTTTATTTTGGAATAAAATTGGATTTCCTGAAGGTTTCAAAGACAATACACTACCCTCATATACCAATCTAGTTTCCACTGATGTTAACATATTACATTAACATCTGACCCATGATTATTAAATAAACTGCAGGCTTCATTCATATTTCACCATTTGTAACACCAATGTCTTTTTTCTGTTCCAGGATGGAGACGAGAATACTACGGTAGATTCAGTCATCGGGTTTCTCCAGGCTCTTCTGCTTTATGTCTGTTTCTAAGTATTTCCTAGTTTTTTCATAACCTTGGCAGGCTTGAGGAGCACTGGTCAGGTACTTTCTAGAAAATCTCTAAAGTTGAGTTTGTCTGATGTTTTTCCATGACTAGACTAAGTTTACAAATATGTAGAAGAATGTCTCATATCATCATGTCCTATTGTATCAGGGAGTTCATGTAATTAACATACCACTGGTGATGTTAACCTTGGTCACTTGGTTCAGGTGGTGTTTTCCAGGTTTCTCCACGGTCAGGTTATTATGTTTCCATCTTCATAGTGTTGATTGAAAAGGAGCCAGTAAGTTCAGGCCAATCACAGGCAATCATTCAAATTAATCGTTAGAGTCCAGACTTCTACATGAAGGTCAAGTAAAATTCTCATTGGATAATCTTCAAGGTCTTCAGTATGAACATACTCTTCATCCAGTGCTGGCTACAGCCAGGCTATCTCACAGTCCAGTGTGCTGGCCAGAGTCCAAGCTTTTATCAGGGCTCAGGATCAAGCCCATCAGGACAGGGCAACTGAGTAGAACTCCAGATGCCAACCAATGCCATCTCTTAGTGCCACTCCTGCCTGCTTTTCTTAATCTCAGTCTGCATGGTCTGAGTTGAAGGTACGCAACTTCCCTTGCCTAGTCCATATAATAGTTCCTCTATATTGAAAAATTTCTTCCATTCCAGAAATATTCTCCTTCAACGATTCTAGAAATCTAATGTCACAAATGTGATCATGGAAATGTAACAGGAATCTTTTAATTTTTTCTTTTTCTAAGAACATAATCTCAAAGATAAGCTAAATCTTAGTATGTAATAAAAGTGAAGTACCATCTCCTTCTAATTATTTTTGTTCTTGACATTGTATTGCCTTACTAGACCCTATATAGGTGCTTGTACTTTTTAAGGATGCCTAAATCAGTGTTAGATATTTCAGATTATAATCTATTAGCTCTACAGTGTTTACCTTGTCCAAGAACTTCCTTGACACAATATCATACCCTGGTGTAATGAATGCCATTGATCAAACATGTGACTGCATTATCAGAACCCCAACTTGTACATTGCTAAGAGTAGCCACTTTAAATTTTGTTCCTCGCAAACTATCTCACTATTGACTTCTTTAGAAAGAGCTGGAGATCTCTCTCCTTTTTTTTTTTTTTTTTTTTTTTGAGACGGACTCTCACTCTGTTGACCAGGCTGGAGTTCAGTGGTGCAATGTGAGCTCACTGCAACCTCTGCTTCCCAAGTTCAAGCCATTCTCCAGCCTCAGCCTCCCGAATAGCTGGGATTGCAGGTGCCTGCAACCATACCCGGCTAATTTTTGTATTTTTAGTAGAGACAGTGTTTTATCATGTTGGCCAGGCTGGTCACAAACTCCTGACCTCAGGTGATCTGCCCACCTTGGCCTCCCAAAGTGCTGGGATTACAGGCATAAGCCACCACGTACTGCCAGAGATAATGCTTTAATTTCTTTAAGCATTCAGGCCTGTGAGGATATTGTGGGAGCAGGTACCTCTGTCCCACTTTTTAATGATGTTAACAATCATAAAATGAACACTACTGCAAGGTAAACGGTTGTTTCTGGATTCAGGCCACATAATTACATAGTAATTTTGTACTAGAAAGATAAGTATAATGGGACATACAAGACCACGTTTTATAGAAATGAGCTGCGTATTTGGCTTTTTACTTCCAGTTTTATTTGGAACACCCACTCATGTTTTCCTTCCTGCAGGTGCTGTATTATGATTCACTGTTTGCAGAGGACTCCAGATTGTCCTATAGGAATATGTGGTGCACTTTTAAGTGATGTGCAGCGTAGCCATCAGTTGACTTCAATTATTTTCTAGTAAGAAATTAATGACCTGACTATTGCTGAAACTCTAGATCCCTTGACTACAGTTCATGGGAATGAGAACAGCAAATTATCTGAGTTGTCTTTGGAATACTACTTTATCTTGCTAACTTGGGAAGTAAAAATGTAGAGGAACACCCAGGCTTGCTTTCTACCATGCTTATGTAAGCAAATTTCTTGCATCTAGATTAAAAGATAAAAGAAGCCCAAAACCACTCCCTATAATTATTTCTAGTTTGTCTTCATTTATAATTAACCAGGAAGTGCTGGCACATTGCCATTAGATAAACCGTACAAAGGACCATTGTAGATAAGAATACTGGTGATTGTATTTTTGTGTTATCTGCTAAGAGAGCATTTGTCTATATAGCAGTCATTTCAGAGATTAGAATCTACACAATATTCATAGAAACCTAATGCTATAAACCAGTAAACTCCTCCTTGCATAGCTCCTATTCCCTAACATGAAGACTATGCATTAAAAAGACTGAGTAAATTAAAAGAAATAAATGTAATGCTTGTATAATTCTGGGTGTTCCTAAAGACATATAATTGTACACAACCACATAAGCATCACACACACACACACACACACACACACACAAATACACAGGAGCTCCAAATCAGGATTTTTAAAATAACAAAGCATCTTGATAAATGTACCATAGCCTAAAGAAATAAATTGTTTTCCACTGCTGGTTTGTGTGGTCCTTATTCTTGATTACAGCAGCAAGTTGAATAGCTCTGCTCTATGTGTAAAAGTAATGGAGACTAGATGTGATTATGTTCAGAGTTACAGCTAACTAGGAAGGCTCAGACACAAGACATTTTCTTTTGATAAACAGTTTCTTTCAAAGAATACATTTGTTTTGTTTTGTTTATAAGATGCAGGTGAAGTCAAACAGATAGAAACATCATTAAGATCTGCTAATGAATCATCCTCCTATTTGGACTGGGAATAAGTGTTTGAACTCAATGCTGTATCTATGTTTGAGGAAATACAATTATTGGTTAACAAATGTGTTACCTTTAGGTGGTAAGGCTTGGTGAATACTAACCACAAGCAAGTAATCATTGAGTCTGTTAGGCTAGAAAAATACAGTATATCAACAGCGACATCCCATTTTCACCTAAGCAAATATACATTAAATATATTAAGTCAGAGTTATTCTTTTAAAATTCTTTCAAAATTAATACTGCTCTTTTTCACTGGAAACATATTTATGATTAAAAGGCACAAAATAAAGACAAATAATAATCATCAGTGATCCCATCATTTAGGGATAATCATTGCTATAATTTTGGAATCTATCTATCTTTTTATTACAGATACACATTTATATATACCCGTGTCTGGAGCATAGGGAGAGGTATTAAGAAGTATTAAGCTTTAAGTACTATAAATCATCTGTCATTTAAATTGTTTTTATTTCCTAGAGCATTACAGACAAATATCAAACATGACACAGGAGCCCATGTTTCCATAATCCTGGGTATTTCAGGACTGGGTTGAGGCAGTGTACTGGTAATGATATCCAAACTAAAGATGAAATCAGAAAGAAATAGGGACAGGCAAAAATGAGCTGATTTTAATCAGCTCCTGACTGCCTTCCAATGTTCTTCAATGTTCTCCCTGTGCTTTACTCCATAAACGTCTTTCTTGAGTCAAACAATTTCTGCCATCTCAGCACTTTCATGAAGAATGTTTTAATGTTGTAGAAAAAAAGCATAGTGTTTTTCTCCTTTGATTCCACCTCACCTATCACCTAGTAATCTGCAAGCTGAAAGCAGAGATTATGTTTTCTCTGCCTTTCTCCAACCTAGCAAAATGACAACACAATAAGTGCTCAGAAAGTGTTAAATCTACTAAATTGCATGCCAATGAGCTACATTATATAAAAACATTGCTTAATTGATATTATTCTAATCCATTTCTTTGGTTGATTATTTTCGCATCATTTACATCACTTCCTGGGTTGACAGTCTCTGCTGAACTTAACAGATAGAAATATTAGTTTAATGTGGGAATCCTTTGCATAATCTTTTGAGTAAAGGAGTGTGTGTGTGTGTGTGTAATCTAAAGGAACACACACAGACTTCACTCCTATCAAGGACCAGGAGCTCAAGAGAAAGGGTGCAAGTTTAGGTTTTATCATTCTTTGACATATATGTCTCATCCATCTGGACCTTGACCAGCAAGTGTCTAGAATGGCAGGAAAGAGAACAATACCCTCAAGATAATAGCAAAATTCCTTTGCCCTGCCATTTTATATTCTCTGAAAAATGCCTATATCTACTTGAAAGCAGCCTAGTTCAAAGACCTTTGCATAATGCTACAGCAGGAAAGTGAGTCTCAATTTTCCACCCAGGAAAAACACTTCACTTAGATTACATAAGCTGGGAAGAAGGGTTGGAGTACTAGAAACAAGAGAGAATTCACACACACACACACACACACACACACAGCACACACACATATATACGATAGAAAAATGTTGCAAGTGGGTTCAAGTAATCTTATTATTTGTATGCAGTTTTTCTTTAGCTTTATTGCATTATTTTGCTAAAAGATTTTCCAGAGGCTAAAATTGCAAGCTGGGCAGCTTGTCTGCTTCTTTCTAATAGAACACAATGCACGCCAATGGATTCAATAATTAATTAATCAGAGCAACCAGGCTGCTGCTTCAGCTTCCTGCAAAACAGTAAATAATGCCCAAATTAGGGATCTGTCACCCATTTGAAAGTAATTCCCCTGTGCATCTAGTTCAGGGAAGCTTGTCTGAGGTTTCCAAGGTACCTGAAAGAGACACATATGAAGACAGCTAAATCAGACCAGTGCAGAAAGATGGAGTGGGTAGATGGACATGTTGTAATCTGCGTGTGTGAACTCTCACTGTGCCAGAGTAGGAAGCATTAAGCACAGCTAAAGGACATTGCAACCGCCCTGCCCAAAAGTCGCTATGATTGTCTGGATTGTTAGATTGCTCAAATCAGATCAGTGGTATACGAAGACAAAGACCTTTATTTAGAGTCCCTAGACATGATTATATCAGCTATATTATAAAAGAATCAATATCAG
This sequence comes from Homo sapiens, assembly GCF_000001405.40. NCBI lineage: Eukaryota > Metazoa > Chordata > Mammalia > Primates > Hominidae > Homo > Homo sapiens. The sequence goes on along the minus strand of NC_000008.11, from coordinate 35,644,913 downwards.
AATTCTACCATTGTCCGAGTGCTCCAAGTCTCACTTTTTGATATGTGTCTATGTCAATGAAAATCCTAGACATAAACATCTAACTCTTTTAGTGATTTCATGTGGTCTCTCTACTAATTGGGCAAAAATGTGATGAGCCACAACTCTTTAAGATGATCAGAAAAGAACTTTCACATGAAAGGAGAAAATGTTATACATTTTTAAAATATAATCCAAGGTGTTCTATATCAATGAAGGCAAGACAGGCTTGTGAGCTGCAGACAACCTGCATGATGGTTACAAAGTGAGCACTCTGAGTGTTCCCTCAGTTATTTTCAGTCTGATATAATCAGCCCAGAGATCTTTAAAACTGATCAAAATGGTGCTAGATTGTGGATGCAGGAACTAAAGGTGATGAGAAGCTTTTCATTCTGGGACTACGATGAACTTTAATTCTCAGGGTCTTATAAATAACTGGAGGAATAGAGGACAGGGAAAATGTTGAATCAGCAGAAATCGACTAAGCTACAGCAAAGGCAAACATCTTGGTCCCCTGTGGATAGACTTGTGACATCAGCTGTGTTAATAAGAAAAAAGGGCTTTAAGTGCTCAAAGCATGGCCACCAACAGGTATACAATTGTCCTATGGGATTCCTGTTACCCATTTCTCTGTTAACCACTTCTGTCTCAACCCTCCCTTCCCACTTACTGAAAAAGGATCAGGAGATCAAAAACCCTAACTCTATATAAGCCTTAATTTTAACCCAGTAGAGCCTGGACTTTTGACTATTACTATTTGTTAGCAATTACAAATGTCCGCAATACATGATGATTTAGAATTTTGTAGGAGGACAAATGTGAAATGTGCATAGTGAAACTGTGGCAGGAGTGAAGAATTAAGCTGGTGAGAAACATAGCCGATGGCTCAATATCCCCAACAGCTTTATTGTTCTCTACTTGTTTTGTGTAGGTGTAAGTATTATGGGGAAAATGGGGGGCTTCATCTCAGCTTGGAGGATAATGAAGCTCTCAGGCCCTGAGACTGATGAAGAGCAGGGATTTATTTTTTAATCATACCTCTAGTTTTGTTGATAGGGCTTAATTAAAATGGTAAAACAACCTCTCCAGATTTCATCGCCTACTCCATTGTCCTTCCTGAACCATTAGCATCCTAAAACATTTTTTAGACATTTAGAAGCCACTAAGTGACTCTGAAGTCATGCAAGGACTGATCTGATTTTTAAATCTCAACTGCAGCCCAGGCCAGTGGCTCACACCTGTAATCCCAGCACTTTGGGAGGCCCAGGTGGGTGGATCATTTAAGGTCAGGAGTTCGAGATCAGCCGGACTAATATGGTGGAACGCTGTCTCTGCTAAAAATACAATATAAACCCTGTCTCTACTAAAAATACTAATATGGTGAAACCCCATCTCTACTAAAAATACAAAAATTAGCTGGGGGTGGTGGCATGTGCCTGTAGTCCCAGCTACTCAGGAGGCTGAGACAGGGGAAATGCTTGAACCCAGGAGGCAGAGGTTGCAGTAAGCCGAGATCACCAAAAAAATCTCAATTGCAGAGCTTTTAAAACAGAGATGGGCTGCAAAAAGGAGGAGAGGCGAGATGAGGACAGAATTAGGGTGGTGGTTCTCAACCAAGGGCGACTTTTTCCTCCAGGGAACATCTGGCAATGTCTGGAGACATATTTGGCTGTCACAATTGGAAAGCAGGACTAAGTGGTGCCTATTGGGTGGAGGCCACGGATCCCACTAAACATCTACCATGCACAGGACAGCCCCCCCACAACAAAGACTTCTCTGGACCAAAATGCCAACAGTGCCGAGGCTGAGAAGCCATGAATCAGGGAGAGTAACTCTCACTTCTCCTATAGACAAGAAACAGCAGGGTGACCAGAAGCTGGCCTGTCCCTTTTGTTAAGGATGTCTTCCTAGCATGTTTCTAAGCCTGCTCCGTGGGCATTAACACTGTTCAACAAAAGACCTGTTTGCTTTACTCTATCTGGGGTGGGTTGGGGAGAAGGGAAAAACAATCTTGTAACTAAAAAGAAGGGGAAATGTATTTTGTAATTATCACAAAATTGCATCTTACTGTGTGCTTAGGACATCATTAAAATGTCTTCTAGGAGCTTAAAGTCTCATCAAAATTAAATCTGTACCGGGCCACAAAACAATACTTCCTAGTAATCTTTGCAGTATGTGCTAATTAAATTTAGCAAAAGCCTTAAGATTAGCCAGGAACCCAGCTAGGAAAGCAATCTGCTGATCTGCCCCATCTCCAGATTGATTTGATGGGTAGGCTGCCCTGATTCGGATTTCGCAGGCTTCAGAAAAGCACCCATGGCCAGTGCAACTCGGTTTATCAGAGAAAAAATTAACCCCCTACTTAAAGCCTGAGTGTAAACTTAGATATATGACTATGGTTTGTCTCAGGGTTCAGACTTGGGTAAGAGAGAGGACAGAAAAACCTCTAAAAAAAATTGTATCATGTTGTTGCTATTTGTTTGCAATCAGAGTCCTGAAAACCTCAAGAATATGATACCAGATATACTGTAAGTAAAATATGGGCAAAGAAAAAAGGTACTGTAAAAGAGGAAAAAAGCTCTTGATCCCAAGGCCTGGGATTGAACCACTGCTTTAACACCCATGTCCCACAGATAATGTGGCTAATTTCACAGCTATAAAATGAGGTGACAGGCAGCAGCACCCCAGTTAATTCTGATCGTATGAATGTGTGAATACTGGATTAAGATTTGCTGCTTTCATAGATCAGGGAGTGTAAGATAAACTCTAGGTGGAGGTGCAGAATCTCACGCAGGGAAAAAGTTATTCCTCAGGTCAGAGAGGCAGGGGGAGGTTCCAAGTCTCACACTATAAGTATCAACTGACTAATGGCAATGCTCTTTAAGAGAGATTTTAGCTCCCTGTTCATAACCAAATGTCTTGGAGTGTTTGAGAGAATTTTCAGGGTATTCAATAGTGAGATGGTACCACCATCCATACCTAAGCAAGAACCTGGAGAAATAAGGAGCTATAATTGTGCCAGCCCTTTTTATTTAGGATTATAACAATCTTAAGACAGCACTTGCAATTGGGATCTTTGAACCTGGAGTTTGAAATAAATATATTGTTTTCAAGGTCAATCTATTAAGATGTCCTACACTCCTATTTTCCCAAGCTACTTTGAAAAAGCCGTATTTTTGCACAGGTCCTGTGAACACAGCCCAAGAATTTGAGGCTCAGTTTATCCTTTTCTTTCTATCCATGAGATGATACAGAATACATATTATATTGTATTTATGACTGATGGCTAACATAGTCATACTTGATGACTGTCATAAAATATTACAAATTGTAGAATATGACTCAATGTCTAATGAAGGCTAAATGAAGGCTCTATGTATTCTCACCAAGAGAAAGATAATTATGTCCTTGCAGGCCATCCACTTAAACAGTTGGCAAAGATCTGATCAGACACCCCATCCCTGTGGACCTATGAGTTCTCAAATGTTGTAGATGCTGTTTTTTTTTTTCTTTTTTTTTTTTTTTTTTTGCTTTATTTTTTTTTCTTGTTTGGCAGTGAGATACATCATACAGCCACAATCCTGCTGCCCTAAAATTGAAACGAGATTGAATGATTAGAAGCTTTTGGCAGCTGTAAAATAGTGTTTAGTAGACTTTGCCTTCGTATCAAATGAGGAGATGAATATCAACACAGGAAAAAATTCTGCTCATTAGTCATATTCATATATACACAGCTTCCAGAAATGTGAGATCCTTGTGCCTTTGGGAAATTTCTTAACCCTAATCTATGTTTTGTGAATGTCTCTATTAAACAACTTATAGTTCTAGGCTTTGATTGGGCCCAAATCTAATCGAATTTCTTATCTCTAAAAAAGCTGTCTTATAAATAGAAAGAAACCAAGAAAAGGGATGTTCTCTAATGGGCTGAAGTTACATTTCAGAGAACTATTAGAAAGAGAGAGAGAGAGGAGAGGAGGAGGAAGAGGAAGAAGAGGACAGAGAGTTACGTTTAAATGACTGAAGAAAACTAACAATTTTCTAAAAAATTGATTTCAAAGAAAACATTCTTTTCTTTGTATAGCTGGACTTAGCCATATTTTAAAAATCATAGTCTACTTCATAGACAATGTAAATAGATCCGAATTCAAAAGACATGACACTTAAAATTACAACTGTGAAAAACATCTCTGCGTTTTCAGGGAATTTAGATTTTGAAAAATATAATTGTGATTTGAAATCAGGAATTTTTACCTTAATCTTCCACTGCGTCATCCTGCTAGATTACCTTTCTCAAGGCAGGACTGTAATAATGGGAGATGTCTGTGATTCTTACCATCAAATCTTCTTGCTCATGTGGAGTTACTCCAGACAGCTTTATATCATCCCTTCAAACTCCAGAATCTGACTGTGAGATACCCAGTCTACGTAACATCATATCAAGAAAGCAAAAAGTAGTTTTGACCACAAGCTACATTATTTTGGGTTACATTATTCTGAGTTCCATTATTATGGGTACATGATTTCTTGAAGGGCTGTTTACTTTCATGCCACAATCCTGAGTGGATGAATCACAATCTGATCAGGATATGAAAAGTTCAAGGACAGGGCATGAATGAACCCTTCATTTTGTGCAACCAAGAAACCTTGAGAGCAGGAAAATATTTGGCCTAGCTTGGGTTTAACGTTGTTACATACAAAGTAGGAATTAAAGTGTAAGCAGAAACTGGGGTTTCGCAATTAGCAGAAATCACTCTTTTTGCTTTCATTAAAAAAAAATTAAAATTTTATGAAGACCAATAGGACACATCTTAAATATTTTTCAAATAAATGAAATGGACCATGTGCTTGTACATTATTTAAAAAGTGAAATAGGCCAGGCACAGTGGCTCATGGCTGTAATCCCAATACTTTGGGGGTCTGAGGCAGGACGATCGCTTATGGGCAGGAGTTTAAGACCAGACTGGGCAATAAATGAGACCTCATCACTACAAAAAATTTAAAAAAAAAATAGCCAGGCATGGGGGTGCATGCCTATAGGTGGAAGGATTGCTTGAGCTCAAGAGGCAGAGGTTGCAGTGAGCTGAGATCACACCACTGCTCTTCAGCCTGGATGACACAGCAAGACCTTGTCTTAAAAAAAGAAAAAAGAAGTCAAAATACTTTATGTGACTTCTAATGAAAATAAGTAGTTCTTTTCTCCCACTGCTCCCTACTCTTGAGTTTTATCTTCCAGAATTTATATCAATATTTTAAAATTAAGGTAATATGTGTTTATAGTTATTAATTGGCTTTCAGATATTAGTAATTATCTGTTTCCCATATTAAGGATTAAGATTTAATATTACAGTACCCCGCAGAAACATATTTTCTATAATCATCCTGCCAATGTAATAAATATATTACGTTTGATTAAATTCACCATATTATGACTATTTGCCATTGTTTGCTTTCAAAATATGAAAGCAATATGCTATGATTACTCTTCTATCTTGACAACTTTTTTTCCCTATAGTTAACAATTGAATTAATTTTTGGTGAAGGCAATTTTTATACCAAATCTCCTAAAGAACTGTAAACCACTCAATATGAGCAAATAAATCAGGCAACCTGTCAGTTCCACCTTCTTTTTGAGATGTCCTTTCCTGGTCGCCCTGCCCCTTGGTTCCACATAGGGCTACCCACCCTCTTGTGCTGTTGCACAGGCCTTTGAGTGGACATGGTCCTGGGATCTCATTCACCATCATTCTTGGATTTCTATTTATTTCTCTCCTACACAGAATCCAATCATATCCGAACAATATTCATTTTCCCTTACTGTTGAGGTTTGCTTTGGGTACACAATTCAGTGTGGGAAAGATATACTTAACTATGGTATCTGTAGCATCTTTTCCTGAATCTGGCCTACAGAAGACTTAACAAATGTTAGAAAAATGAAATGAACCAATGTAGGTATAACTTATTTGGCTTCAGTTGCTTTTACCAAAGTCTTAACTAAGTTTCAATATGAATAAAGAGTTTATTTTAGTTCTTTTCATCTACTCTTCATACTGTGACTGAGGCTAGTCTCAGGATAATTTATGTCACTTTTTTTTTAAAGAGACAGGGTATTGCTTTATCACCCAGGCTGGAGTGCAGTGGCAGGATCACGGCTCACTATCACCTCCAACATCTGGGCTTGAACAATCCTCCCAGCTCAGCTCAGCTTCCTGAGTAGCTAGGACTGTAGGTGCATGTCATCATACACTCTAATTTTTTATTTTTTTTTATAGAGATGAGGTCTCAGTATGTTGCCTAGGCTGGCTCAAATTCCTGGCCTCAAGCATTCCTCCCTCCCTGGCCTCCTAAGGCACTAGGATTACAGGTGTGAGCCACCAAGCCTTGCCAAATTATGTTAAATCTTAATCCTTATCTTGTTAGAGGGCAAACAACTACACATAAAAAAAGTAATAATAAAAATTGAAAAATATAGATCATATAGTCCCCTCTTCTAGTTGTCTTTCATTTAGGAAAAGTGCATATTAATTTGTGCCAGATACTTCTGTAGGCATTAAGTTCTCATTCAGGAAATTCTTACTGTATTTAAAAGAGTCTTCACCTGCCAAACACCGCTCCAATTTTAGTTGATTCCGATTACCTTCCTTCTGAAAGCATAGTATTTAAGTTACTATGCGTAATGATTTCATCACTATGAGACAAGTGTTTGTTCTCAAAAAAATATGTACAGGAAGTATAGGTGACATGTCTTCTTTCACTATTGTGAATTTTAAAAGCAAATAATTGCCTTTTCTTAAAGATGGAAAAAGTATGAAAATCTCTAATTGGCTCTTGAAATAAAATGTATGAAGAAAAGATTCCATAAAAGAACACACCACAGGCTTTTTCAGTTTTCCCTTGCCATCCTTCTTAAGATACCCAGGGCTGAGAGTGACAGCTAGTCCAGAATCAGAAACATAATAGACTGACCTGGTCTATCATGTTGTATGTTGGCCGGCACATGGGGACTGAAGAGCAAGGTCAGCAAAACTCACATTTCAAAAAACAGCTGTTGAATAATATCAGAGACTGAGTGTCTCTTGAAAGCATCCTCATTATCATGCAAGAATGGAGAAGTCCTCTCTTTGGAAATGGAGCACCCCATTTTATTTTTCCTTTTGATTTAAACATGTGGAAAATTCCCATTAGTACCAAGAGATGGCAATGCAAACAGAGCAGGCTGAATCCTCCTGTTAAGATATGATGACCTGTGTTTAATTCTGCAGTTAATATGATGGCCATGTGTTCATTTCACCAATTTACTATATGGATACTTTCCTACTCAAGACTACTCTCATACCCATTAGAGAGGCCTCATGAAAACGTGAACTCTGTTCCCGTATTTCACATCCATCCCTAAAATGGGCTCATTATGACTGGCTTTCTCTCCATTTTACAGGTGTATTATAAAGATAAAAGGGCTACACCACAAGTACTTCGGAGATTTTAGATGGGAGGTGAAGTAAAACTACATATAAATGAATGTAACCTATGCACCTGAGAAGCTTAGCTTCCACATGAAACCTAAATTAATATTTTTGATTGGTATGACAATTGATCCTAGTTGTGCTAGAGTCTCTTTGTGACCCTATCACAAAGGAAAAGTGTGATTACTTTTTTAAAAAGACAAAAGCAGAAAAATAAGACAAAAAAGGTAAATTTCTCAGAGTACAAACCTGTTTATGGGCTTTACACAGAAACAATGTGTGCTAATAATTAGGAACCACTTTAGGAAACTGGTGATTGCACCTCTACTTGGAAAACTAATAGCAATGAATTGTACTATGTTCCTGGGCATGATCATAAGGAAGTTCAGCTTTTTATTTTGCAAACATTTCATCCTCATTGGAAGTGAGACATGAGAAAGGGTTTATTAGAGTTATTTGACGGGCAGTCAGAATGTCTGCAGAAACAGACTTCAGGCAGACTCGAAGTCCTGGTCTCACTAGGCAACAGCCTGTAAAACTGCCTTTTGACTTACCCACTGCCAGAGCAAACACACAGCAACATTGCTGGGATTATTTTGAATGTTACTGGGGTTACTTGTATCTGTTTAGTTAGCAGAAATGCATCCAGATTCTCCAAAATGTTTGGATGGGCAGGATATACAACAACCTTGTGAGAACAGAAAGGAAGGATATGCCTCTGGAGGCCTGATGAGGGAGTCTCCCCTACCCCATCCCCCAGCACTTTTCTGTGAGTGATGGATCCCTCACTGGGGAAGACAGGGCCAGGAGGGATCTGTGGAGTCTCCTGCTCTGTGAGGCAGTCTGTATACTGGCAAGTTCTTAGACTCTTTACCTAAATCAGTAACTATACTGGGAGCAATGGTATCTCCATGCTAGGGGAACATTTGGCAATGTCTGGAGAAACTTCAGTTTGGCACAACTAAAGGGGCATCAGGGAGTTCTACAGGCACCCAGTGGGTACAGCTCAGGGATGCTGCCAAACACCCATAATTCACAGGATAGCCTCCGGGACAAATAATTACCAGGCCTGAAATGCTGAGGTTGAGAAAACCTGACCTAAGTTAAAAGAAAATAACCTTTTGTTGTTTAATTTTAGGCCATTGACCATCTCCTTTATGACAGATGCTTAGTTACTAGAAACTATTACCGGTAGGTACAAAACCCATCATTCGACCCCGTTTGCTTTCTTTCCTTGCTCTATGAAATTGATTTATACAAATGAATGCAGAAGAAAATCAGTACCTCCTGCATAATCACAAGCATGTGCAATATAGAATTCGGCAGCAGATAATCAGAACTCTTAATGATGAGCAAAAATATAATCACTCTGAGGTTGTGCCATTGTATGGCCCTCCTTCTATACCACCTCTCAGCCAAAAATAAGATCTCCCGAGATTTCTGCTTCCTTCTTCCTCAATAGTTTCCTCCCCTATGACCACCATAATTTTACTTATTTGGTTTCCGTGAGGGATGAAGTGCATGCCACTTTTCAGCACACCTCAGTGAGTCTGAGAGAGGAAAGGCTGAAAACATAATCTTCTCCTATTGCCTTGATGAGGAAGGAAAATCTACACACGTAACTCTTTTCCCTTTTCCTTTCCATACAATTTTTGATCTTTAGTTTCTACATACATAACAACCTTATTGTATATGTGTCTTTTATTGTTAGCCTGCTCAAGTCCTTTTGTGAAAGCCGGCAGGGTATAAATTACAAATAAATAAATGCCACACAGAAGAACCCTTTACTACATGCAGCATGTGCTATTTATGGCAGGTTTCACATAGCCTTCATCAATGAACTGCCAGCAGTCAGTGTTGTTAAAATGATTTCTTACAACGAAGGAGCATTATCATGTTTTCCAAGCAGGCAAGGCAATGAGTTATTATAACTTCTGCTCAACTTCTTATTAAGAGCTGAACTGCTTCAAAGCCAGAGCTGGTTTCCTGGATAGGTGAGTAGACCTTGGACAAGTGACAGGAAAAGCAGATGACAAACACTTAACGGGTTAAGACAAAACGTGCATCCCTTTCAAAGTCAAAAGACTGTGTCATCTATGAATATAGTGGGTGATGCTGAGTGACAGCAAGAGAGGTATCAATACATAGGAGTATCATTGTACCCCAAAGGAGGTGCCTTGGTGCAAATACTCAAAATGAGATACCTGACATGGAGGAGGAAAGGGAGAGTCAAGGAAAGAAGAGAATAAGGGATACAGTCTCCCCAAAACACGATGTATATTACGGTGCTGAAGGATAGAGAGAGAGAAAAAATAGTGCACTCTTCCAAGAAGTCAGTGTCAAATTTGTGTAACTTTTTAGAAAAATCCAACCTGGGCACAGTGGCTCATGCTTGTAATCCCAGCACTTTGGGAGGCCAAGGCGGGTGGATCGCCTGAGGTCAGGAGTTCAAGACCAGCCTGACCAACGTGGAGAAATCCCGTCTCTGCTAAAAATACAAAATTTAGCCAGGCATGGTGGTGCATGCCTGTAATCCCAGCTACTCAGGAGCTGAGGCAGAGGAATCACTTGAACCTGGTAGTCGGAGGTTGCCGTGAGCCAAGATCCTGCCATTGCACTCCAGCCCAGGCAACAAGAGTGAAACTCCGTCTCAAAAAAAAGGAAAGAAAAAAAAAAAAGAAAAGAAAAATCCAGAGGGAGAAAAACAACTGTAAGAACTATTTCCTTATTTACCTTATAATTGCACAAAAAGCACTTGAAAATCAATATGTGCCATCCCATTGTCTGTTTTTTCCCCCCTGCATCAGTATTTGTAACCTTTCAAAACTAAATAACTTGTCTCTCTGTACCCTGAAATTCAGTATGCTTCTTCTAAATGCTCCTAATTCTATCAAATAGATCCATTTAGGTCACTGTCAGCCCAGGAAATGAATTCACAAAGCTCTAACAGGAGCTATCTAGTTGGAACCAGAGGACCTTGGGATGCAAATCATTCTCATTTTAGCACTCCCATTAGTAGGGATGTGTTTTGCTATAGTGTTTCTATTCTGCAACCTTTGCTACTCCTTTGTGCATTGCCTTGTTTAGTTTACAGTTTAACACAGAAGTAAAAATGTGCAAGCCACCTGGTTCTCAGGGAAAATGCGTGTGCCGTGCTTACTTGCCTTGATTGAATGGAAATTCTGTGTGATTCTGGAAAAATGCTTAAGAGTGCAATGCAAACAAAATGCCTAAGGTTTTCATCTCACTTTGGAGTTTACAAACCGTTTTCCAAATAATCCTGATTTTAAATGTTAACAACACCCTACAGAGATAGACATTAACTGGACTACGATGTGAAACCTAAAGATCACACAGGCTAATGAGTGATAAAGTTAAAATCAAATGCCAGTATTTTTTATTTGGTTTGGTTTTACAAAGCTTGTGTTCTCTGTAAATTCTAATAGCTGAATGGTTTGGACTAATGACTGGGCTTTGATTCGGCTTCTTGCCAAGATTATATCTTTCGCATTCCTTTCTTAGCTCTACAGATAGGATTCTTGGGTAAGTGACTTTCCACCTTATTCCTGGCTCAGGCTCTGTGATACCACATCCCTGCCTGGGCCCACTCCTTCAGCCTCCACGATCCTAGAAGTTTGTATTAGGTCCTGGAAACTGCAGACCTGGTCATTCTGACCAGGAATATTATAAGCTGTATCTGCGATCTAAGCTGGTGTGCAATGGTACAATCACAGCTCACTGTAACCTCAAACTCCCAGGCTCAAGCAATCCTCTTGCCTCAGCCTCCCAAGTAGCTAGGATTACAGGCATGTGCCACCATGTCTTGCTAATTTAAAAAAAATTTTTTTTTTGTAGAGATGAGGTCTCACTATGTTGCCCAGGTTGGTCTTGAATTCCTGGTCTTGAGAGATCCTCCCGCCTCGACCTCCTGAAGTGTTAGGATTACAGGTGTGAGCCACCGTGCCCTGTACAAAAAAGGATTTTTTTTTAAAAAAAAATCTCACATAAAAAAAGAGGCTAAAAGAAATTGCTCAATATTAGACTGGAAAGTTGTGTGGTTATAAAATTATTGGCTGTGGTTTAGAAAAGGTCATTGTAAATCAGAAAAAGATGAGACACAGGGGAACACCTCCAAGGGAGTATTTAAATTGTAACCTGGCAGCAAGTGAACAAGCATGTAGAGATATGCTGCTGATTTACTTAAGCATTGTAGAGTTGTGTTACCAACCTTTTACGCAAGAAGTCCTATCCTAAGGGAGCACAGGATGTCAAGGAGCCCTGAAATATTGCAGGTGGCAAGGCTGCAGGCTATATACTGTCAGGGGTGCTATTGGGGAGGCAGAGAGCCTTAGAGAGGGGACCCCATGAACCTGACATGGAGGAAATTACCAGGGACATAGACTATTGGAGTGCAAGTTGGTCCCTGACAACTGACTTCTCTTCTGTAGGAGGGAGCTGATTGTTAAAGCTAAAGCCCAAAGGAGGTGATAACCTGTGGGCAGGTTGTTTGCAGAAACAAGGGAGGTGAAGAGTAGTTTTGGACCAGGAAAGGGGCTCCAAAGAAACTGTAGTCAGTAGCTGAGAAAAAGAGATGGCTGACTGGAACAGGTTAGACCACACACCCTCGTGGGCCAGCCTAGACTCCTCTCCTTGCCTGAGCCCCTCTGGCCTGTAAAGTGGTAACATCTGAGAAGAGCACAATGTCCGCAAGTGTGGGCACATGGGAGGTGGAAGTGTGCCATTGGACTGACCATGTGCACTGTTCTGCAGTGAACAAGACAGAGAAAAAAAGGTAAGCCCTGGTTTAGGGAAGTGCTCTTCAGAGGAAAATCCAATTTCTCCTCTTACCTCCGCATGCAGCAGCAACAGCACAGGGATGAGGCCCCAGCTGGTTGAATGTTCTTTTATTCCTTTGGAAAAGAAGTGACCTGTATCAGAGGACAATCAGGTCGGCTTGAGGTCAAATGACACTCAAGCTCCAGAAGGGCCCAGGCCCCCTTCCTCAGCCTCCATAACCATGGTGATCATTGTGATTACAAATAAGAGATTTCCATTTCATCCCACAGGACACACAAAACAAAAGTAGCTAGACTTGCAGTTCCAGGTTATGCAGGGTATCAATGCTGGGTTAAAGGATGCATTTTCTAAATAATGCAGTTTCCTCACTCATGTCTCAACAAGTAAGCATGAGTTGCAAAGATGCCCAAATTTCACTCCAAATAGAAAAAATGGAAACTTTTCTGCCCCAAATGAATGCATATCCAGTGACAGCAGAGCTACAGATTTGACACTGGTTTCACCTCTTCTTGGTCTTAAGTGCAAGAAGGCTTGCTCTGTTGAAATGCAATAGATTCCTGTGCTTGAGCTGGGGAAGAACAGCATGGCTTTGTGATGAGCCTGTTGGACAGTGGACAATGTCAGATGCATGCACGGGGCAAATGCTTACATGTGCCCCAGTGAGAAACCTGTCTGATCATTTGGGTATTGGATAAATGATGCATAACACTTAATTGTTCTGGCTAATATAGAACCATATTAAATAATAAGACAAGTAAGTCAAGGTAATGTTAAAACAGGCTTTGAAGAAAGGGCAAGAACAAACCTCTGCAGATTCCAAAGCTCTCTAACTACTCTCAATAATCCCTATATTGTAATCCTATAAAACAGACCACCTAAGGATTCTTATGGTCAATATCCTTATATTATGGGTGAAGAAACTGAGTTCCAGGGAGCAAAATGTATTGCAGAAGAGCTGTCAGTAAGATCAGAATAAGTTCCTTACTCATCTACTCTGTTCGGACTACTTGCTGGAGAAGTGAGCAACTTCGGCCCTTTTCTGCTTCAATAAACTCTAATTTCCCAAGTCCATACGTGGACTGTGGTGACAAAGACAAATAAGGCTTGACATCCACTGATTTGAGAGAATTGGGTCAACAGCTTTCTAACAAAGGACAACTGATACTGCCCAGCAGTGCATGGTGCAGTTGAAGGGACATTTGACCAGGAGTCTGAAGAACTATGTCAAGCTGTGTGACTCTGGGTGAATCATCAGGCCTCTCTGAGTCTCATTTCATGCCTTCTATAAAACAAAGCAGTCAGGCCAAATGATTTTTTTTTTTTTTGAGACAGGGTCTCACTCTGTTGCCCAGGCTGGAGTGCAGTGGCATGATCTCGGCTCACTGAAACCTCCGCCTCCTGGGTTGAAGCCATTCTCCTGCCTCAGTCTCCCCAGTAGCTGGGACTGCAAGGCACACACCACTATGTCCAGTTAATTATTTGTATTTTGGTAGAGATGGGGTTTCACCGTGTTGCCCAGGCTCGTCTCGAACTCCTGAGCTCAGGCAATCTGCCCTATTTGGCCTCCCAAAGTGCTAGGATTACAGGCTTGAGCCACTGTGCCCGGCCCAGGCCAAATGATTTTTAAGACTCCTTTCAGCTCAAACATTCTGTGTTTCCACAAAGGAGAAAACCTAGTCTTAATGTCTAGAGAAACTACTTTCATTCCCAAATGATGATCACTGTGCTCAGAGACATCCAAGTGCTATCTTGAATCCTTGGGGCCCCAAAATTGTGCCCTTGGGAGAAGCATGGCTTAAATTAGGGATGAAGTTTGCAAACTTCTGGCCTATTCCCCCCCACCCCAGTACATTATTCTGGCTCTGAATTAATAACTTTGGTAGCATTGTAACCAGTTAGCCAAAGTAGATGCGGGGAGATTTAAGCAGCCTTTTTCCCGCCTTACGAATCACTAGATGAGCAAGGAAAATTTGATTGGAGGGTATGTACGGCCCTAAAATTCTTGAGAAAATCATGGAAATTTACCCAAGACAAGAATTTGCAATGTGGTCCCTGGAGAGAGCCAGAACAGGGTCAAACACACTTCACTGTCACAATATTCTTGGCTTGAAATCACACGGAGAGAGAAAAGGACACCACTGCTTCTGAGTTGCCAACCAGCCTTAGCTTTGCATTTTCCTCTACGTCAGGTATAGCCAGTCCGGACAACTCAGGCAATGTTAGAGGAATAGTTAGCTATCCATGAATTAAGACTTATTTTCTGAGATCAGGGCTGCTTAGAATTCAAATGAGTGGCTAATAATCCCTGATAATACACTAATCATAAAAAAGCAATTGAAAACAGGGAAAACAGTTGTAGATCATTGGATAAAAGAGTATTTGTATATGGCCCAAGTTGCTGAAATATAACCTTTGCCAACAAAATTCCACTATCATCATAACATTTCTTACAAGAAGTAAAGTTCGGTATAAAAAAGGCCAGAGTTCATCTATTGTGGAAGAAGCAATTTATTGAACTTATTTCATTGGATTAAGTAATTTCAGTCCAGACAATAAAAGATTTGCCAAACAAAGTCTTTTCCATGCGTAAATATCAATGAAATTATTTTATTAAGGTAAAATAAAAAAGACTGCCAGGGAAGGAAGAATTCTAAATGAATAATTCAATATAAAGGGGAAATGCAAAAGCAGGGGAAACAAAATCTTAGGGTTACCCGTAAGTTACAATACAACTTTGGGTCTAGGCCTCATACCATTAACTCATTTATAGTGATCTCAATACTTTTACGACCTGGGGTGGGGGGATAATTTAAGATTGTAAAAAACAGACAATACATTATAACACAGAAGCTAAAGATGTGTTCTAGAAATTGTATTTGTTTTTGTGAAACTAAAAGATATCTCTAATTACAGAATGACTTAGGAATTCATCTATGTTTTTTAAATTATAGATTTGGGGGATCCATGTACATGATTGTTACGTGGGTATATTGTGTAATGGTGGGGATTGGGCTTTTAATCTACCCACCACCCAAATATTGAACACTGCACCGAATCGATTATTTTTCAACACTCCCTCCCCTCTCCTACCCCCATTTTGGAGTCCTAGTGTCTATTATTTCCATCTTTATGTCCATGAATACCTTATGTTTAGCTCCTACTTACAAGCGACTACATTGAGAAAATGCAGTATTTGATTTTCTGTTGCTGAATTTGTTCACTTGAGATGCAACTCAACAAGAAAAAAAAACCCATTAAAAACTGGGCAAAGGACACGAACAGACATTTCTCAAAAGAAGAAATACAAACAGCCAACAAAGACATGAAAAAATGCTCAACATCACTAATCATCAGAGAAATGCAAATTAAAACCACACTGAGATATCATCTTACACCAGTCAGGATGGATATTATGAACAATTTAAAATGTAGTAAAGTGTCTGTGTTTAAGTAGCTTTCTACTCTTGGACTTAAAGCACAAAACATTGCTGCCATTATTTAGGTGGGGAGAAAAAGGCTTGCTACTGAAATAGTACTGGGGGTTTGAGAGAATAATGGCAAACCAGAAAGGCAAAGAATTAGAAACTCTGCATATAAAACTGTTCCATGGGCCCCTCCCCTCCTCTGCATCAAAGATACCCACAGAGGAAAGAGCACCAGAGAGGAATTTGACTGTTTTCATTTTGAGATTGATTTTGCTCATCTGTATAATCAGGGGGTTGGATAAGCCTATATAATTATTATAATTTTATCCAGATTTGACAATCACTAATTCTATGAGATACACAGAAATTTTCTAGAAGGGGCCACACTGTTGGAAATCTCTAATTAGTGTATCACTGAGAGTAAGTCTCATACCATGATAAGCATTAAACTAACTGCTCAGAGTGTCTATGCTAACAAGCTTTTCTTTTTACCCTTCAGAAACCTGCCTTCTTTCTGAACCTGAAAAACTTATCTTGGGTTATGTGGTACCTAGTAATTTAATACCTAATCCATTTCTGAAAACATTCATTTCAGACTAGTTGCAAAGTTTTAAGTTTCAATACTAAGAAAAGGAAAGGAAGAAAAGTCAGTGAAGAAGAGTAAAAACAGTACTTGTTTCTCTGGTTCTGAAAAATCTATGCACACTTTGTACATGAACATCTTTAAAAGCAGGATGTGTTTTTAGTTGATGACATCTTAACATTAAAAAGGGCTTTCTGGGCTGGGCACAGTGGCTCACACCTGTAATCCTAGCACTTTGGGAGGCTGAGGCGGGTGGATCACCTGAGGTAAGGAATTCAAGACAAGCCTGGCCAACGTGGTGAAACCCTGTCTCTAATAAAAATACAAAAATTGGCTGGGTGTGGTGGCAGGTGCCTGTAATCCCAGCTACTTGGGAAGCTGAGGCACGAGAATCAGTCGGACCTGGGAGGTGAAGGTTGCAGTAAACTGACATCATGCCACTGCACTCCAGCCTGAGCAACAGAGTGAGACTCAGTCTCAAAAAAAATAAGTAAGTAAGTAAGTAAGTAAATAAATAAATAAAGAGCTTTCTTAAAGGGCTATATAAAATAATGGTAATTTTTACAATTGATTAGGTCTATGAAACATGGTATTATCCATCACATACAGACTAATGCACACCTTGTTCCCTCAACCACACCCCCAATCAAAAAAAATCTAAACCCATTAGATGAGTAAATACAACAGAAGAATTTTCTTCTTTTTTGAGACAGTCTCGCTCTGTCACCCAGGCGGTAGTGTAGTGGCACAACCACAGCTCAATGCAGCCTCAACCTCCTGGGCTCAAGAGAGCCTCCTGCCTCAGCCTTCCAAGTAGCTGGGACTCGGTGTGTGCCACCACGCCTGGCTAATTTTTCTATTTTTTGGAGAGACAGGGGTCTAATATGTTGCCCAGGCTGGTGTCAAGCTCCCAGGCTCAAGTGAACCTTCCACCTCAGCCTCCCAAAGTGCTGGGATTACAGACGTGAGCCACCGCGCCCAGTCAAGTTTTATTCTTTTTAAAAACAGTACTGTCAACTGGGGAATGGCTCATGGAATTTCTTATAATGATGAATATTTAAAAGTCTAGGGTCATTTTCCATGGAAACAAAAAGACTGGATTTTGCTAAGTAAAGATGGCTGCATTCTCAGACAGAAGAAGACCAACATACTATAAATTATTTACCAGGGCAAAAGGCTGCATGACTGCTATGAGAGGAATGGTGACAAATTAATACAATAAAGATGCCCTGAGTGTGCTCAGAATCTGCAGCTCCCCTGATTCTCTGTCACTGCAGGATGATGAATCAAATTAGGTCAGAAATTACGAGATTAATTAAGCCAGATGATTATGTCTGAACGTTATTGTTCGGAAGTTGGAACTCTACCTTAAAGGTCATTGGATTTTACTCTAGAGGGTGTGTCTCAAGCTGATAAGAAGAATTAGGCAAGAAGAGGCTAATGTAATGGAACCTATGCAAAGCTTTTTCCTACTTGTCCCTGTTTTAAGTTTAAAATCCCTGAATACATTTTGTTCACATTTGTGCTTAATTTAGCAAAATTAATGAAATTGTTGCCTTTTTAACCATTTCTTAGTAGATGGGTGTTGGTGGAATTAGTTTCTATGAATAAAGAGTTAGCATTTACTAGGTTATCAGTACTGAAAAGTCACCAAAGTGCTAGTTAAAGAAACTATTCTGCTTCGGGGTAGCAGCTACTTCTCACATTGACAATAACATGAGCCAGTCTACAGATTTTTAGTAAGTGAATATATCTCCAGTACCAACAAGCCAGATACCTGGGAGAAAAAAAAAAGTATCAGCAAGGTGTTTTCATATATAGACTAGGCCCTACATGTATATGTATGTTTGTTTGATAGTATTATCCAGAAAATGTTTGAACTCATACAAAGACATAATGAAATATCTCTTTTGCAAGAGCACGCGGATGCCTGGATGATATATATTCCCAGCCTGTGCTCTAGGGAAAGTAATAGCAACACAGCAAGTGGAAATTGTACCTTGCTAGCTCTGCTTTAATCATTTTCAAGCACTCGTATCTTGCAGACAGCTTTGAACCCAAATAAGCTGAAGGCTACGTGTGCCCTGCTATAAATGCAACACCTTACAGAATCTAATTAATCATTTTCATTCATTTCTAGCCTAGGAGCATGGTTTCCATGGTTTACCAAGCACTATAATCTCATATATGCATATAGCTAATCAGAGAGTTAAATTCCAAAGGGAGGCTGCATTTTAATTTTTTGGTTATAATTACAATATGAAACTAAGTCATATACAAAATACAAAATACATATAGATATTTTTATGGGTTTCCAGGATATTTTGACTATGATTTTAGCACTCGTAAAGTACGTTAAGAATAATATATAGAGTTTATATATTGAGACTTCCTTAGATGCTGATTTCCTTTCCTTACCTTTAAAAAAAAAAAAAAAGTCTGAGTGGCCCCAGGGAGAGAAATCCATGTGGTATTTTGCAGACACAATGGAACATGAGGTCAGCTGCCCCTTTACAGCATAGAGCTCCCATTAGCATTAATGAGAATGCTACACATACATCAAGAGGGAAAAAAGACCCCAAGGGTTCTAAACAAAAGCTGAAAGACAGCCCTGCTATCTGCCAAGGAGCAATTTAATTAAACTCTTATTTATTGCTTCTCACTCCAGCTTCATGGGTTTCAGAGAGCAGCAGCAGCAGCAACAATGTTTGCTTATTGCAAAACCAGTCTTGCTTACTTTCAACAGGGTTTTTAGATCAATAATCATTGAGACATACATTGCACACTCTGACTTGAGAACTGAAGCCAGTAAGTCTTCAATGAAAAATGAAGCACACTTATTGTATTTGTAACTAATGTTCCTTAAAAGTAAAGCAAATATTGATATTCTAGGCACACATAAAAACCAAGATCTATAACTAAGTGTGTAAAATGCACACTGCACGCATTTAATAATCATACTCCATTTTCAGTAATGGGAAACAAGGTACAATGACTGCAATAATTCACCATCCCCTTTTTTTCTTCAGCAAGCAGCACATTGTTTTATTACAATATAGCAATCCTGCCACATTACATTTTACAGTATGTGTACAAAAACCATAAATACACTAGTCCATCTAAAATATGCAGCAACGGCTCTCCCAGCTTTAGTGATACTTGCAACTTTGCATTTTATGTGAATTTCACATTTTGTTGATGTGTTTGCAATGAAATCAGTACTGCCCAGAAGAGAAATTATTTTACATTTCCATTAAAATCTACAGTAGTAAATAAACCATCAGAGTTTATGTAGATATCCACCAGAACATCGAGGGGGAACCCATTAAAGTGCCAAACCCTGTGTTAAACATTTGATAAAAGAGCACCTATAAGGCGCATTTCTAACATTTTTTTTCAAGTGATAGAGTTTTAAAGATATTTTATAATACTGTACCAACCTCTGCAGAACACTCAAAAATCAAGGGAAGTTTATGTTTGTGAATAAAGCAGCTGTACAGCTCATCACAACGGAATGCCCTGTCAGGGCTGAAAACGAAATGGTGATATTAGAAAACAGATAAAAGACTACCAGGTCGCTGAAGTTCATAGACCACTGGGCTCAGATTCATACACACATATGCACACACATATGCATGTTCAAAATAAGCATGAAGCAGATTACAATAATTAAGGGATGATTAATAATAATTAACATTCCCGTAATTGAAAAGGCCCTATTTTAAAGAATTAACAAGTAGGTTTATGTAGTCACATATATATGTGAAATGTGACTCACTGCAGCTGGCTGACTGTGGAGAGGGAAGAAGCACAGCAATTTGTTAATTTAGAGAGATGCTGTGGATGGTTGTAAGACGCCCCCGGTTAAGTTTCCCCTTAAAAAATGAAACTGTAGTTAAGTGGAAAGGAACATGAAAAGGTGTCTGTATCCCTTAAAATGATGTGTCAAGTAGTATGCCACTCATTCTTAAAGACCTATCATTTAAATCTTAGGACAAGACAGAGGTATGGACATTATTATTTAATTTCTGTAAATAAGGATATCAGCTTGTAAGGCAGAACTTGTCTGAGACCACTCGGTCAACGATTGTCAGAAGTAGGGTTTGGATTCTTTTCTGTTGATTCCAAAGCTCAGGCCTTTTGTGCATGAATGTGCAAGACGAATACGGGACTATTATAAAATAATCATCAGAGGTCATGCATGTTGGGAATAAAGGATAAACAACATCAATTTTTAAACACCAGTCATCTTCACCTGTGCAACACTGGTGTTTATCACTGCAAACACACTAACTGTGCGGAAAGATATTCTTAAAAATTAGAAGATTGCATAGGTATTGATTAAAGAACTAAAGAGATTGTGGCTTCCACTATATACGCCATACAGCACTCTTCTCATCTGTAATCCATTAGTGTTATGTGAGTGAAGATGACTAATCTTTAAAATCAATGCCATACATCATTCATTCACAACATGCGTGATCTGTGATGACTTTTTTAGCTTTGTAGAGAAACAGGAAAAATAAGACTAATGAATTTTTTTTTCTTTTTGAGGTGGAGTCTCGCTGTGTCGCCCAGGCTGGAGTGCAGTGGCACAATTTCGGCTCACCGCAAGCTCCGCCTCCCGGGTTCACGCCATTCTCCTGCCTCAGCCTCCAGAGTAGCTGGGACTACAGGCGCCCACCACCACGTCCGGCTAATTTTTTGTATCTTTAGTAGAGACGGGGTTTCACCGTGTTAGCCAGGATGGTCTCGATCTCCTACCCTTGTGATCCGCCTGCCTCAGCCTCCCAAAGTGCTGGGATTACAGGCGTGAGCCACTGCGCCCGGCCATGAAATTTTTATAAAATCAAATTTATTTAAAAATGTGTAAATCAGATGGCATGTTGTTAAATGCCTGCTTCTAAATGAAAAAATGGTTATTAAAAAATGGCTGTTATTCTATATTAAAATCCTTCCCTGAAAAAAATATTAAAAGTTGGCAACACTTGTCTAATCCCTTTTCTTAGGGAAGGGGAAGAGGGGACTTTTTACTGGCTCATGAAACCCAGAAATCTGGGAGCCACTCGCGGCCCCGAGGGAGAGAGGCCATGCAATGGCAAGGTCGTCTTCTGTGCGGCTGCAATAAATAAACAGAGATGCCAGAAAAGAGGATGCTGAAAAGAGAGGAAGGGAGAAAAACAATTTTGGCAAA
Source organism: Homo sapiens (assembly GCF_000001405.40). Taxonomy (NCBI): domain Eukaryota; kingdom Metazoa; phylum Chordata; class Mammalia; order Primates; family Hominidae; genus Homo; species Homo sapiens. Next base: position 35,623,436 of record NC_000008.11, on the reverse strand, counting down.
AACTTTGGCAACAGGGAATAATGAAGTCATCACAAAAAATAATAAAAATAAAATAAAATGTACGCCGCGGGTGTTCATAGCACATTTTCCGTTCCTGAGCCCAAAGTAATAGAGATTTTACTCAGCCAAAGAAAGTAATAAGGGGAACAAACAAACATAAAAATGACTCAAAGCTTGACACACCGGATGTATTGACCAAGTCCTCCCCAGGCTTGGTATGGGAATGGTCTGATAGCCGTGGCAGAGAACTCAAGGATGGCTATCAGATCGGACAGGGAGAAGAAATTACCATCCGAGAGACAGAGAGGCAGTGATAATTTATCCTTTTTGCTGACTCTATCACTAGGAGCTGGGATCCATTAGTCATATTGATTCTAGACGTTCCACCTTGACTGGTACAGAGCACTTGCAATGACAAAATCAAGTTGTTCACATTCTTCATTGTTTTACAATGAAAGTAAATGGCTTTGTCACTGAGAAAACATGAGTTCAACGGTAGCTACACTCCTAAAACTGAGAGAGATCATGATCATTCAGAAAGAATGCATTAGCTCTGACTGGAATAGGATGAGCTATTACAGGCTAAGTAGGATAGGTAAACAGTTTGACCAAATTATTGTAGGAAGAGAGAAGAATAAGTGAAAATTTCAACATGACCTCACTTCAACAACATATTACAAGGTGAGAATAAACACAGAAGCAGAACTATTTTTCCACACGTGAATGGAATGCTGTGGACAAACAATAACATAAAAAAAGTCTTATTAGATTTTATTATCTAATACTACTAACAACAAACATTTAATGTGCCAAGAACCAAGGTATATGTTAAAAAGACATTATCTTATTTAAATTAATCTCCAAAGCATCCTTAAGGGCATTTTATTCTGTTTTTTCATATGAAGACCCTTATGTTCAGAGAAGTTATAGAATTAGCTTAACACACAGCTAACAAGAGGAGGAACTTAGATTGTACCCCTCCCTTACCTGACTCATAGCATCAAGATCCATGCTCTTGAACAATATGCTTATAATAAATAATGTCTCCCTCTCAGGAGTTTTTTGTTTGTTTTGTTTGTTTGTTTGTTTGTTTTGAGACAGAGTCTCCCTCTCTGTTGCCAGGCTGGAGTGCAGTGGTGCGATTGTGGCTCACTGCAACCTCCACCTCCCAGGTTCAAGCGATTCTCCTGCCTCAGCCTCTCGAGTAGCTGGGACTAAAGGTGTGCACCACCACGCCCAGCTAATTTTTGTAATTTTAGTAGAGATGGGGTTTCACCATGTTGGCCAGGATGGTCTCGATCTCTTGACTTCATGATCTACCCGCCTTGGCCTCCCAAAGTGCTGGGATTACAGGTGTGAGCCACCGCGCCCGGCCCCCTCTCAGGATTTTAAGGGGCCTTCATGCAACTGCGTTTTGCAAGCCTGTTGCCTTTTAAGTAGGAACAGTAGTATCTCCAGTTAAGAAAACAAGAGATTTAAGCTTTCCTTGCTCTGAAGTGGAGGAGGGAGTCTAGAACACAGGTCTCTTGTCTTTGACATGTCCCATTTCCTCTTCAGCCACATTAAGTGGAGCCAAGGGTAAGTGTGTTCATATTGAATTTTGAAGAAACCACCCTACTGAAGGCTCAGGCACATGCTCCAGGAATATGCTGCACCTTCTAGGATCTGATATGCTTTAGCAGGCTCTCTACTCTGAGGTGAGTTCCTTTGCAGGGTAGTGGCCTGATGGTATTCATCTATGGTGTGAATTTTTGACCTACCAGTTCAAAGCTCTGCAATCTTTTTTATTTTCATTTTTTTAATGAGAAGCCAATGGCAGAGTGTAGACAATGACCACGGTGCAGATTCTACAACTTAAGCCTTCACCATACTTCCCTCATTGACTTCCTCTTTATTTATCTCTTCTTATATGGATCCACCTCATCCCTTGAATTCTAGCTCACAATGACCCAATACATGTAACTCTTGACTAATCAGCAAACCTAACATAATCATTCCATTTGAGCTTTTTGCCTAGTCTTGTCAATTAGGCATTCCTTCAACATATATTTTCTGAGTGCCTAGTACATGCTAGGTACTCTGCTATGGGATGGTTATAGAGAGAGATGAGGCGTGATACTCACTCCCTACACTGTGATCCCGGGCTCACAGGCACATGTTAACGACTATCTGTTGATGCTGGACTCAATTCAAACAAAAATTATTAAGCACCTGCTATATGACAGCCAATGTATGAGGTGCTGTAGAGAGCATCTTAATGAGATTCTAAGCTCCCTGAGAGGAAGACAGAGTCTCAAGGATTCTCAGCCAGGAATAACATTTGGCAATGCCTGCTGACATTTTTGGTTGTCACAACTGGATGTGGCCAGTGGGGGAAAGTAGGGTCTACTAGCATGGAATGGGTAGAGGCCAAGGATGTTGCTCAACATCGTACCCTGAACAGGAAAGCTCCCCAGAATAAAGGAGTATCCGACCCCAAACGTCAACAGTGTTAAGGCTGAGAATCCTTGCTCTATCTTACGCTTCTCCAAGTCTTAGTGAGTCTTCAGTGTTGAATGACTGGTGACTAGAAGGTGGAAAGAAGACTGTCTTTGATAGCAGCTGCCCTTAATTGCCTTAGGAATCCACAATTGCTTTTGGGAGCCAGGAAGACAACAGAAACTAGGAAACTCAGGGATGAAAGCCCAATAATAAGAGCATAATTAGGCCTAAGAACATAAGTAAATTAGAACTAACTTTCAGATTTTAAAGCAGGCATATGAAAGAAATAATGGTCTCAGCACTTAAAATGGTCCCAGCACTAAACAGGAGATAAGGTAAACCATAATTGCCTAAGTGAGACTTGACTGAATAAACCCAACTGCACACAGGCACACAGGGTAAAAGCAGATGCAAAGGGTAATCGGAACAGTGGGGGTAAGGGTCTGATGTGAGGAGAAACTCACTTCACATGATGAGTCGCAGAGGTGATCCAAGAGAACACAAAAGCCCCTTAGACTGCAGGACCAAAGAACCTTTGATGGGCTATCTACATTCTACGGATGAAAAGATCCTGGTCCTGCCTCATGGAGACAATGATGACAAAACTCAACTCTCCTTTGTTTGCCTTTAACACAGGCTTCAGTGAAATACTGTAACAACTCGGTACAGCCCGAGAAGCCGGAGTTTCCTACCTGCCTCCAATGGGATCAAAGTTACTGGTAAATGGAAGGATCTCAGCATGTTTCAGGGAGAATGTGGATCAAGTACAAAGGAGGTAAAGGAAATCTTCAAAGTCTTTGTCAAATCGTTCTGGAAGTCCATGTTGAATACAGAGGTGAAGGGATGGTGCAGGGACATCTAATGACATGAAGATCTTTGACCCCCTCTTTTGTTGCTACTTTTATTCTGAATGAGGGAAGGGCAAGGACACCCATTAGAGGACCTGTGCTGAGCGAATGAGCTGAGTTGAGGCAGTCATGCTTACAGGCTGCAGAGCAAGGCTAGGGCTGGGCCACACTGCTCTACATCAGGAATACAAAGCATCTACACTCTCTACACTGTCTCTCATAATCTCCGTGCAACAGGTGCAGTAGAAAGAACAAAAGAGCTTGAAAAGACAGACCTGGACTTGCTAAAGATAAGGAGTCCGGGGACTGTGGTCACAGCATCTGGCAGAGCAATTCTAAAAGGAGGTGTCTTCTAAGAGTTACTGATTCTTAAGATTGTATACAAGTCTGAAATCATTTACAAACAGTTTGTAAAAAGTTAGTTCCAACAATGATGCAAAGACAAATCACACCTATTTGTAACTTCTGACCAGCTGCCCAGTTGCAACTGGATTACCAGCTCCTTAAAATAACAAACAATATGGACACTGAAACAGACAGACAGACACATAAAGCTTGAGAAGCAAGTCGCTCAATGGCTCCCTACCACCTACGAGTGAAAAGTCCAGTTTTTTTTCAGGATGGAAGACAAGACACTTTGTGATCCAATGCCTGACTATTTTCTAGAGTCTCTGCTTCAGTGATTCTCCCACTTGTGCCTTAGGTGCTCTCAAAATGAAACTAATTGAACTTCCTGGGCAACCATGCCATTTCATACCTGCATGCTTTTGACCATGCCGATCTTGCTTCTTGACTGTTCTGTACAAACTCTCACCACAATGAGCTCATTCATACTTCAAAAGCCTATATGGGAATTATATTCTGCAATGTCTTGGTTGATCACCCTGGCCAACAGAAGTTATCAAATCCCTTCTATATTAATGCTGTTATGATTATTATTATGAGTAACACACTCTACTTTAGATGCTTATTTACATATTTATTTCATTTGTTGGATGCTTGAGCTTGTCAGGAACAGACCATGTCTCATTTATTACTGTATCCTCCGAGGCAAAGAAAGCATTTATTAAATAAATTGAAATCTGTAGTAAGACATTAAAGCTGTAGCAGATCAAGCAAGATGCTGTCCATGAATTGTCTTTGAACCATGCTCTGATTTCAAGTACAATAAAGTTGACCCAGCACCAATGGGGGTGTGGAGGGGCAGGGAGTAATGTGATACAATAGACAGGAAAGACACAACCCTGCCATAATGTCTATTTCCTTACTCAGCAACTTCATGGCACGCAGTAATTAACAAAGTGTCAGGTAGTGGCAAGATTTAGGCTTTGAAACCAAAGAGAACTAGACTCTTACCATCTGACAAACTTTGGGGAAGTTACTTAACCTAAGCTTCAATGACCACATCTGTACAATGAAAAATAATAAAGTACCTAACTCAGCTGAAAGAATACAACAGAATCACATAGTTAAATACCTAGGAGAAAGCCTGGCATGTGGGTCCTCAATGTATGGTAACTAACCATGATCATCAGTAATGAGGATTCTGTCATTTTGGCAGTTCACACAACTCAGTGAAATGCCATATAAATAAAATCTAGTATTTGTCAGCTCCCATCTCTACTTTGAAGTCTTTTCTCTCTTTAGCTTTTATTATTCCTTTGTAAAAATCTATCATTACCATCACCGATCTATAGCACCAATTCACATTGCCTATTAGTCTTATGAGTTAATTAAAACTGAGAATGGAAGCTCTAAGAAGACAGACTTTCCCAGACCAATGTACAATGTGCATTATCATTTAATAATCCTTCTAAAAATATCCCGTTACTGTAACTACGGCATCTCCACTGGTACCTAGATAACAGCGTTGAAAAAAAAGATTAAACTGATCGCCTAAGCCCACAGATGACTGATGAACTAGAGTGACTGCTCTTGTCAAGTTCTGGTGGTATTATGCAGATCTGTTTTTTGTTTCCCTGCAGCAGCATGCCAGAGCTGCCTCTAGAAGGTGATCTCCAAATGATGCTGTTGAGCCAGTATATGAATCGTCAGCCTGACACTTCCTGCACACAGAAATTAAGGTTTAAGCCATCACTTGTAACTCACAAGGGCCAGTGCTGGCAGCCCACAGAGGATGAGAAATATTGCACATGATTAATAAATGCATCTATAGAGAGAATCTGTTGAGAGGACTGACAGCCAGATCTGGAAGCCAATACTGAATCAACAATTAAAAGAACAGTTCCAAATCAGTTAAGCCAGAGCCAAGAGAGACTCAGTTATATTTAAATCAAAATTCACCACAGCAGGGGATTCTCAGCTGTTCAGTTCTGAATGTTGGATGTTTTTCTTGGAAGCTTAACTGATAGAACCAAGTGAATCTGAGTTACATGCAATGGGAACGGTGCAGCTGCTAAGCTGGGGTG